>NC_000005.10:166973445-167276475 GCF_000001405.40 Homo sapiens
ATAATTCATTTAACTTTCATTTACAGTTTATACACAGTCTGAAAGTTATTTAAAAAATATTTAAAATCATTTTGTGCGTGAAACAAAATTTGTATACACTGAGCCATCAGAAAGTAAAGGTGTCAGGCATGGTATTTTCCACTTGAGTTATATTGGTGTTCAAAAAGTTGCCCATTTTGGAGCATTTCAGATTTCAAATTTTTGGATTTGTGATGCTCAAACTGTACTATTACATCTGTGTGAGGTTCTCAGACATTAAGCTTTTTATCTAACTGATTTCTGGAAAGATAAATAATTATCTTACAATATACCAAACAAGATTTCTACCCTTAAGTTATAGAACCAAGATCTCATTGGTTACCCTTTTCTATGCAAGGTGCCCTATACAAAAATGCAAATGCTGCCACATGAGTGAACTAATGGCACCAGGTTAATCTGCCTGATTGAGATTATATTTTCAAGGGTTTTTCCTGGCCTCTCTTAAAAATGGGAAGTCACAGCATCTACTAAAACATCTTTAAAGGATGTTGAAGACATTGGAAACAAACATGGAGAACTGCCGTGATTTAAAAAAAATCTGTTTTTTTCTACTTCTAAATTTCCCATCCGGATGAAAGTGAAAATTCTCCAGTACATATACTCTGTAAAGGATTTTACAAAATTGATGAGAATGTCTGTTGAGACTGTGTGACCTGGGAAATGGTTGACAATTACAGTGCAATGCTATTTAAAAGCGAAGGGAATAAAGGCTCATCAATGAGAACTCAGACGCCTTTGCTCCAATGACACTCATTTTGTTTGGTCTTTTGCCCTCTAAGCTCCATGTACATCAGTTTTTCTAATTTGCCAAATAAAACAAATAATGCTCCCTTAGAGAGGCTATCCTAACTGAGTTTAAGTGTTCTTGGAAAATAATGATACTATTATACACGAAGTGTTGTGCACACCAAGTACAAATGAGCCGTCACCATCACCCCTCCCTACATCTGCCTCCCTGTTCAAATGGATGTGGGAAGTTCGAGGCAGCAGAATGAAGAGTTCACCATACAGAATTCGGCAGCAGACAGACCTGGTATTACATTCCACCTTGGATACTTACTAGTTGTATGAGTTGGCTGTAACTGATTTGCTCTTTTGAAGCCTTTGTTTCTCCATCTATAAAATGGGGATCATAGAGTTGCTATGAAGAATAACTGTGATGATCTACATTAAAATGCCCAGCTGTTACACGACTTCTCAAAAAGCTTAAAAGTTCGTGTCCTGGGTGCCCCAGCAGAATATCAACTAACACTTTAAGTATTCTGCAAAGTTTTCCTTGAAGGTTGCCCTTCATGCCTTTCTTAACCGGTTATTCTCATCACGAGTTAAGGATTGCACTGCACATGTGAACAAAAATCAACTTACCTTATACACAGGAAGAGGTTTTCAAAAATCCCCGAGACGTTTCTGCTGCCTGAAGCATTTTCTAGGGAATACATTTATTCTGGGGAGGGGGGTGGAGGAGGGAGAAAAGAGAGGTTAATATTTAGCCTTTTCTTAGAAACTTCACTTTATTCATAACATTTCAGTGTAGAGCAAGTTAATGGCCAAACAATTGCAAGAAACAAATCCACAGTCAAGGGCTGGTATGTATTTGTAGCTGGATGCATATGTCTATAGCTGTGAGGTATGTAAATAGAACGGATACAGTTTGTGGATGCTCTTTGTGTGCACTTACAGAGAGGACAGAACAGCGAGATGAATGCTGGAGATAAGGTAGAGGATGCAAAGGATGGAGATATTTTTCCATGTGGAAGCATCTCATTCTTACAGACCTGATTGGTATAGCCTAGGGATCTCTGCAACGGGCTACACACACTGATCCAGTTACAAAGTAATACTCCAAAATGGAAAGGTGTTTAACAAAAGCTTCCTATTTGTAATCAAAGCTTCCCTTTATCACTGAGCATGCCCAGCAGTCAGCTTAGAAGCAGAGCTGGACAAAATGCAGTTTTTACTTTACCGTGGCTTGTAGCCACTGCTGCTGCTGACAATGAGCAGGGAGGCAGTGAGGCATTGGGTTCCAGGTAAGGCCTGAAAAGGCAGAGGAACAGGGGCCTGAACAAAGGTGGAGCCTCGAGGAGAGGTAACAGGTGGGAGGAGTGGTGCAGAAGGCTTGCTTGGCTCTGGACAGCATGTCCTCTCTGAGTGAGGGTTCCCCCAGCCAGGATTTGCTGAAAATCTTGGAAAGCCCCAGTGCCATTTACAACATCCTGTACCACACGTCTGCAGTGAGAGATGCCTGGGTTTAGAATGTAGCTCTGCATTGTGACACTGGTTGTGACCTTGGTAAAATAACTTTAAGTCTTTGAATCTCAAATTCCTTATAAGATTTGATGAAGGGGAAAATGCACCGGCAGTATCTCTCCCTGGCAGTTAGATCCTCCGGCATTATCAAATACTATAGCATGGCTAAACTGCAACACCACACTGACATCACCTCGCCCCCATACCAACCTCCTCTGAAACGGTGAAGACAGACCTGGCCTCAAATCCTAACTCTGCTACTTACTAGCTGTAAGACCTTGGGCGAATTGCGTGTGTGTGTGTGTGTGTGTGTGTGTCTGTGTGTGTCTGTGTGTGTGTGTGTGTGTGTGTGTAAGAGAGGGGTTGAGAGAGGAACAGAGAGTGACTTTAGCTGGCAGATACTATGAGATAAAATGGGAAATTAAAGTAGACATATCACTGTACCCCTGGAGTTTATAGTCAGGTTTGTTGGGGAGTCTGTTTCATTGTCTGTAATTGGAAATAACCATGCTTAGCCAAAAGAATTGTTAAGGTTAAAATGAGAAAAAAAAATCTGAGCAAGTTGCCTAGCACATGGTGGGTGCCCATAGTAGATTAAGAATATCCTTGGCGAGGTGGCTAATGCCTGTAATTCCAGCAATTTGGGAGGCCGAGGCGGGTGGATCACTGAGGCCAGGAGTTCAAAATCAGCATGGCCAACATGGTGAAACCCCATCTCTACTAAAAATACAAAAATCCGCCGGGCGTGATGGTGCATGCCTGTAATCCCAGCTACTCCAGAGGCTGAGGCACGAGAATCACTTGAACCTGGGAGGCGGAGGTTGCAGTGAGTGAAGATCGTGCCACTGCACTCCAGCCTGGGCCACGGGGCAAGACCCTGTCTCAAAAAATTCTACTGCATGCCTCTTTAATTCTTACTATACTGAATGATTTATCTCTGTTACTTCTGTATTCCCCCATAATGCCATCCCCAGCATCTGTCTACCTTATTTCCCATGATCCCCTTTCATGTAGTCTGATTGGCTGTTGGACAACATGACAGGGGTTAGTCATGTGGACTGTAGCACCAGACAGACCTGCGTGGGAGTCCTTCTCTGCCAGTTATCCAGGTATGTGACCTTGGGCAAGCTACTTAATCTTACTCAGCCACATTTTACTCATCTGTGAATTGGGAATAAAAACAGCTCCCCTCTCCTAGGAATTATTATTCTTATTCCAAGAGTAGTTTGTGTGTGTGTGTGTGTGTGTGTGTGTGTGTGTGTGTGGTAGAGAGTGAGAGTGAGTTTAATTAAAAGAGACACATTCTTGCCCCCATGGAGTTTACAGTCTAGAGGGTTCATGTGTGTCTAGGAGACATACACTAGCTAAATCATAACACAAGTGGAAAACTGAAGCTACCACAAATTTTTTAAAGTTACATGATGCCTTGAACACCTGTAATAACCCAGAAAGATCTCACGACTTCCCTGAAGAAGTTGATGCTGGAAGAGATAGATGAAGGATAAATAGGAGTTTGCTAGATGAAGAGGGGAGAGAAATGCATTCCTAGCAAGCCCTCAGTAAATGCCCCTCATTAGCATTTTAAGCATATGATCACCGTCTTCTTGTTAGAATATAAGCCCAAAGAGTATAGAGATAATGCCCTTGTCATCCCGTCACCACTAGGATAGCACCTTGAAGGAAGTAAATGCTCAGTAAATATCCTTGAATGAGTGAATGTTACAAAATCAATGAATTTCTTGAATGAAATCAAAAGTAACTGCCATGGCCTCATCCCATGGCTTTATTCAGAAGGCAATTAAGGGAGATGCAAATTCTAGTAAAAAACAGCATAGACCTTGCAATAGGACAAACAGTGTCTTCATTCAGGGCCTGTCCCTTGAGGGAAGTGACACCACATCTCAGTCTCAGCCTCCTCATATGTAGAAGGGGGGTAGGATAGTTTCTTTACAGAGTTCCTTTAAAGATTAAGATGGCACCTAATTAAAGGATGAACAAGAGTATGTAATCAAGAGATAAGTATTATTAATATTAGTACTATGAAGACATTGGCAAATTTCAGGCATGCAGTTTTTCAAGGTTTGTAGGTTATTGAAGACAACAAGCCAGGTACAGCTTGAAGGCCAGAGGATGTTATCACCCAAACACCCACCAGGCCTTTACCTTGCTGTACTTGCCTAGCGTTCATCCACACTCCTCATCCTGTCTCCAGTGACTGAGGGCCAGACTGCAGGGTTTAGATTCTTGATGTATTGGGTATGATATACTAGCAGTTGGTAACATTCTGGGGCCTCGGTTTCCTCCTAGGGTGGATCATACAGTGTCTGAACAGGTTAAAATCAGATAATTCATAGGCAACACATTCCACAGAGCCTGCACAGAGCTGAACAAGCAATACTTGTTCAGCTGTTACTATTAAAACCACCAGGCCCTGCTGGATTTTCTGTTAATTACCCTGTAAACTGAAACAGCCTTTCCTGGGCTAAGAATTGTTTCTTTTCAAAGATTCCCTATATGAAAAAAAGAGAAGTAACTCCTCTCTGACGTCTGGAAATCTAGCTTCCCCATCACTACGTCCTTGGGTGCAGGTTCAGAGCCACCGGGCAGCCTAGATGAGGCAGGTGAGCAGCGGCTGAAGACTCTGGAACCTTTGCTTCTCTCTGGAAGCTGCAGAGCTCGGCTCTGCCCTGCTCTGCGTTCCTAACCCTGGAAGAAGCGGTCTGGGTGCAGCCAAGCACTGGACATGCTCGCGAGAGCCAGGGCAGGCTCGGGTCGTCCGCAGGACTCGAAGGCTTGCTGTGCTCTCCTGTTTGCAGAGACCTGGGTGTAGCTGTGGTGCATAGATGTGGTGCATCGGGTGCCGAGCGGATCCCTCGGTGCGTGCAGCTAGGGATCCAAGCCTCCTCAGGCTAACCCTAGAGCCGAACTGAACTCTGAGCCGCCCGGGGTTCGCGCGCTCAGTTCCTGGTCTTGGAAACGCCCAGCTGGGGTTCTCTCTGCAGACAAAGGGGTGCACGTGTCCCTAGCGCCCCTCTTTCTCAGCCGTGAGCCCCTCCCTGGCTGCGTACCCCGCAGCCACAGCAGCTGCAGCCCCAGCGCCACCACCCAACCCCGGCGGCCTGGGCCGGTGCGCGCTCTCGGGGCCCAGGGATTGGCTCGCACTCCCCATTCAGGGACCGCGAGGGCTAGCGGGCGGCGCACGGCGCTCTGTGTGTGTGTGTGTGTGTGTGTGTGTGTGTGTGTGTTTGTGTGTGCGCGCGCGCGCGTGTGTTGTGCGGCGCGCGGGCGAGCGCGTGTGTGCGCGCGAGAGCTCGCGTGCAGGAGTCACTGGGTGTGCGTGCGTGTGTTATGGGTTTGATTCCAGAGCAGGTTGCACATTGGTCCTGGGTGGCTCGCAGGCTCAGGTCGTGCTTGGGCGTCCTCCTCCTAATCGTTTCCGAAGTAGCAGCAGCAGCACCACCACCAGCAGCAGCAGCAGCAGCAGCAGCAGCAGCAGCAGCAGCAGCCGCCGCGGCAACATCGAGCTCAGCGGCACAGCAGGCAGAACTGTGCAGAAGCGAGCACCGTTTGGGGAGTCCGGGGGGCGGGTAAGAGGGAGGAGGGGGAAAGCCTGTCTTGGTCTTTGGGATTATTTTTTTTCCCCTTCTTTCCCTCTCTCTCTCTTTCTTGAGGGTGTGTGTTGCCCCCTCGAAGTGAAGGAATTTTGCTCCAAAGCGAGCTGGGACCGAAGACTCTAGGCTAAGTTATCTATGTAGATGGTGTCAGGGAGCGAAGCTACTGACCGAGCTGCTGGTAAATGTTTTTCACTTCTTACTCTTTAATGCTTAAGGCTTTTTTCCCCTTTTCTTTCTTTCTTGTTTCCTTTCTGTTGCTCCTCATTCTGCAATCGCTCCTGAATCAGCTGCAGTTCTCTTTCTCTCCTTGCGTTTGTGCAGTTTACAACTTGTTTCATGGTTTTCTATGTATTTTTTTTTCCTCCTTCATCCTCAGATGAATGCTGGAACATTTAAATTCGGCACTTCGGGAGGTCATCATTAGTTGCATGAGTTTCAGGGGGGGAGGGGAAAGATTGCTAGAGCAGACTGTTATTTCCCTGCAGAAGGACTGCCGGTTTCTCTCTAATGTTCATCGCAATTATAGGGATTTTTTTTTAGGATGCATTTTAACGTTGCATTGCTGTTTAAGGTTATCGTTCTCCAGGATTACAATGCATTTGACTCAGTTTTGACAGCATGAGAGATGCCAGTGATTCCAGAACTACTGTATGGTACATGCTGGCTAAAATATTCAAAATTGCAGGAGGAATCATTTGCATTCCAAAAGAGAATTTCTTTAAAAATGCCGTTTTGCATCACATTGCTACAGATTTGCAGGAGGCAATAATAGACACCACTACCCATGTTGCTTGCAAAAGATAATAAACATATAAGTGCTTTAGTGCATCACATACTGTCTTGGGCTCCAGTGATTGAGCTATTGCTAAATTTACTTAATAATAAATTTAGGGCTATGGAGAAAGAGGGAGATTGCTGGTACTGTTTTATTCAAAATTGTGAGACACGTACAGCAATATCTCTCTTAGATCTTACTTGAAGTGGCATCTTGTCAATGGAGGGGAGGGTTCTGCATACACATGGAATAAAATTATTTAAAATAGCCAGCATAATGAATGCAAATTGAACTCTAACTCTTTTCTTAAAAATAGAACTCACTCTGTAACTCTGGCTGCCGGGATCTGTTTTAAATATTATTTAAAAATTAATATACAACAGCTCTTTAATGCATTCATATCATTTAAAGTTCTTTGGAGGGTTCTTGATCATTACCATGTTTTATTTGTTTTGCTTTTTTCCTCTTAAGTTTTCAGTTCCAGTTGAGTAGAAAAACTGAAGGGCCAGTGAGTAAAGGCAAATCAGCAATTTAGAAAGGAATCAGTGTATAGTTGTAAAATTTCTGCTAAGCCATGGAAAAATGAACTAATATAATGGCAGCTTAAATGGAGGAAGGGGGCCTCTGTGGTACAGCAGGTTGCAGTTTCTGTACATGTATCATCATCCTGAGAAACCCTGAACTCTAAACTGAGATGAGGACATCCAGTTCAGGGATACTCTGAGACACATACATTCTACAGAGGGAAAATGTTGTTATTCAAGGAACCCTCCTTCTGCTAGGTGGTTGCCACATCATAGAGCAGCAACTTGTCTATGTGCCAAGAATACGTTTGCAATAATACTCTTAAACTTTGTTTAAATGTAAACTTAACTAATGTTGGAAGAACTACATGAAAAAGTGAAGGCTCTTCAGCCCCAAAAAACAAAACAAACTGTAAATTAACTCAACTAGTCAGATCTTCTTTTATGTAGAAAAAAACCTACTCTAAGGCACCATGCAAATTCACCTGTTCTGGGTCCCCTGTGTTGACAAAAGCCTTTCTTAAAATTGTGAACAGAATTCCTAAGACCTAAAGCTTATTTCTTCCTTTGTAGTCTGCTGAAAGTAATAAGGCATTTTATTTAGAATGAAAGCTCAGCTTATTCATGGGTCCCTTGAGATGGCAATATTGCTGTTTTAAAATATTTTCATGGACCTTTGAATGGACTGTTTTGATCAAGTTAGTGGGGGGAAAATCCAGCTTGCATTCATTAAGACCACAGTTGTCTTTGAGTGAAGCATTTGTTTGTCTAGGTACTAAAGAAAAATGATTTCATATAGTAAACTTCAATCCTAAGAACCCAAGGTACCTAAAGCGTCAGGTTCCCTCCTTCTAGGACCCAAACCAAAAAGCAATATACCCCATGCTGGGCAGCTGTATTATTTCTCTGGCATATTCCACACACATGTGTAGGAAAAGATAACTGACCAGGCTAAGGGCTTATTTTGCTAGGCTCGTGGGGCAAGATTTCTAATTGTTATGTAACATATTCAGATCATGAATTTATTTATGAAACATCAAAATTAGCTTCAGTTTCAGTATCTTCACTAGACTCGAAGACTATGAGTACGTTGATTTAAAGAACATTTTTTTCCTACTGAGGTTGTTTTTTTTACCCAGCCACCCCTCTGTCTACTTCTAGTTTCCTGGCAACTTCTGAAAAGCTCTGATAATTTGTGTTAAAATATTAAACATATCTACATTTTGGGTGTGATACCAGGTTAGATTACTATTCAAACAACTGGATTTGTATGACTCTTACATCGTTTGGTGTGGTATTGTGTTTGTGGCTTGTTGATGGGTTTATTATGATAATAATTATTAAGTTTGTTAATTAAATCTTAACTAAGCTTCTTTTAACTTTTTGTGCCTAGTGTTGATTTCAGGTTAATGTATGAAAATAATACTATCATCTTGATAGCCTTGCTGGTAACTTAGATAGTTTCATTTCAACTGGTCTTCTTGTTAAATTTCAGCATGGCATTGGACTTAACTGGGGAGAAGGTAACTTGGGGTGATGGCTATGTAGAAAGATAGGTATCCGAGACTGTTGATTCATGGAACTTGTCAATCACATTTGGCTGTATTGTTAGAGTTCCTACTTTCATTTTGATAAGAATGGAGGTTTCTCTGCATGTGTGAATCCTTTATTATGCTATAGCTACTGAATGTTTCTTAACATTAATTGCTATTTTTTCATTGTGCAATTGAAGGGAACTTTGAACTACTTGTGTGTTTTTAAGGAAAACCTGTTTGGCTAGTTTTTTTCATTGTTTTCTTTCTGTGCAGATTAATTTTGAGAAGTGATTTCTGGTGAAATATGGTCAAGGTCATTTCCAAGGGCCTTTTTGTCCCTTCCCACTTGAGAACTAAAACTTAAACAGAAAGACAGACTTAAAGAGGCACAACTTAGCATCACCCTACTTAGCTTGAAGGGGGCAACATGAAAAGCCTATGTTATTGTCTTTCATTACTTTGTGTAAAGCAACAGTTTTGTTCTTTGAACTGCTGGTTCCCAGTAGCCCTGATGTACTCACAAGGAGAAACCCCCCATTCTGCACTCATAGTATATACCACAGATTCCCAACCTTCAGGGAACATTGCAAGACATATATATATGTTTTTTTTGGGGGGGGGAGGAGACATGTCTTTTGATACATTCTCAGTAGTAGGGGACATAGCAGTATTTGATTAAGCATGATGTATTTTCTAACTACATAATACTCTGCTTTAAGTTTTGTGAAAGCAACAGTAATTTTATGAGTCTTATTTGCTGAGAGCAAATAGCAGTTTTGTCAAAGTATTCTTTGTACTTCTGGTTTATATTTTGCTTTAAAGAGGGAATGTTCACATTGTTCAGTACTATGCACTATCAGCAACAGACTTTTTAAAAATTATTTTGGGTTGTTTTCTCTCCTTAATAAACATAAACCACTACTTAACATAATTATTTTAGGTGTTTTAAGACTGTGTAATAAGAGGATAATATATCAGGTCCTGCTCATATTTCCAAAAGATTTCATAAAGTTATGGAGGTAGAAAATGTTTTCCCTAAAATTAATGTTACTCATGACTGCAGTCTATTTAATATATTGTATACTACAGTATGATTCTGAAACTGAAATACTGCATCCTTTTTATGAATTCTTAATGGGAAAAAATGAAGCACCTCAGAAATAGTTTGCAAGTAAAGTTCCTTCGTTTTTACTGCCAGACTTTCACTGGCCCACCTCTCCTAAGTATAGAATTACGAGCCTTTCAGGTGAAAAGAATGATCAGGGAAAAAGTACAGTAATGTGCTTTTCGAATGTACTATGAGTGAAAAGAGAGCAGGTGTTTTTACACTTTTCCTATGAGTTTGATAAAGAGAAACTGAAACCAAGTAACACAGCTAATATGTTAGAATAGAATCTATATTCCCCATAAAGATTTTTTTCTACTGAACAATAGGAATTGATCTTTGATGGAACAATTGACAGCATCCCTTATCTTATCAACATGGTGTTGCTCTTGCCAGAATATTCGTGGTAGATGCTAAAGAACCACCTCTGTCTTGGGAAATATAACAGTGCATTGTTTGGGGGGAAAGAGAGGGTTTCTTTGAAAGTTGAGACTTCTCAGGACTTGACAGCAATTCTTTGAGAGACGCTTGAGTCACTTGGATATTTGTTTAGATGACCTATGGAGAAAGCCCAGTGTACTCTTCCATCTCTAATTTAGTTCTGCTACAGGTTTTTGGAACATAAATATGAAGTTTTCAGCTCATTCATTCTTACTATTACATGAGTTTATGATTTCTGGAATGTGATGCAGATCTATAAAAGTATAGAACCCAGCTTTCAAAAAGTCAGTCAGTTTTACTGCTCTGTTGACTAAATTATTTAGCTGTATGTAAGCTTAAGCTTATTTGAAAAAATATTAGAAGTTTTGTATAATCTTTTCTGTTAATATGACTTTTGTAAAGTGCTTTTATTAAGTTATATAAAAGGGAGTTATGTACCTTGTAAAATAAAGAACTCATTTATGAATTTGGTTCCAAAGAATAAGTCATTTCTTTTGTTTATTTAGGTTTTGCAATTTTTAATTTACCTAGTAGGAGACAAGGACTAAAGCGGGAGGATGTAATTGGTGTGATGAAGATGAAATTGATACTAATGATAATATACCGATTCTAAATCTTAAGGTGGGACACATCCTGGAGGATTCTCTTGGAAAAACTTTACATTTAAATGTCATTTTTATTATTGCTTAGAACTTCACTGATACTCAATATTTTGACATCTCTCCTACTTCAATTAGAAGAATAAGTGTCTATGTGGAAAAAAAATGCTACTAAATAGAAATGATTTTTGGCAGAGGTTAAAAAATCTCATAATGTGAAATAATTACTTCAGAAAATTGTATAAGCTGCTTGCTATATTTGTAACATGTTTTTTTAAAAAAGTCACTTCAAAATTTTATTGTAAATGTTGGAAATAGTCAAGTTAGGTTCCTAGATTGTTTCTAGGAATAAAACTGAACCATGATAGAAGATAGCTATATTCGTGCATATGGCTAGTCCAAACAGTAAATATCTACATAGTTAAAATCATTTTTATTGCTAGATAACTCCTTGCAACAGACTTTCTGATCTTAATTATGATAATTTTTCCAAGCCATTTCATATGTAAGAGTATATAGTTATATATTACACATTTCAGTAGAAATCACTTAGAAGAAACATAAGCAAATTAAAGCTACAGGAAAGTATATTTTAGTCTTTATTTTTTAAAAATTCCTTCAATAAGTAGTTTTTGGATTCCCAAGACAGGCCACGTACTGAGCTAAATCTGATGCTAAAAGTAATTTGATGCCAAAAGGATGTCTAAGAAAGTAAATGCCAATAGGGGTGGTTCCTTTTTGAAAAAAATACAAATAAAGATTTTTGCTCTTTATGTCTAAAGCATATTAGAAAGGTGGTTTGGTTATAATTCATTTTGGGTTTTTCTCAGGCAGTAATTGCATACAACTATCCACGCATCCTCTTCCTTCCATTGTGTCCAGCTCATTTCTATTCATGGAGCCTGGTGTGATATGATACCTGGAATTGGAGACCTAAGTCAAGGTTTGGCACTACTGGCATGGATTCAACAGATGCCCGAGAAAAGGGCAGTGTGAATTGTGGGAAGAGGATGCAGACAAGAGGAAAATTTATTCTGTAGTTGGCCACCATTTTCCTACAGTAATGATTCTGCCACCAGTTTTATTTTTAACCCCACTGAAACTTCTTGAGAAGGCACAAACTGGCTTCTCTATATTTTAATCCTATGAATAATAACATAATTATTAGAAAAGCATTTCACAGTGGTTAGGGCTCCACAACTTGTGTGACCCAAAATCTAATTTTTGTCTTCTCTAATCCTGTTTATATATCCCCACACATAATCAGACGCAGTCAGATGAAACCAATTACTAAAGGAAAAAAATCAAATTTATTTATTATATTTATTGGATGTGTCTGTTGCTTAATTATCCATTGGCAAATTTACATGTGGCCACAGAGAGGGCTGTGGATGAGTGTGGAAAACGGTCAATCATCACTTCTTACAGTCTAGAGGAGGCTCCAAGAAAACAAGGGGGTGAAAAAGGATCCTTTCTCATTCCTGTCAAGCTGAGAATCTAAAAACTGAAAGTCATCACCCAAAAAAGTGACAGGTGTTTGGCTTGACATAGAAAAATCTCAAAAAGATTGAGAGTTACCAAAGTTTTCTTAACCACCTGATGTAATGTTAGGAAGAAATGAAGGTGGTCTGTACTCTTTGCAATAAATAATGATTTAGATGTTCAAAGGTGTGTGTTGGAAAAGTAGCTCAAATGATCAAACAAAGCAGATCACCAAGTACATCCCTCAGCTGTGCTTTTGGGGACAAAGATGGAAGGATGGTGGGGTGAGATGAGATAAGGTGAGCATGAAGGACAGGTGAGGTGCAAAACAGTGTTTGCAGAATTTTATTGACCATTATGAATAATTCAAGTGAGCAATGCAAAGTCCAAGATAGCACCACTAACACAGTGAATTAAAATAGATTTTGTGTTTGGCCTTAGAGTGTAAGGACATACACAGACTTATTTTGGGACTTGTATGTTTTGGTTAAAAAAATTCCTCATCACAACCAAAAATGGTTTTCTTCTCTTTTTTTACTCTGCTCTCAGTTTAATGGGATCAATCTTGAGCACAGCTTATTTTGTATTTTTTTCCCACTTGTTATCATCATACATTTTTGGAAATTTATCATTGTAGAAATTTCCTTTTCAAATAGATAAAAACTGGAATAACTACCCTTTTAAGGAAATACGGCAAGGTTAGATTGTTATAAGAAGTGTATCTTATTTATATAATTCTTCAGTTCCAGGGACCACAAAATCTTTAAAGTCCATCCCATTCATACTCCCAAATTTGAAAGTATATATGAACTTCAGGGGGAAAACAAACTACTGTTGAACTTGAGACATTTGGAAGCTGTCCTCTAGGAATTACTGAATGAAACATGTTTTAAGAACTGGGGCACACCATTATTGCATAATTTAGAGAAGTCACTGGGTAAATTACGACTTATTGTGAATTGCCATTTATTTGTAGAAGCTACCATTCAGTTCAAGCACTGTAGATTATCCTTTTGTCACCAATGGCTGCAGAGAAGTTAAGAACACCATGAGTCTTGGGAGTGGTTTGATGCTTGTGGACTTAGCAAGAAAATATTAGAGAAGAGCATTTTTTTTTATATTTGTTGTAATGTATATTTTAAAAGTTATTCTGTAATAGAAGTTATTACAGAATAAAACTTGCTCTCAGCAGGATTCATTGCAGAAGCCAAACAGTAAATAGATAGAGAGCCTGAACTCTTCTTCCTACAGCAGTGATTTTTCACCCAGCTATTCCCTAAGGCCACTCTAGGTATATGAGGGGCACTGGTTCTTTTTATATGATTTGTGTATGTTCCCATAGATTGTGAAGTCTATTCCTGGGCAATTTTCAAGTTAAAATTGTGTTACGGCTACCCTGAAGGTTGTCATTTCTTGGTTTTTCTCTTGTCAGTCAATTCATAAGTGTTTATTAAGCCCCCATGGGGTGTACACAGAATCGTACACAGTTTGGGGAGGGGGGAAAATGTGTTTGTGGATGATTGCTGTCTGCTCTAGAAGCAAAAGTACTATTGTGTGTGTGTGTCTGTGTGCATATGCATAAAATTGTATTTTAATCACAGAAGTTTAGTAAGGGTGTGTGTGTGTGTGTGTGTGTGTGTGTGTGTTTAGAACTCCAAATGTATTTACTCTGAGAAAAGCATAGCTTCAGGTGAGATCAAGGATATAACTTCTCAGCTTTCTGTACTCTTTTTTTTTAATTGAGATATCTAATAACAGACATGATTAAGTAAAGGGTAAAGCCAGACGGTCAGTATTAAACTGTGTATCCTTGCCAGGAGGATGCAGATCATTGTTCACATCTGGGTTTCAGAGTATGGACAAATTCTGATGCCGGTCATTTTTAGGATGTGCCGGTTGCCTGTGTAAATTTAACCAGTGAATAGATAAATGACTCCATGCCCCCAAGCTGTCAATTTACATTTTTCATGAGCAATGAATCAATTTATGATTTACTTTTATTTCAAGAAGGGGTTTTGGAAAAATGATTGGAATTGAGAAGGAGAGAAAATTTTCAAGCATTCCCCAAATGCTCCATGGATGAAAAATGTTCTCTAAAGGATTGTATTTCTCTGTTGAACTTGAAAGCATGTAGCGAATATGTAGGTTCTGGGATTTACTTTCCAAAACTTATTCACACTCTTAGATTCATCTTTTATCAATCATTTGTGGGAAGGGTAATATTCTTGAAAAGCACCAGGTGAATAGCTCTGAAAGTGGATGGCAAAGGCAGAGTGCTTGGCGGCACTGACCCTTTCCACAGCCCCAGGTAATAGCTTCCTAGACTTGGCCAGGCAGCTCTGACTTTTGATATCATCCATCAGGCTCTTGATTAGAGCTCATTTTGACTGTGATTTTCAAGATGTACATATCTCAATTCCAGTAAATCATAGCTAAGCCATCAAAATTTCCTTTCCATCTTCTGTTCCTTGTTGATCTGAATCAGAGAAGCAATGGCTGGAAAAAAAAAGAAAGAGCTTTTGCTGATGTGTTCCCCATTTCAACTTTGACTCAGCTCTTTTCCTGTTGGGTTTCTAAGGATTTATGAAATTGTTTATCTCTTACTGCCAGTCCTTCTGAATGCAGTCTTTTTGATGAGGGACTATTATTTACCACTCACCAAATTGCAGATTGCAGGATCTCTTAATTTATTTTCCAATAATTTATAGAATTAACCAACACAGAATACATCTGTGCAATTTGAATTATTATTTTTGATTCTGTGATCAGGTCATGTTCTCTCTTGTTAAGGTAAAGACTAATTCTGGCTAACGTAGGTGGAAAAGAAATGTGTTAGAAGGATATTGAGAATAACAGAGTCACCAAAATAAGATATAGAAACAGGCATTTCTCCTTCTGCCCCTATCAGTGGCCTGGCTGGAGCCCTCCATGTCCCTCACACTGGAAACCCATTGCCATGAGCATCACCCACACGGCTGCCCTAGAAATGTGGCTGCTTGCACAATGCCTGCAAGAAACTCACCCCCATCCTTGCTTCTAACGGTCCCTGGCTCACCATTGAAAGTTCCAAGCTGGTGCATCCACTGGTTTGGCTTTGATATTGATTGAGTGTCCAACTCCCTTTCTACTAGGCAGTCTGGGAAACTGAAGAGAGTCTGCCCCTTATGTATTATATAATAAGAACCAAAGACTTTGACTTCCTGCAAGATAAATATGATGAGATTCCCTCAAAATAAAAAGTACAGGGAAAGTCAACAAAACAGATTAGATTTTTTTTTTTCTTGTCAGAGTCTCGCTCTGTGGCTCAGCCTGGAGTACAGTGGTGCAATCTCGATTCACTGCAACCTCCACCTCCTGGGTTCAAGTGATTCTCCTGCCTCAGCCTCCCAGTGGATGGGTGGATGGGATATGGGATTATAGGCATGTGCCACCACACCAAGCTAATCTTTTTTTTTTTTTTTTTTTTTTTTTTGAGATGGAGTCTCTCTCTGTTGCCAGGCTGGAGTGCAGTGGCACAATCTCAGCTCACTGCAACCTCCGCCTTCCAGGTTCAAGTGATTCTCCTGCCTCAGCTTCCTGAGTAGCTGGGACTACAGACACACACCATTATGCCCAGCTAATTTTTGTATTTTTAGTAGAGATGGGGTTTCACCATGTTCTCGATCTCCTGACCTCGTGATCTGCCCGATTTGGCCTCCCAAAGTGCTGCAATTACAGGCATGAGCCACAGTGCCTGGCCCACATCAGGCTAACTTTTGTATTTTTTGTAGAGATAGGGTTTTGCTATGTTGTCCAGGCTGGTCTTGAACTCCCGACCTCACGTGATTCTTCCGCCTCAGCCTCCCAAAGTGCTGGGATTACAGACGTGAGCCACTGCACCTGGCCTACCCCGCAAAAATATTTACCATTATTCCTTATATGGAGAATAACCCAAAGGGATCTTAGGGGATGGATAGTAAGTGTGTCAGAGTGTGAACTTAAAAGCTTAAGATCAATGAGAACTTCTCTGTTGCTGAAAATGAATTGGAAGGCATTCTAGATGATAACGGTATTAAGCCGAATACTTTTCATTTTAGCACACACAGATCTCAAATATGTTGGTCATGTAGAATTCCTTTTGGTATCATCAAGAGTCTATTAAAATGTTATCTACTTGAACTCTGCTCATTTTGAAGTTAAAGATAATTCACCTGGAATGGGCTGATGTTTGCCTATGTATAAATAGACAAAGAAAGCATGTTAATCATAGGAATTCTGGATAATGTATCAGAAGAATGTTTCATTTCTGCTTATAAATTAGTAATAAATAATAATGTGGGACTTGAAAAAAATAAAACTGCATTTCTTTTTTCTGTGGTTTAGACTCTCTGGTTCAAACAGGTCTTCCTCACTAAATTATTAGTAAACCTACTGAAGTGCCGGGCCCAACCAAGTAATCCACATCTCTAGTAAAATTTTTGCATCTGAAGGCTCAGCCTTTAATTCTTCAATTCGAAATTAATATATTTATCCTTCCATCACTGTCTCCCACGGATTTTGAGAATTAATTAGAAACAAAATCACTTTCAGTCCTTGGATGTTACATTCTGTGCTGAAAAAATATGAGATACTGAAGTGTTATTAATAATGACAAAGATTCATCCAATAAAATAATCCGGCTGGCTGAATTCTCACATGGTTGGTATTTTCTAATATAAATTACTGTAGGATTAGATAGTTAAATATTGAATATTGTCTCATTTAATGCAGTTCCATGAAATATTAATGATAATGATGGTTCTCCAGTTTGGGGAATTCGGAGATGGTTTTTTACCGACTAATAGCTTTGGCCGGTAACATAATACATTTTACAAAATGATAATGAAGATATTTAAATGAAGGTGAAACAGGAAATAAATGTCCACTAAACTTATAGATTTCAAATAGGTCAACTGTCACAAAAATTTTTTACTTTTCTGTTAAATAGTTTACTTTCTATTCTAACAACAACACTGTGATCATTTTTTGATAGCTTTGAGAATTTGTTAAAAAGAACAGATCTACGCTATTAGACTGTTGAAGAGAAGAGCTGTTGATGTTGTTTAGTTGGCATGAGGTGTAAAAGTCTGAAAATTGGATTGGGCTTTGAAAGAAGGCTCATCATGTTGAGTGTGACAGTTGGATTGGGATTGTGCATGAAGTTAAAAAAGAAAGAAAGCAAAAGAGAAAAAAAGGAAAGAGTGAAAGAGAGAATGAAAGATAAATATTGATAGAATAGTCCAACTAGAATGCCTGAGGCCTGCTTGGAATTGAATTTTGAATGCATAGAACAAAAATGTTTCAATTAAGTCTTTTAGTTCAAGTTGTTTGGTTTGGTGTTTTGATTTTTTTTTTTTTTTTCCAAATCTTCCTTTTCTGACTTTTCTTCATGTTCTTGATTCTGTGAGTTTGTATCTCAAAGTAGGGGATGAAAAACTAATGACAAATAGAGAAGTGACTGTTGTTGAAACACTTTGTCATGAATAGAGAATAAGAACATATACCAGTACATCAAATTGATTTAAATTGGATATTTGTGTGCGTATGGTTTTTTTTTTCTCTAGGGGGAAACTTTAATGTTTTGTGAGATAATTTTATTTAAAATTGCAGTTATCCTTGTTTCAGACCTAGTAATTTAACAGTTGAAAAGCTCCCTTTTTTGTTCTGTGTAGTTAATGTATGTGATGTGAGAGAATACGTATTATTTTTAAAAATGTTTGGGGGTTGTATTCTTTTAGCACAAACTTATTCCTTGATAAAGGAGCTGGCTATAATTTGCAGAAATGACTGTTTCTTTTTCTTTAGTTGTTGGATAATTGCTCTTTGTATACACTGTGAAAATGTTCATATAGCCCAGTGACAAAGCCTAGCAGATGCACTTGCAATTATCTGGAATTTAAGTAAATTTTGCATCTGATACACACAAAGCAAACGCTTTGTCCAAGCAGGCTCACATACTGGCATGTGGATTGCTGTGAATACAATGAGTAGATTTTTAATGGAAAACAAATGGACCTATTAGTAAGTCTTGTCTTTTACTTGAAAAGACACCAGCTTTAGGCATGGCCTCCAACTTATTCATATTCATAGTTGGTTTGGTTCTCAATATGACCTTTAAAACTGAAAAAAAAATTTAAATGTTTAAAACAAAATGTGTAGCTGTGTCTTTCTTGGAGTAACATTCAGAGATTTCTGGAAGAGAAATGGTGAAATAAATATCTGTTTCATATTCCAATTTTTTTTTTTTTTTTACTATTAAGAAGAGCATTCAATTGTTACAACTTTTAAAATGTAAAAGGGGATTTCATATTATAAATAAATCATGCTATAGATAAAAGATAATTACAATGTTACTTTAACAACCTCAATTCACAAGAGAGACCATAAGAAGGAATATATAATGGGTCCAAATTCTACTTCTTATTGTAAACAAAGGAGATCTAGCCAGAGGAATAGTTGTCCGCAAAAGCCTCTTTTCCGAGGTTTGTTTGAGATTAATCCTTTCCACTGTGTATTTTTTGTTGTTGTCAGACTTATGTAAGTGAGATCTTTGAAGGCTTAATCTTTTTCTCTGTATTTATTCTTAGAAAATATTAACTATATGGAGCTACTTGGATTTTCTTAAATGCCTTTAGATCTTTTGGGGAGTTTAAATCATTTTTACTTTCAATGAGAGGGTTACAAATAAATGGTCCTGTAGACATTGTATTTCATAGTTTCAAAGTGCTCCATGTCATTCCAGCTTTTGAATGAAGCAAATTTCAAAAGTATTTCAGGCAACATAAAGGTGGGCCTATCTTGACCACTTTCTGCTTTCTTCTCAATCTAAAATGGAATCTAATAGTAACAAGAGATCTCTCCAAATTCTTTGAAGAATCAGGAGCCTCCAGGGGGTCTAAGGGTGGAGTTAGTGTTTGAAAAAAGTGGATTTGGGAAGAAATTTTGAAGATAGAAAGGGAGAGCCTGACAGAAGTATTTCAGGCTCTGAATTAAAATGAGCCAGATGTGCTGCTGCTGGAATATCCTTCCTACACAAATATGCCGCCACCTTAACCACTTTTCCAAAAACAAAACATAAAGCTTCCTCAGCTAAGTACTTTTTATAGAATTTCAAAAATGACAAAACGTGCTCAGTTGCGCATTGCCAGATTATTCTGTGTAGTCCACAGTCTCCCCAGTGCCATGCGTGGCCTTTCCCCTCTCCCCTCCCCCACTCCTGCTTGCATTTCTTAAACTATTGTAGGCTATCTTTAGGCTTGGAGAGGAACCAGGTGCTTTCCTTGGTATTTAAGCAACTTGCTATTTTGAAATTCCCGTAGAGAGCTGTGGGCATTTTTAGTTCTGTGCCTTGATGCATCCTTTTCCCTTTCTGAAGGAGAAGCTGCTTACATAATACCCAGAAGCGGACCCTTGGGAACTGCAGAGCTATTTTATGGATATTTTGCAAGAAAAGGAACGCAAGAGCTCCAGTGTCCTGTGTGCCCTCCCGCGAGGGTCTCCACTGGAGATATTTGCACAGTAGCAGATTCTCAGAAGGATAAATATACATAAATCCATCTTTCAAAGGGGGAAGAATCCGTAGGAAGCTGCACCTAGGAGGGTGAGAGCCCACTAATAGCTCAGCCCGAAAGAGCTTCTTGAACAATTCTAGAGCCAGGACCCAACTGTCAGCAGAGCTTGCCAGGGAGACAGATGCTGCGGTTGGAAGACAGTTTTCCTCAGTTAGATATTTTGTTCTTGTAGATGGCCAACCATGACTCATGGGGAAAACAGGAGAGAGAGGGAGAGGAGAAAAGAAGAGTAAATTAATCATTTTATTAATCTCTATTTAGAATTCAGTCATGTAAGTAAATGTCAACCCAGTGAACTTTCCATGAAACTAGATGTGTTGTAAAGACAGTTGCAGGGTTTTAAAGTTATGCCAGGTGATAAAGGCGTCTAATTTAACCTGCAGATTAAATAACCGACACAATTTCGGGAGGATATCTGTGGGAAATAGTAATGTAGGAATTATCTAATAATCCGGCTCAAAGGAAGCATGCTTTTGAAGAATTGAAAGGACATGAATTATTATTTTTTGTGTGTGAGAGATGATAGGTTTGTTTCCTGTTCTCCCTATATTTGCGTATGTTTGTTTGTATTTGTATGTGAAAGATGATCTTTTTTTCACTTTTCTTTTTTCTTCCTCTACTTCTCTCCCATTATGTCTGTGTGTACATATGTGCATATATATGAGATATATACACATATCATACCTACACAGCTGTGTTACATTCAGCCAGGTTACCTCTGCACCCTGATATATCAACTTTCATCTACATTTATCACTCGCTTCCAGATCTCTTCTGTAGCTACGTGCAGTTGATTAGGTAAAAGCAGAATATCTGCTTTGTGAAAGATAGCAAAATTCACTTTTTGTCACGCATGCCAATTGCCAGATTCCGAGTTTCCTTCAAATTCCCAGAAAGGGGCTAATATTGTGGGCGATCATCTTAGCTTCCTCTGTTTTTTTCTTTTTTAAAGATTTCTCATTTCCTTTGAAAATAAACAAGAGGAAAGTTTGGCACAGTTTCCCTGATTCTCATTTGTTTGGGGCTGAGTATTTCAGGCTCCCTCTGAGCCAAGTTTATTTCATAGATCTACTCTGTAGGTCTCCAAAACTGGAATAAGTTATGCATTTGAGTGCCTGACAGCAGCCCCTATGTCAAACTCTTGATGTGCCATTTTTCTGATGGAGTCCCAGGAGTGTCCCTTTTTAGATATGCATGTTCTTTGTGAGTTGGCATGGCAGATTGCCAAAAGGTGTATGTCTGGGGGAAAGGCAGGCTTTTATTTTATTCTTTCTTACAACTAGTTATTTGGAGGGTACTCTAGGAACTGAACATCACAGCTGTGGATCTAATTTAGAGAGTGTAATTCACAATTGACGTGTGGAAGAGGTAGCTTGCCATCTTGAGCCACCCTGCTTGTCTGGCCAATATGGAACTGTCTGAGATGAGGCTCTTCACCTCGAGGTCTACGTGTCTTTCACTGTATCTCATGTCAGATCAAGCACTAAGAGACTATCCTGTCAATTTGTAGCACTCCCTGGAGAACTTTGGGTCTTGAAAACTGTGGGTCATATTGATCCTTGAGTGAAGGTGGTTGCATTTCTTCTGAGGTTTATCAAAATAATAACGACATTTTTCATTTATCTGTTTCAGACACTTACTTGAGAATGCACAAAAAAGATGGATGATTCTTGCACAAGTGTCAGAGAGGTTGCTATATTTCACATGGCCTTGCACATATGTAGTATGTGCTTGATAAATATCTGTTGAGTAGAAGAAACATGTATTTCTTTTCCTTCAGGAACATAGAAAAAAATGTACCATGTGATTATATATTTTTTAAATTTTTCTTTATTCCTTTATTTTTTATTTATTTATTTTTTGAGATGGAGTCTCGCTCTGTCGCCCAGGCTGGAGTGCAGTGGCCCAATCTCAGCTCACTGCAAGCTCCCCCTCCCAGGTTCACGCCATTCTCCTGCCTCAGCCTCCAGAGTAGCTGGGACTACAGGTGCCTGCCACCATGCCTGGCTAAATTTTTTTGTATTTTTAGTAGAGACAGGGTTTCACTGTGTTAGCCAGGATGGTCTCGATTTCCTGACCTCGTGATCCAGCTGCCTTGGCCTCCCAAAGTGCTGGGATTACAGGCATGAGCCACCGCGCCCGGCCACATGTGATGATTTTTAAACCATAAATGGTTGAATGAGTTAGGAGCAGGCGGATCACCTGAGGTCAGGAGTTCAAGACCAGCCTGGCCAACATGGTGAAACCCCATCTCTACTAAAAATACAAAAATTAGCCAGGCGTGGTGGCAGGTGCCTATAATCCCAGCTACTCGGGAGGCTGAGGCAGGAGAATTGCTTGAGCCCAGGAGGCGGAGGTTGCAGTGAGCCGAGATGCACCATTGCACTCCAGCCTGGGCGACAGGGCGAGACTCCATCTCAAAAAAAAAAAAAAAAAAAAAAAAAAAATTTCTGTTCTCTTATAAATGAGGAAATTGTCACAAATAAGATGGACAGACATTGAAAAAATACGTGTTGAGGGAATTAGGATTAATAAAGTCCTTGAATCGGTTGCCCATCAAATAATATAAGGATATTTTAAATAATATTTTTATTTTTATGATTCATATTAATTAAAAAATTTGCTATACCAGTGACTTTATAAAGATTATCAAAGGAATAATTTTTGGCTGGGCGCAGTGACTCACGTCTGTAATCCCAGCACTTTGGGAGGCCGAGGCGGACAGATCACCAGGTCAGGAGATCAAGACCATCCTGGCTAACACGGTGAAACCCCGTCTCTACTAAAAATACAGAAAATTAGCCGGGCGTGGTGGCGGGCGCTTGTAGTCCCGGCTACTTGTGAGGGTGAGGCAGGAGAATGGCGTGAACCCGGGAGGCGGAGCTTGCAGTGAGTGGAGATCGCGCCACTGCAGTCCAGCCTGGGCGACAGAGTGAGACTCCGTCTCAAAAACAAAATAAAACCAAACAAAACAACAAAAATCAAACAAACGAAAAACAATTACATGAAATTAAAATGCCTGCATCCATAAATAAAGTTTACTGGAATATGACCATACTGTTCAATTGCGTGTTTTCCGTGGATATTCCACTACAACAGCAGTGTTAATTAGTGTGGCTCTCGAGCCTTTCGGCTTATTAAATGTTTTGGTGTCTACTATTTGGCCCTTTACAGAAAAAGTTTGCTGGCCTTTATCTAATGTGTGGTTTGCAGAGGTTAAAGGGCTATGATACAAAGCCTGTGCTCATTTTTCTGAGTTCATGAATATTATTGGGTTTGGCCTGCTTTGCGATTGTTATGTTTTTGGATTCTTAACTATGTGAACCAAGGAAAGATTTTGTACCTAGATGAAGAGATGCTATTCCTTATGTAGCTATTGGTTTTACAGAGGAATAGACTGAATTTTTCCCTCTGAGGTGGGAAGGAGATATATTCAAAGAATGGGGTCTTAGATTTGAATTTAACTTTCCATTCTTTCTTTTCTCTGATCCATGAAGGCAAGTTGGACTAACTGCCCCTTTCCCCTCTCCAAATATACACACAGCAGTTATTCCTCACTGATTTGTTTTATATCAGTGAATTATTAGGGCATATATTACTAGTCTTTATTCACACACTATTGATTCCCCCTTACCTATGGTGTATTTCTGGAAAAGGGAAACCAGATTCACTTATAGACACTCAAGAAACATGTGTGTAATACTATGATATATCAGAAGCCACACCCAGGGCTGGGATTAGAAAAATGAAAGAACAAAAACATCTGCCCACCATGCCAGCGAAGACCTACCAGTATTAAGAAGCAGTCACAAAATAAACCGCTTCAATATGAGGTGTTACATCAGTTACAGAATAGTTACCAAGAAGAACTGATATTTATTGATTAAATATTCTAAGCACTTTACATATATTATATAATCCTCAAAAGAGTTCTATGAGTTTATTATATTAACCTCATTCTTTTTAAGAGTAGAGAACTGAAGTCAAGAGATTTTATGGAATAGAATTTCCTTATCTGAATACTTAAGTGATGGAGCAAAGACAGAGAATCCAGCCCACATGACTCCAGAACGTTCCTCTTAGCCATTATGGTATAGGGCCCTCCCTGAAGTACATACAGCATATTTTATAAATATAGTATACTCTGGATGTGACATAAATGGGTAGCTTCTTATGCTTAACTAAAACGTAAAGAATTAGCCTGAATGAATGTGGCAGAAAGAAGAAAGTTAGATCAGGTATTGTACACAGAAGTACAGAGACCAGAGAGAGCATGATGGATTTAGGGAAAAGCAGGTGCATCCATTCACTGTGTCTGAGAAACAGCATCAGGGAAGACAGTGCTGGAAATTGTAGGCATCAGATCATCCATTGAGTCATTGATCAACTCAGCAAACATTTATTGACTTATGCTAAGTGCCGGGGATACTAATTTCAGCACTGAGGTAGTAAATAAGCATACAGTTTATGGTCCAGTGAGATGAGCTAAACAAAAACATAAATAAACAACAGATAAATATAATTTCAGAAAATAATAAGGACTTTGAAACTAGAGGGAGTTTATGTACTCCCTCTAGTTTCATATATGTACATAATGTACAAAAATGAACATCTATGTGCATGCCTGCACTGGTTAATTGAGACAAGGCATGCAGAGAAGACTTCTTAAAATGTATGATATTTGAGCTAAGACTGTGGTAACAAGAAAGATTCAGCACTTATTGGATCTTTTCAGGCAAAAGGAACGATACATGCAAAAGCCTGAGGTGGGAATACAAGTGGAATGCTGATACAAAGGAGAAAAGACCAAATGTGGTTATCTGGTGGTCAGAGAGGAAGCGAGTCCATGATAAGATTAGGGAGGTGGTGAGTGATCCAATCAGGAGGATCATGTAGGCCATGGTAAGGAGATTTTCCATTTTATTTTCCATGCAGTAAGAATTTATTGGAGGATTTTAAGCATAGGAATGCCATGATTGTAGTAATGTTTACAAAACATGATCATCTTCCCTCCAATGTTACTGTACCTAAATTACACCTGGATGAACCAGACTTTAACGTAACTACCATCAAACTTCCAACTGCAGTAATCAATTTATAAAAAAATAGAGGGAAAGAGGACTATGTTTAAAGGACACTATAGTAATACAACCAGCACAATTCTGACTTTGCCCTTAAACTCTAAAGGACAAATATCTAGTTTCTTCTACAAAATTTCAAGAAAAAACATTGCTAGAAGCTGGAGGAGAAATGTATAGATTATAAGGACCTTAAGAGATATTCGTCAGCACAAAGTATGGGACTTGTTTGGGTCTTGATTCAAGTTATTAAATAAATAAATACATGAACAGTTAGAGAAATGTGAACACACATGGGATGTGGTTAAGAAATTCGATTCTTTGGGTGCAGTGTTATATGCCTGTTTACAAAAGTGAAGCCTTTACGTTTTAGAAATACATATGCTAGATTTGCAGATGAAATATGTCTATACTTTGCTTCAAAATAATATTAGGATGGAGGGGGTGAGGTTGTGAAGAAAAAAGGATTGGCCATGTTGAAGTTAGTTAATGAGCTGTGAGAATTCATACTGCTATTATATTATATGCTATTATGTTACATTATATTTATTATAATATATTTTATTATTATATTTTTGTATATATTTGGAGTTTTCCATAATAATTTTTATGTTTAAAAAACCCTGTTTATTCTGTGGAGATGGAAAGTACAATGTTAAAAGTAGAAGAGTAGAACAATTAGTGGACTCACAGTTTTCTGAATAAAAGGTGATGAATTCAGGTGAAAGTGGTAGAAGTAGTGAGATGCGGATGGATATGGGATATGGTTTTGAGAACCAGGTGACAGCCTTTGCTAATGTATTGGATACAAGAAGTGAAGGAAAGAGGAAAAAAGTATGACCTCCAGGGTTATGGTTTGAGCACTAAGTAAATGGTCCTGCCCGTTACTGAGAAAGTGTCTTTTAGGGGACAAATACCAGAACCACATCGAAAAGTAGTGGGGATGCATAGAAGGCAGATTGTCTGGTGGCAGATCAAGCATAGATTAGGAGGATTGAGGCTTGGAGTTAGGGAGTCCATGGTAAAAGATCATTGTGGTGATTTTGTTGAAAGATGCTGAGCCCATTGATTCAAGTGATAAAAGTAAGAATGGAAAGAAGGCAAGGGATCTAGAACATACTTAGGAAAAGGGGTCAGCGTGCCTTAACTGGAAGTGGGAAGGAAAGGAGGAAGAGCCCAGATTGCCTTCAGGGTTATGGTGGGCATATGGTGGATGGTGAGCAGCATTCATCAGAACAAAACAAGTTTTCGAGGAAAAGATTCCAAGTCCGATTTTGATTTTGAGAGGTCTTGAGTAGGAATGTTTTATATAGTTAGATATATAAGCCTGAAGCGCAAGGGAGTGATGTGGAACAACACCCCAAAAGTGGTGTGTGAGCAGAATTGCCCAGGGAACTTGAGAGAAGAGAGGAAGGAATAGAGCTGGAGATGGAACACTGGAAAATACCAGCATTGCCAGCATAAAATGAGGAAAAGGAGGTGGGGAAAGATTGAAAAGTGCCAACAGAGGAGACCCCTGTAAGAGGAATGTTGTAAAACCAAGGCAGAGAAGACTTTGAAGAAGCAGGACGCTGTGATTGTGTTAGATGCTGTAGAGGCATCTATAAGATCTGGATTGGAAACTCCATCAGATTTGGCAATGAAAAAGCCATTGTTAAATTTCAGCAATGTCACAGTCAGTGGAAGAGAGATCTACATTGGGTTAAGCAGCTAAAGGGAGTTCAGAAAATGGGAACAGGGATCCCTATCTAGAGAAAAATTGGGAGAAAATAAAACAGAAATTAGAAAGATCAAGAAAAAAACATTCTATCAAATATCAACCTATTTGGATTGTTAGAAGTTTTCCTCTATTGCAATTAATCAGGGATTTTACTTCCATTTGCTTTATGAAATTGGGCTGTTCATGGGAAGGTTTATGTTATGAATCTCATTTAAGAGTTTATAATTGGGAACGTATTTGAAAGAAATCTACATCCAGGGCTTTATAATGCAAAACTGACCTCTAACTACCAAACTTACTTGTGTATTTGTTGCTTTAAATAGCCTGCCAAGAGTGTAATGGGTAAAGAATTCTGTGTGCAGAAAATAACAGATGTTTGGGTCATCATATAGACTTGATTTTTGAGTGTATCATATATTTATTCTGGTCTGATTGCTTGATTAGGAACCACTTAATAAAATGGAGAAAATAGATTGGAAAATCTAAAACCATGTTTTTACACATAGCGATACCCCACTACCTTGTACAGAGCTTGTTTTTTAAATGAATGAATGGTTAAATTTGTGATTTACATGTATCAGATAAGCTTATCAGAACTCCTAGCTCTATTCGTAGAAAATTGTTTCTTCCAAAATTTCAACAGGTAGTTTAAAACGTTTCGTAATTTACTTATGTAAAAACCTTCTGGCCAGTGGACCTTCTTGAGGAAGAGTAAGTTGTTGTATTTGGTATGATTTTCTAAAAATTTTGTCTGTGGTTTTTTGTTGTTGTTGTTTCTAGGATTTTTATTTTGACAGTTTAGTCATTTAGCCAATGCATTGGCTGATTGGTTTGTTGATTGATTGATTGATTTGTCTTGGTGTGGAAGTTTCGAGTTAGGAATATAGGCTAGTGTAAAAGCTACTTAAACATTTTTTTGAAATTCAGAAATTACACTTTTCTAACTGAAAACCCTCCTGACTTGATGAGAGGCCTTGACTAATGTTATAGGTGTACATTGGCAATGGAAAAGAGTTTGGTCTCATTGTCTTTACATGCAAGCCTTGGTTAAAACTACTGAGGTTTGCTAATGGAAAGAAAATTACCTCAGAACACTAAAACTATCGTGGGTTACTCTTATTTTCTTAGATCGTATGGAAAAATCATTCTTAAGGCATTCATATTTCATGTTTCTTATTCTCAAGTGTACAGTGAGTAATCTTGGACCTTGAATGTTGATTTCTTTATTTTACAGATCAGTACTGACATGACTTATGGGGTTGCAGAAAGTTTGATGACATGCGGGAACATCTGCCATTATACTCCATTGCATGAAAAGAACAGTGTCTGAGATCTATCCAAAGTGGAATTAAAAAAAAAAAAACATTAACAGTAATAGTAAAAACAGATTAAATGTTGCTTACTTTCTACAGTCCCTGACCATTAGATTTAATCAAGTTTTAGGCTTTTGCAAAGCAGGTTGTAAAATCCCTCCTGTCACATTTTATTGCAAATGTTGCTTTCCAAGTTATCTATGAGAACAGCCCATTGAATCAAAAGAAATACTATTGTATCAGTGGGAATGATTGTTTTATACAGCAAAGCACATGGTACAAGCTTGTTGGTAGCTGGAATTTGAGTACCATTTTAGCTCCCTCTCTTTTTTTTTAATGTAGGCAAATCTCTTCGGAGTCTCCAAATGCTTATTTTATTTTGCTGTTTTGCTGCTCCTGCCTTTACTTATTCAGTGAGTCACTTATGGAAAGAGTTACTTGCTTGAGTTGATTTAATTCATATCATATAAAATTCTTTTTGTACTTATATCAAATTGATTCTATTATTCACCATAATATTTTACCCTTCTTGTAACAGTAAAATGACAAGGGATATTTTTGGACAGACTCTGTAGTTCATATGAAAAAGAACTAGGAAAAAAGGGTCTTTTTCAGAAAAATATCACTGGAGAAACATAGCCATTTCAGAGCTGTAAATTACTTAGAAGAATGTTTTGTTTCATCTTCTAAAGGGGAAATTTGGGCCTGAAGAAGTGAAATAACTTGAAAAACCATCTATAAAACTTGTTATATTGCCTAAATGAAACTAATCTTATATTAAATTGTATGTGAACTCTTTCTTACTAAAATAGAAAGTTAACACTATATTTAAAAGTTTCATCTTGGTTGCAGTGTGTCTAGATCGTGCCATTGTCCTCCAGCCTGGGTCACAGAGGAGACCCTGTCTCCAAAGATAAAAGTCTCATCTTGAGAAAAATTATAGCTGCCTATGGATTAAAGCAATCTGGAGTAAAATAAAATATAGCCATTCAAAATCTGTTAATAATTAATGAATAGCCCGGGTGTGGTAGCTTGTGCCTGTAATCCCAGCACATTGGGAGGCCAAGGCAAGAGAATCACTTGTGACCAAGAGTTCCAGACCAGCCTGGATAACATGGCAGGACTCGGTGTCTGCAAAAAGACAAAAAAACCAAAAAAACAAAAAAAAAACAGCCCCTGTTCTTCGAGCCCAGGAGTTCAAGTCTGCAATGAGCTATGATCATGCTCCTCTACTCCATCCTAGGTGACAAAGTGAGACTCTGTCTGTAAATAATAATAATGATGATAATAATAAATGAATAATTATAATGCATTTTAATTATTTCAGGTAGGACTAGCCTATTAAGGAGTATTACATACTCAAGAGGTCATTTTGCAATGATAGGGCTTTTTCTCCTTAATTTAAATCTCCTTTACATGAGAAATAATTCAGTACAATTAATATATTTAAAATTATTTTTGCTTGATGACTTTTTTTTTTCATAAAACCCTCTAGGACTCATTTGCAAAGCTGCTTTGAAGTTAATTTCATGCAGATCTTCCTGATTTGTACTTGTGGTGACTTATTGTTAGGCTAAAAGAAAAATATCTGAAAAGCTCAAATCTTCAAAACTTACCATTTATTTCATCTTTTGTTTAAATTGGTTTACTTTAAACCATGCAAGTGATACCAAGTACTTCAAGTCTGTAATAAATTAAACAGACATGATAAAATCTTGCTATGAATTAACATAGGATACAGCAGAATTGCTGTTTAATAATCCAGGTGTCTTCACCCAAGAACACTTATTAAGATACCTATCATCTCATTAAAACGTCCCTACAAATAAAAACCTCTTCCTGAGTGTGCTTTTCCTTTTAAACTGTAATTTGAATAATTGGGGGAAGGGCATTTTCATTATGCAAATGATTTCTGCTGCTCAAATCAGAGTTGCTTAATTGTCAGTGAATAGGTCAGTTTATATTTCCTCATTAATATTTGAAGTTTTAGTTGAAATCACTTCATGGCTCAAATGACCAGCTTCTGTCTTGTAGCATCAATTTAATTTATTGTGACGAAAATGTCGGTTTAGTTTAATCTATGGTGTGTGTTTGTGATTGACAATCAGTATTTGTTGCTTGTTGGTAAAGTCGAACTTTTTTTCTTTGTCTTTAAATGATAAGAGCAATTTGAAGATGTGTATAATTACAGGGAAAGACAGTTGACCACCCTGCATATGTCCCATTTCTCAAACTATAGTAAAATGTAGTGACTAAATACTTAAACTGATGATTTTGGGGAAGGAACTCATTGTACATTAGAATGTAAAATGCTTTACATAACACATGTACTCTTTTCAGACGGTTCATTATTCACATGGAGTGTGTCTAATGAGCGTTTTAGCTTCTTACTTAGAAAATATACTCAACTCTCAGTTATAGGCTTTTGGATTCTCTGGTTTGTGGGTTATCTGTAACAAAATGTTAATCCCAGCCATGATTCCGAGTCAATTCCTTTGCTCAGGAATTGTAATTCATTTTTAGTATTAGCCTTAGGAGTAGAAACATGATTAGAAATGCAGAATAATGCTTTCATTCAAAACCAATTAAAACAACTTCTGGATTTTCCAACATAATGGGTAATTCACAGCCTTGCACTTCTCCATCATAATAGATCCAGTTTGTTGTATTCAAAGATGATTTAAAATTGGAGATCAAAATATTATTCAGGAAAGCATTTGATTAGTTTTCACCGATGAGGAAAATGCTTATTTTTACATCTCATTGGAACAATATAAAATTGCACTAGATCTTAGCAAAATAAAAGTTCAGTTTCTGTTTTTGATCTGTTACAAAAGTCATGTTTTATAGAAACTCTACCATATTTGCTTTAAGCTAGCCATTCATTACCCTTCAATAAAGTATCATTTTACAGTGTATAGAGAAACCGTCACTTATAAAAGTTATTTATTTTGTGGCAGTGTTATGTAATCTGGTTCATTTTTATTTCAGGCAGAAAGAAAACACAGTTGAAAGGAAGATAGTAAAAGGAATATTCTATAAATTCAGGTCATATTTGCTAGATCCATTGGCTTTGCTTTTTAGAATTCTTTGTGTTTAAAACCAAAGATGGTAAATGTTATTACTCCTTGAATAAGTACATGGCATATTATTTTAATATGAGTAGGGTTGTTAGTGGTGAAATAAAACTTGATATATAAAAAGATTTTTAATAGTTTTCCAGCTTGCAGCGTGTGTGCGTTTTAGGCAGTACGCTCCACTGGGTTAGAAGGGCCTTACGTTATTGAATGTCAGAGAAGAGCTTTTCTTCAACTGTGCAGCGTGCTTGTGCAAGAAGGATTGTGGGAAGGAAGCCTGTCAGATGAACTTTAAAGTTAAATAAGCATTCAGGCTAACCCTATTATTCACCCAGGACTTACCTTTGAACTGACTTTACTTTCCAGCTGTTTTCTTAAGATGATTTGAATAGAGTCCGAATAAATAAATAAATAAATTTTAAAAGGTCAATATCTGCAATGCAAGTCATTAAGAAAAATTAAACAAAGCAATATTTTTTAAATAAAAAAAACTAAAAAGGACTTTTCCCCCCCATTTAATTAGATGTCTGTGAGTCACTTTGCTGCCTCACTGTTTCCAAGGGAATATAGTATGGATTCGAGCGAGGGCTTTCTTCGTGGTGTCTTTCACTGTTTCTGCATTCAGTGTGTACGAATTCACAGAAAGATTTCTTGAAAGTTGGGAATGGTCTGTTGAGGGTAGACAACATCTAAAAAATGTATAAAAGGTTTGCCACCCCACCTGTGTACCACATAGATGAATTTCAGTAGTCTGTCAGACAAGGGAGTGCCACTTTTTGACTGAAAATCTGCACAACATTCTTTAGGAGAACCGTTGACATTTAGTAATAATGATAAGATGTTGCTCTATTTCCACCATCTTGGACTTTCAAAAATATGGCTTCCTTTACTTTCAAGGGTGTAGAAGAGAAGATAATCTCCTGCCATGAATAATGCGTACTATACTGAACTTTTAACTCACAGAAATATTTCTAATATGCTAGTTTTTAAAAAAAGGAATCTTCACTCATTTTTATCTAGTAGATGTACTTGCCGAGAGTAAATGCTCATTCTTGTTTTTTCTGTGTGTGGGTTTTTTTTTTTTTTTTTTTTTTTTGAGATAGAGTCTCACTCTGTTGCCCAGGCTGGAGTGCAATGGCGTGGTATTGGCTCACTGTAAACTCTGCCTCCCGGGTTCAAGTGATTATCCTGCCTCAGCCTCCTGAGTAGCTGGGATTACAGGTGTGTGCCACCACATCTGGTTAATTTTTGTATTTTTAGTAGAGACAGAGCTTCACCATGTTGGTCAGGCAGGTCTCAAACTCCTGACCTCATGATCAGCCCGCCTCGGCCTCCTATAGTGCTGGGATTACAGGTGTGAGCCACCGTGCCTGGTGCTCATTTTTGTTTTAACTGCTGAAGTCTTGAAGTTAATTGTGGTAGGACGTGGAAGGAGGTAGGACATGGTAGGAGAGGATGTAAATGAAGACCTTTCCATGTAGACTAGCCTTTCTAATCCCAAAACGCCTGCAGTTTTGGGTCCCTGCACAACTTTTTTCTTGGAATCAACTTGGAAACCCTAAAATTGCACGCACAATTCCCAGATACTCTATGGCCAGGCTGACCAGATATATACACTTAATGTGATTTTTGCTAAAATATCAGAATAAACAGACACTAGATACTTTTTAGGGAATTCGATTTGGTCAGTTCAACAGTAGAAGAGAATGTACATACCCTTTTTTGCTATTAATCTCAAAATTATTAAATTGAGGGAATTAGTTTCTTTAGAGTCATTTCTTCTTAGAAGTAAGTTGTTTTATCATTTAATTTCGTCTTGCTTGATGAAAATGCTATAAAGCATGGCATTGGCTGAAATTAAAACAATGCAGAAAAGTAAAAAGAAGAAACTTTTAAAATCAGCCTGATTCCCATATCTTAGGTCTGACCATTGTTTAGGTGACATATATTCTTCAGGAGAAATGCATTTTTCTAAGCATGGATACATATGTATGCATATGGGGGTATAGCTATATGATATATTTAACTGTGATAAGAATCATTTATATATTCAGAACTACATATTCCATCTTTTTTTTTTCTTTTTTCTTTTTCTTTTTTGAGGTGGAGTTTCACTCTTGTTGCCCAGGTTGGTGTGCAATGGAGTGATCTCGGCTCACTGCAACCTCTGCCTCCTGGGTTCAAGTGATTCTCCTGCCTCAGCCTCCCAAGTAGCTGGGATTACAGGCATGTGCCACCACGCCTGGCTAATTTTGTATTTTTGGTAGAGATGGGGGTTTCTTCATGTTGCTCAGGCTGGTCTTGAACTCCCGACCTCAGGTGATTCACCCACCTCGGCCTCCGAAAGTGCTGGGGTGTATTACAGGCGTGAGCCACCACACCCGGCCCACATTCCATCTTTTAGCCTCACATTATAATATGCTCCTTTAAGTCAATAAAATTTTCAAAAATGTAATTTAATGCCTCTGTAGTACCTAATTCTGTTTAATGCATTTTAATTCATTTACCCATTCTCCTGCTACTGATTGCTTCTAATTTTATAAATAATGGAGATACTTGCATCTTGAATATTATTATCACAATGATTTAATACACAGATTTCCATTTCCTTTTGTGTTATTCCCCCATTGCCTAGAATGACTATGCTTGCTTGCCTGTCAGTTTCAGGATCACAAATATAAACATAAGTCCCAAAGGCATTTCCCAGCTCATAGCTAAATGACAAGCCTGCTTACTCCAAGGAAATATTTTAATCTGAGTCTTTCCAATCTAAGGAAAAGAGCTTATAGAAATTAATTTTGATAAAGCATATTTAATCTTTTGCCTTACTGGCTGTTGCTTACCTTATAAATGCAATGCACTGCATAGGCCAAGCAAAAGTACAAAAGTATCAAAAGCGAAAAGTTACTGTTTCTCTTCAATTCTTCACCATGCCTCAATCTTTCCCATCCCTGCTGTCCTGTGGTACTTTTATGTTAATGTTTGATGTAAATCATTCCACACTTTATTGTAGGCTTGAACACATAAATAATTAAATAAAGCTTCTCCCCTAGCCTCCCACAAAAATTGAGTCTTGGCATTCATATTGTTGTCTAACAGGCCCCCCACTACCACCTCCACTTGTATATAGTGCTCAACCCTATAGCTAAATGTATGTATCGAATCCATTATTTTAAATAGTGCATAATAAGCCACTGTGCCACAGGTGAGGTGGCATGTTTCCACCACTTTTGTGCCCATGATTTTTGATGTCCTCACTCCCACGAGCCAGCCTGGGCCAGAACTTGCTTTACATTTGCTTGGGGGCAGCCTGGAACAAAAGACTAACAGGTGCAGGGCTCTATCTGGGATGACACTGAATGGGACCAGAGCCATCTCCTAAGCTTCCCTGTGCAACTAAGCCACAGTAACCCACCGTTGGATGTTGCTTGAGGTGGCACAGTGGCCTCCCTCCCTTCCCCGTTCCTCTTCTCTACCTGCTTTTCCTGAGAACACTTCAAAATAAATCATTTTTACAGGAATGCTATCTCAGGGTCTGTTTCTGGGGAACTCAAACTAAGACACGTAGCGTATATCATAATTTTCTTCCCTGTTACTGGGATTTCTGTAGTTTATATTTTTTTGGCTCTTACAGCTTCAAACTTGTGTATATATCCTTGCATATGACTGGTGTTTGTTTGTTTTCTGTCATAGGGTAGATTCTTTCTAACATTCAGACTGCTGAATAAAGGAGTTGATATAGTTTTAAATTTTTAATAGAGTCAGAAGAAGATCTAAAAAGGGGGCAGCAGTTCATACTCCTTCCAGCGGTGGATGAATGTGTCTGCCTGTTTTCCTACACTCTTAGCAGCACTGAGATTACCAGTCTTTCAATTTTTTCTTAATCTGATGAGTCAAACCAGTTTTTATTACAACTTCCATTTACCAAAATGCAGGACACTTGAGTCTCCTTACATTTGATCAGTTTTGTGTGTTTGTGCTCAGTTGTGTCATTTGCATTACCTTTGTGAATTAGCAGTTTATTTTTCATTTGGCCGTTTTTCTATCATGTGGGTTGCCTGCATACATGTTGAAACGATTTTCTTCCATTTGTCATTTGTTTGGACTTTTTCTCAGATACCATCTAGGAGGAGAGGCAGCTAGAAATGCTGAGGATGTTTCTAAGGAAACATCCACGGTTTGGGAACCGTGCCTGTGCGTTAGGTTTGCAGCGTATCGACGTACACATTTGTGAGTCATGTATATCGTTCCTATTTGGGTCAGTGTGCACAACTTGAGTGAATGCAGACAGTCCTATTTATAGGAATATGCTTTAGGGATTCCCACAACAAAGCTTTTAGCATCGGTCCTGCAGAATGTCCCACTTACAGCTTTGTGCTCCACATCGAGACATGAGAGGCAGAAATGATCAGAGGCCTGGCTGTCCAAGTGTGTGGTTGTCAAGCATTTGTAAGAAATAAGCTTCCACCAGAAAACGTGAGAGGATCAACTCCATTGTGCCTTCCAGCTCAACTCATTTACACCCTTCAACAGAGACGTGAGCTCCAAAGTTAAATTTAAGGCTTGAATTATGTGTCATATCGTTTATATTGATTACACAATCGGATGTACAGGTGTGCATGTTTGCGTGACATACACCCCTACACACGCACACATATACACACTCACTCTATTCCATTCTCTCCTGTTATAAACCTGAGCAAAGGCATAGAAGCATTCTTTCTTACACGTCTTTCCCCTTTTGTTTCCTTTTTGATACATTCATTAAGTTTTTTTCATATTACTATGCCTCAGCTGATTTTCAATAATTACAAGTATAAAAATATTTACTGCTCAAAATAAATAAATGACTACATAATTAACAGGCTTTTGTGAAATACACCTTTTCTTTTTGGAATAAGGTGTTAAAAATGTCTAATTAATAATATTTGAGCAAAGGATTTCTGCATCTAGTTTGTAGCCCCAGTGATAGAATCGTTGAATGGCATGGTCCCAGGTTTATGGAGATAATCTTTTTAATCTCCAAATTCCTCAAAGCTTCTTTGGCCTTGGGGTTGTCAAACTTGCTTTTTATTGATCTCTGCATTTCAACTCATGCACATAAAAATTTTTTTTTTCCCACTGATCACAGGGAAGGAGCAACCCTGTGATATGTATGTTTCCTAATTAAAGCTTAAATCTAGTTCCCTGCAATTGCACTTCTGAAATGTTGGAACCACAGAGTGAAATATTTTTAACTTTTTCCATCCATCACATTGGTTTTTAGGTTGCTAGTAATGTCAGCCAGAAAAGTATCTGAATTGGGAACATTTTTCTTAGAGATTTCTACACTTCTTAAATGGGTAAGTTAGTATTAAAGATATCACTGGAATTCATCCCAAAATATAATTGAATTTTTTATTGGTTTTAGGTTATAGTTCTTAGTTTTTCAGTTCAGACATGAACCACGAACCATAGGAAGTAAATAACGTGACACGAGTAGGTGTCAGAACAGCAGCAAAATTTTACAAAGGAAAGGCTGGGCGTGGTGGCTCACACCTGTAATCCCAGCACTTTGGGAGGCCAAGGCGGGTGGATCACCTGAGGTCAGGAGTTCGAGACCAGACTGACCAACATGGAGAAACACCATCTCTACTAAAAATACAAAAAATTAGCCGGGCATGGTGGTGCATGCCTGTAGTCCCAGCTACTCAGGAGGCTGAGGCAGGAGAATTGCTTGAACCTGGGAGGCAGAGGTTGCAGTGAGCTGAGATTGTGCCATTGCACTCCATCCTGGGCAACAAGAGCAAAACTCTGTCTCAAAGAAAAAAAAAATTTACAAAGGAGCTGTATCTTTTAGGAAGTCAAACCCTCTGCCCAGAGATACTGTCCATTTGGCATTTTAATAAACAGCCTCTTGGGTATGTGAACAAGGATGGCAGTGCTAGGTGAAAACATTTGGAGTGTTGAATTTGGCAGATAATTTATTATTTCAAAAACTGTATAAAGATATCCTACTTGGAGAACTAATAGAGTTAGCTATTCTGCCACGTTATGATGATTTAGATAAGTCTATTTCATTAGAACTAATAGTTCCTCCTTTAAAAATTTCACCATGGTGTTTTCCATTTCTTCCATAAGGAGTTCTATATTTGTTTTAGATGAGAACAAAAATTTTAATTCTATTTTTTGTTGTTTTTGTGGCACAAATTCTATGAACCTAGGGTTATTGCTTTAATATGATAGTGGTGAAGACCACAGTTTCTTGGACGAGTGATATTAAAATGATACAATAGAAGATGATCAACAAATGTTAGGTATTAATATGTGCCTGGTGGTTTGCTCAGTACTTTATAAATATTACACCGTTTATAGCCCCCATATTTAACTACATTTACTACAATTATCCTGTTTTATAGATGCAAAGGAAAAACAAAAACAAAAACAGGTTAAGTAGACTGGTCAGGCTAATAATATACCTTGGCTAACAAAGTGAACATCCAAAAATCTTTATCTGGAGTTTAGGACATATTGACATATAAATTATTTGAAAAGTTGATGTTTAATTCTTTTTGGTCCTTGCAGTATCACCACCTAATGGGTTAAATTACTACTTCCTCTGGTTTTCTTGTACAAGCAAATGGTTAACACCAATTGTCTTGAGCAAGAGCCATTGTAACTGGAAAAAAGCATGGTAAAATCCATAAACGTCTAAGTAATGCATTGTACCTTTGTAATTCTTTGTACTATTAATCCTATTTAATAAAGACTGTATCACACAAAGACCAACTTCAGCCAAGCTGTGGGTCATAATCCCTACAATTCCCAGTGTGAATGCCTAAATGTCTGGATTTTATTCATAAGTGCATGGACAGGCACAGAGTTTCAGAATTTATGGATAGGCACAAACTTTGAGTTTGCAAAAGGAGACTTGCATATAAATAATAGTAAGTGGTAGTGTTCTTTGCGTACTTGATGAGGGAGCATGAGGCTCTAGCTCATATCTGAGACCTTAAGCTCAGATAGGGCACAAGTAGGAGACAGTCATTCAAATTTGTTATGTATACTTGCCTTGGCAGCTAATGTTTGGGAGTACCCCTTGTCCCTGTTAACAAGAAAATTTGAGACTACCCAGGGAGGTAGAGGCTTTGTCCCCTCTATTTAGGAATTGAGAGTTATGTTGATTTCTTTGATGAACTCATTTGGCAGGTAACATATAATTTCATTTCCTATCTGAGAAAGTAATGTTAGTAGTATAGATTTATGTCGCAGGACATGATTTGTTATTAAATTACTCTGTCTTAGTTGTGGAGATCAAGGTTATTGACTTGTAAAAGTGCATTGTTCTATTGGTTTTAAATTAACTAAGGCATATTGTCGTGTAGGTTGATGGTCATGAAACCCTTTCAGTTTAGTCTCCTTTTCTGACTGATTGCTACATTGCTGTCAGGATTCTTCTTACGGATTTGTGGCCTCTCGGTAACCATAAAATGAAAATACAGAAGACAAGAAGAATTTGGCTGACAGAACCTTAAGGGATTTTATTGGCCTTTTTCCATTCCTTACTCTATAGAAGTCTTGTAATGTCCCAGATCAAACACATTCAGAATGAAAAGCTCTCACAAAGGTTATGACTATAACTTCCAAGTATGCCCTTTGATTTCAGTCTTCTTTCACACTAAACTCTATTCTCCACCTTCCCCTGTCGTTTTAAGACATATTTACCAAATGTCTGGAACATTTCAGGCATGCCATTGGTTCTGGAGACATCATAGTGACCAAGACTACAAGATCCCTTGGCTCTTGGAGCTCATTTTCTAGTGAGGAGGAGACAAATAATAAATGTTTAAACAACCAGTAAGCAAGATAATTTCAAATAGTAACTAGGCTACAAGAGATAAGAAAAGCACAGTGTGTGTAGACAGTAGTGGAGCCGGGAAAGTGGTTTATTAGTGTAGGGAAGAACTGTCAGAGGAAGTGGTATCTGACCTGAGATCTGAGTAATGAGATACAACCACACATGGGAATTTTGTCAAAAGAACTTTCCAGGGAGAGGGATTCCAAGGCTGCCATGGAAGGTTGTGCAGTATGTGCACTGCACAAAGGAACCCAACCAAAGGGAGATGTAGGGGTTGAAATCTCATGCTCCTCTTACAAATTTGTGCTATCAGGTACAGGGCTGCATCCTCTCAGAGAATTAGGGGGACCTTTTTTTCCACAAAGGCTGTCCCTTTTACCAAGCATATACCATGGGGAGCACTGTGTCCACCAGAGGGTGTGTGTGTTTGTGTGTGTGTGTATTTTTTTTTTATTTGAATAAAGAAAATTTTATAAGCTATCAGCAGCCTTGAGTAAATAAGCATGTAAGGTTGGCCTGTTAGTGGAGCAGAAAAAAGGCTAACATAATTGGAGTGCAAAAAGTAAGGGGAATATAGTAGTACAAGGTGAAGCTAAAGATATGGGCAGGGGCCAGACCTTGTGGGCTTATGTGAAGAGTTTGGATTATATTCTAAGTATTATAAAAAGAGGCCATTGGAAAGTCTTATTTGAGGGAAGATATCATTGTAACTATGTCTTTAAAATATTACCCGGACATGTAAAGTGGAAGAGAGAGCCTTATCAGGACAAAAAACTTAACTCCCACATTATTCCACCCTCTTATCCATCCTCCCCTTGTCCTGATCTGAAAGATTTCTGGTTCTAACTTTCAATGTCCTTGACTTCTCTACTAATAATCAAAACGGGCCATAACTAGAATCCTGTAGCACCCCATGTCAAAAGATTAAAATGTAAAGACTCTAGGGAACATACCTTTTCCACCTTTTCTATCAGTAGCCTGGATACATGGCTTCTTTGACAGCCATATTCTGATTCCAGGTAAATGAAAGAAATGAACAGAAGCCATTTTTTTTTCCCGAAAAGCTGACCACATTAATAAATTCAAGCAACCCTGGTCAACGTGGTGAAACCCTGTCTCCCCTAAAAAATACAAAAATTAGCCAGGCATGGTGGTGCATGCCTGTAGTCCCAGCTACTTGGGAGGCTGAGGCAGGAGAATTGCTTGAACCCAGAGAGGGGAGGTTGCAGTGAACCAAGATCGCACCACTGCACTCCAGCCTGGGCAACAGGGCGAGACTCCGTCTCAAAAATAAATAAAGAAAGAAATTCAAGCAGTGACTGAAGGAAAGTGGTAGGTCTGACTGAAGGAAAGGGGTAGGTTTGACTATAATTTGGGCAAGTTTACTTCCTAATTCTGTGTTTTTGTTTGATTGTAAGATTACTACTATGAGGCATAACTGATACTAGCATATAATAAGGTTTTCCAGTACAATTATATTGGTAAGGGAATGTCGAGGAGCTTCTTTTGAAACCATGGCAGGTTGGCAAATTGGGGTACCTGGTATTGTGAAACACCAAGGCCATCAATGAAGCCTGAAGTAGAAAAATTATCTTGTCATCACCTAAATGAATCAGGATTGAAATGCATTAAAAAAGTTTATTTTGTGAAAAGAAAGCATTAGATTGTAGGATTTAGGGATTACTTAACGGCATTTGCTGCCATCTAAGAAAACCAATTCTTTTTTTTTTTTTCTAAAATGATCATGAGCTTTATAAGAAGACCTGGACAGGTATTTTTAGACCTAAAGTTTCATAGTGTCAAAGAATTAGAAATGGATGATGGCTTTTAGAGAAAAGTAAAATACGACATAAGATATTTTAGACCTAACAACAGAGCAGAAGATTTTAGTGATCTGCTCTTAGTCATGAGGGAAAAAATGAAAAACAAACAAAACAAAAGCAAGTACACGTTAAATTCTGTGGGTCTCAAGTCTCTTGCTTTTCTTCTTTTCCTAACTATATTGTAAAAGATCTGTGCCAATAAAGAAGTCCTGTTTAAGGAGTAGTTCCCTGTTAACATAGGAAAGATGATCGTGTTGGCAGGTCTATATTCAAAATTTTAATGGATTCTCCACCCCTCTGCATGAGGAGAGATAAGAAACAGATAGGGGTCAAATAGGCTTAACAATGTAATAACTAGCAGAACCCTGTTGCATAAGAGAAAGAACCCAGACTGGGTACTCCAAAGTGAACAGATGTGGCTGGTTAATTCAGTTGCCCTGACCAAGCAATAAAGGGAATTAAACCTGGCACGTTTCATTACACGGAGTATCCTCACACCCACTCTTCTTTCCAGATTCAACGCTGCTTAGAGTCTAAGACTGATCATCAGAGACCGGGGTGAAACCAAACACTATCAATCCCAGAAGTGACATTTCACCTTTTGCCCTAAATAAATGCATTTGTGAATTCAGAAAGCTTCTGCTGTGTCTCTACCTAAATTAATCCCCCTTTAAAAGGATACATATAAACTGTTGTCTTTTTGCTTTATGGTTTGGCTGCCTGTTAAAAAGGTTCTAAAAAATTTATATAAACCATCATGCAAACCTGTTCTCTAGCTCTAACAGAAGGCTTTCTTGGGTGCAGTTTACTGTTTATATACAAAGTGTGTAGATGGTCTAAATGTTTTTCTAGCACATACTAGGCTCTCAATAAACATTTTTAACTATGGAGTGGATGTAAGAATGAATGACTAATTTATCTTATTGGTTTCCTGTTATATTTTTTGAAAATCTGAATATTTTTGGTTAGTTCAGTGGTTAAAAAAACAGATTTCTTTTTCTTCAAAATGCCGTACTCTTCTAAAATGCGATGGAAGTATAGGGAACATAGTAATATTTTTGTCATATCATTGCAGAGGGGAACACTTATGATCATTTTTAGATTTAAGTAGGGGCAGTAAAATTTCTTTGCCTAATGATATTTTAGCCTGCGTGTGTTTGGCTGAGTTTGCAACCTGGAAATCACCTTTTAAACAAGGCACTTCTCCACACAGCATATGGAACTTTACTAACATAGCATAAGAATATATTTTTGGTATGTTTATTTTATATTCATGTACTTCCCAGAATTACTGGGTCATCTTCTTATTAATGAACTACTTATAAACTTGAAAAAATTCTTGCCCATTACTTAGAAAATTATCATATGTGATTTCTGTGAAATATTTACAAATTATAGTTTGTTTGTTTGTTTGCCATCTTGCCATTTCACAATGACTGTGTTTCATGGTAAGGATACCAACATTAACCATCACACACTGATCTGAAGTGGGTAAATCAAGTTATGTTCTACAAGATCAAGATATATTTTTTTTTCTTAGATTTGCATAGACTGTCCCTGATTTTCTGGACTGTGATGTTGAGTTATCATAGTACTAACTCCATTGAGACCAAAGACAGTTATTTATCTGTCTCTCTTAAACTGATTTACTTTTTCCTTTTCTGCCCTGAGTAATCCTCAGAGGCCCAGAAAGTGAGGAGAATTCCACCATTAAAAGAAGGAGAGAGGTGACCAGGCACGGTGGCTCACCCCTGTAATCCCAGCACTTTGGGAGGCCAAGGCGGGCGGATCACGAGGTCAGGAGATCGAGACCATCCTAGCTAACACGATGAAACTCCGTCTCTACTAAAAATACAAAAAATTAGCCGTGCATGGTGGCGGGCGCCTGTAGTCCCAGCTGTTCGGGAGGCTGACACAGGAGAATAGGGTGAACCCAGGAGGCAGAGCTTGCAGTGAGCCGAGATGGGGCCACTACATTCCAGCCTGGGCAACAGAGCGAGACTCTGTCTCAAAAAAAAAAACAAACAAACAAACAAACAAAAAAAAAAAAAAAAAAGAGGGAGAGAGGCCTCCTGTCTACTGTCCTTTCCTGAAAAATCGTTAGTGTACATTGCTGATCATGTTCACTAATTCCATTTATCATGCTACTCTATTTAATTTCTGGTTTTGAGTGTAACAGAAGGGAAATAAGACCAAAACCTTACGAATTCCTGATTATGTGAATACAATTAAAAAAAGAATGCATGAATTGACTTTACATTAGCAAGCAAGTTTTTCTCCTGTCTTAACTTTTGTGTTGAACAAAGTTCTTATCTGACTGAATAAAGAAAATGTGATATCTACATAAAATGGAATATTATTCCACCTTAAAAAAGAAGGAAATTCTGCAATATGCGACAACATGGATGAACAACAACCTTGAGAGCATTATGTTATGTATAATAAGCCAGGCACAGAAACACATATGCTAGTTTGCTTTTTTTTGTCATTCTATTAAATCTATCCTAATCTAGTTGTCAGCTTTGTGCTCAACTGTTTCCCCTACTTTTTAAACAGTTAGATGATGGCTGCCAAGGTTGAATGGAGCAAAATACATTCTTATTCATGCTTTGTGGTAGAAAGGGAGAAACTGGCTCCCTGTGAATCTCTGGAGAAAGGAAGAATTATCGAAGAAACCTCTAGTAACCCTTTAGTCAAATTGCAAATCGCATCAGTCATTTCTGGTCTTGTGCCAATTTCTGAGCCAATCCCTAGCAAGAGGGAAGGGAATTACTATAACTTTATACAAATCAGAGCTCATTCCTGAAGTTGGAGATGGAATCAGCTTTTCTCTTCCCTCCCATTGTTTACAGAGGAGATAACTGAACATTGTTGAGATTTCAGGAAGAATAAGATGAATGGACTCTGGGTAAAAATCTGTCCTTTGAGGAGGGACTAGGTAATTTGCTTAAGGCCTTATAACTGCTTATTGGTGGTCCTTAAACTTATATCCAGGTCTTTTTCATTTCAGAAGCCCAAGCTTCTACATTGCCTTTTGTGATGAATATCAGGTCTTACTTATGAGAATATATTTTCAATAAAATGTTAAAAATCTGTGTAACGTTGGACAAGTAATTTTGGCCTCAGTTTCCCTATGTGTACAAAGAATGAACTTCTTATTTCAGTCTTTGTGGACCATTTGGTTTTTGTCCCAAATAACTGCTCAACTCTGCCATCACAGCAGAAAAGCAGCCATAGACAATATGTAAACAGATGGGTGTTGCTGTGTTCTGTAAAACTTTATTAGCAATAAATGGGGTGGGCCATGGGCTCTAGCTTGCCATCTCCTGAGCTAGAGGATAACTACACTTCTGAGTTTATACACTGGTAGCATTTTACTATATATTTCCAACCAGAAACTTTTATTCTGGCTGAATTTCAATATTGGACACATCATAGATTTAAGAAATATTAAAATTTATAACTATTAAAGCTTTAGATTGGATTTTTTTAGTGTGAAATTATAAAATTCATTCTTTTTAATATGAATGCATATAGGAAACTTGTCTTATTGCGTGATGCCATAGCATTCTTGAAACCTTTTCTCCCAGGTCATGTTGCCACTTACTTGTTAAATTAACATTACCGTTGTCACGGACATGCTGACTTGTTCGGAGATGACAAACAAGTCAATGAAATAAATGTAGGAGAAAAGGAAATAGGAAAATGGGGAAAAGACTCAAACAAATTTGTCAACATATGATTATCAGGTGTCCATCTTTTATAAAAACACAAAACCTCTGTGAAAAATAACATTGAATAGTCCTTTAGGATTCTTAATCTTCTTCATAATGTATTCTTTCCTTAATTATAAAATGTGCAGCTAGATTAAAGGTATATCAAGCCACTCAATCACATTCATTAACCTTAAATGAGCTACATTGCATATGAGAAGACTTGTACAGTCAATTTCCCCTAAAATGATATATCACAATTCTTGTTACTCCAAAAGTAAAATAAATCAGTTTAGGTGTTTCATTGCAATGGGTCATTGTTACACCCATAATAAAGAGGCAGATATTCAGCCCTGTGATTCAGGCAACAATAAAGCTAATTATCAAAATGCTTGATAGCTGAAAGCCATCTTCCCTGTTTCTTTTTTTTTTTTTATGCCACTAAAAAAACCCACCAAAAAAACACAAAAAAACAAGCAACATAAACCAGACGTCATCTCTGAGTCACTGACTGAAGAAAGTAATGAAGGTTCATTATGATCACAGCATATTCCTTTGCTTCTGCTAAGAACAATATGTCATGAAAAATAAAGATTTTATTTTTAGGGTGGCAGACAGGTAATCATTCATTTATGTATCCACATGCGAGAAAATCAAAAGTAAAATGTGAGGACATGAGACTTCTGCCTCCATCTAATCTCTGTATCTTCATTCACCCCCATTGCCACAGAAATATTTTGGAAAAAATATTCAAGGCATGGAGGGTAAACAAAAGTGAAAGAAAATTTAAAGATGATCTACACTTTTCAAAAGAGCAACCAGGTGACAGAGACCTCTGATCTTGAGAAAAGGCAATCAAGCGGATCTATCCTGAAAAGAAGCAATTCTGTTCTTGCAGCTTCAATTCTCACATTTGTAAAATGGAACAAATAATACCTTCCCTGGCTGACTCTGAGGCTTGTTAGAATCAAATGAGAGAATACATGTGAAAATGCCTTCTAATCTAATGTAGCTTCATGGAAATGAAGGGTTTAAAAATCTTGCCTAAATTAGATTCCTTCTCAGGTCTGGTCTTCAGACTTAATTGTGAGCTTTGCATTCCTATTTTCTACCTATGCTACTCATTCATCTCTTTACTTTGATTTATCTTGCCTAAATTCCACAAATTAGAGATTTAGATAAGGAATTTTTTTTTAATCCATCCATCCGTCCATCCATCCATCTGTTCACTTGCAGTTGGGGGGAGGCTTCAAAAAAGTATTAGCAATTGAATTGTCTTGATGAATATTTCCAGGTAGAGAAGGACTTTCCAAACAAGGAAACTGGTACACGAAAGGTCAAAAAAGAACATGATTGGCAAGCCATTTGGTGTGGTTAGATTGCTGAGTAAGAAGGCAAAATGGGCTGGTAGGAGTGGTTGTGGAGAAATTGTGAAAGACTCAGCTTGGCAATTTGGACCTGTTCATGGAGGTAAAACATAGCACAAGCTTTCTTTTTTGTTGTTGTTTTTGTTTTTTTTATTTTGCTTTTTTGAGACAGAGTCTCGCTCTGTCGCCCAGGCTGGAGTGCAGTGGCGCGATCTCTGCTCACTGCAACCTCCATCTCCTGGGTTCAAGCAATTCTCCTGCCTCAGCCTGTTGGGTAGCTGGGACTACAGGTGTGCCCCACCATGCCAGCTAATGTTTGTATTTTTAGTAGAGATGGGGTCTCACCATGTTGGCCCAGGTGGTCTCAAACTCCTGACCTCAAGTGATCCGCTCGCCTCAGCCTCCCAAAATGCTGGAATTACAGACGTGAGCCACCGTGCCCAGCCAACAAGTTTTAAAAATTTAGACAAATTCTATGAAGATTTGGGGGCTCTTAAGCCCTAAAATTTAGGGTATATTTATTTAACAAGCTTGCTTTCCTTCTAGCAAAGGAAAAATAATCTTATTTAGTGCCAAGAGCAAGTAAATAATTTACCAAATTCTAGTTCTTTGGGGACAAGAGGTAGCATTGGTTGGAAAAAAATGAATAATGAGAAATGGAGGTAGAATAATAAAATCTGGGAAAGTGTCAAAAAGATTATCTCATTTCTAAACTTTACATGGATCCAGCCCTGTGCCCTGCAAGGAGAAATACTCACCTAGTATTAAAGTTTATTATCTTCTGACCTGGCCTGTCACACCACCGTATATAATACATTTTCCACTGCAAAATTATTCTGACTAAAATTTTGCTCACAAACACTTTTGGAACATAACCTATTTGTGAGTAGCTTTGAGGTCAGGAGGAATTTTACTCTCTGCATTGAAGGACCTAGATGTCAACATTCCATGTGCTTGAGGGCTCAAGTTATTGAAAATAATTCTGGAAGTTATAGAATATTAAGAATGCTAGGAAGAAACTCAGAATGCTTTTTCCTCCTCTCTAATTTTACAGCTGATGAAAGAGATGTTTGCAGATATGGATTCCCTAGGTGTACTTGATCTGCCCAAACATTGTCTATTCTGCAACCATTGGGCCTACTATACCCGACTGGGTAGGGCAAAGGAAATCTCAGGAAACCTTTCTAAAGTGGGGTGAAAGGTTTTGCTAGTAAGCCCATTCCATCTGACCTGAACTTCTCAGCTATAAAATAAGGAGTGTGTACCAGATGGGTTATAAAAGCCTTCTCTGTGCAACTGATTGAACCTTCCTTTTGGAGGTATAGGTTTTTATTGGTGTGAGTCAGAAGCCAAGTGAATTGCCAGCCATGTCTGTCTCTTGTTACCAAGGTTTGCCCAGAGTTTCTTTGGGAAGTATTCCAGAGAGATGAAAAGTGGTATATATCCAATGTCTGCAATATGCCTTATTAATTGCAAAAAGAGATCTTTTCTGAAAAAAGATATTAAAGGGATGGAGAAGACTCTTAGAAGGAGACCTAGGTCGGGCATGGCCGATCACTCCTGTAATACCTGGCCTTTGGGAGGCCGAGGCAGGTGGATTGCCTGAGCTTAGGAGTTCGAGTGCAGCCTGGCCAACATGGTGAAACCCTGTCTCTACTAAAATACAAAAAATTAGCTGGGCATGGTGGCAGGTGCCTGTAGTCCCAGCTACTCAGGAGGCTGAGGCACAAGAATTGCTTCAACCCAGGAGGGGGAGGTTGCAGTGAGCTGAGATTGTTAGTTTGGGCAACAGAGTGAGACTCTGTCTCAAAAAATAAAAATAAAATAAAATAAAAAGGAGGCCTAAACTTCTTTTCACTTTAAGATGCAAAAGTGGCCTATGCCTTATAACCTTTCACATAAAATAAGGCAGACAGGTGGGTCGTTAAGAAGTAAGTAAGAAAAAAAATGACTTTCTTTGATTTGGAGGAAGTCATTATATATGTGAGTTAAATGTACTCAAATGATTGCTGCAGAACCAAATACAGTAGTACAGGAAATTAATTGTGGTAAAAATTTAAAATGCTATAAAAAACTGTGTTAATTTAATTTCCCATTACTTTGTAGAATGCACAGAACATAAAATTCACAGAACAACTCATAAAGCCAGTCACTTTATTCTTCTGACTGTGAGGCTATCCTCTCACCTTCGTGTTGTAGTTTTTTAAAGAAGAGATTATCTTGGAAGAGTATTGTTTTTATCTATGCATGTCCAAAGGGCAGCACAGATTATACCATATGTTGCTTTTTGTATATAGCAGATCTTTGTTCATGAATCTAAACCTGACTCAAACATCTTTGTCTCAGTGTTCTGTAAAACTGATGGATGTTGCCTAGAGCTGCTTATCTTTCAGTCTCCTATTTACTGATTTTAGTGCTTTGTGAAAATATAATAGAGTAAATAGGCTCTGGAGCCAGAACATCTGGGTTAGAATCCTGGTTTTGTCATGTACTAGCTGTGTTACCCTAGGGAAGACATTTAGCATCTCTGTGCCTCAGTACTCCATCTAGAAAATGAGAATAATGATAGTGCCAACACTTCATAGAAACAAAAAGATTAAGCAATTTGATATAAAAGGGCCTGACAAGACCTAACCCATTGTATATATTAATGTATGCTAGTTACTATTGTTGTTGTTTTGCCCTTGATTCAATTGTCCAAATTATTTTATACTATGGAAATTCTTATGGGTTTATGTTCTTCAACACCCATATTCAAGGGTCTTCATATAACATTTCTTCTGTTCTTGAACTTACCTCTGTAAGTTAGATCTATTATCAAAGAAAGAGAAGAGGAAATTCTTTAACATCTGCTTGTTAAAACAAGACTCCAAAGAAACAGAAACACAGTAATTGAATAACAAAGTCTAATATGGTGGTTCAAATTAAATATTCCAATGAAGAGTCAATTGGAGCTTATGAAGGCAGGACTTTTTAAAAGTAGATGCAGTCCAAGTGAGGAATCTAGCTTGCAAATATGTTTCAAATTATGATAGCCAGTTACAAAGGTTGCCAGATGCAAAAGAGAGTACATGGTTAAAAGATGGATTTCAGAGTAAATAACCAGTAACTTTTTACGTAAATATATCCCATACAATGTCTAGGCCATACTTATGCTAAAATAGTTTTCATTGTTTACCTGAAATTCAAATTTAACTGTATGTCCTGTATTTTTATTTTCTAAATCTAGCAACTCAACTCACGTGTTATCTTTATAAACGTGGATTTTAGTTGTCTCCTTCTAAAATTTGGAAGATTTTACATAGAAATACACTTCCTTGTCTTCTTTTGAAAAATTTGGCGATCTGGCAAAACTACGCCTAAGTGACAACAATAAGGTGGCTGGAAATGCAGCTGCCCCTCCCTTTATGGAGCATGTACTCTCCAGACCCCACAGCCCCTTCCCCTAGTCATTGTCTTTCTTCTTGCCTTTTACACTAATTTATCTCACTGTCTCCTGGAAGCCATTGACTTTGGGATCCTCACTGTAATGGCTACATAGGAATTTGTAATATTAATGTATTTTGCTCATTTTACCATGAGCATCTTAAATAAATGTTCAAATGTATGCTAAGTTAGTAAAGACTAAAGCACAACCTATTTACTCTGTGATCTGTGATACTTTGCCAAGGCATCATCCAGCTAAATAGAAACATTTTCTTCAGAGCTGTGGTGTACTAATATGGCCTCTGGGACTTATTACCCACTGACCCTCTTAAATGCTCCCTCCATCCCCCTTCTGAGAATTTTAGCTTCTAAGATTCTGGCAACTGACAAATGAAGAATAATAATGCTAACGTTCTGCTCTACTGGGTCCAATCCAAGGACAATAACAGGAATACTTGCATTCCCTTGCAACTAAACTTCATTAGCAATTTCCATCTTAAAATGTTTTAATGCATGGTGTTCAGAAGTGGTTAAAATGAAATGGAGGGTATTAACTTACATTGGTAATTTCTTGAATTATGCTTGACTTAATATGTAAAGAGTATTGCTCACATTATACCTGTCACAGATGAGAAAGTCATACCTGGATGAATGTAATCCTTCTATTGGTTTGTGTGGACACAAACCATCAGAGGGTTAGTTGAAAATCTTTTGAGACTCAGAGAAATCAGATGTGATATTAATACTACAGACTCACCATGTGAGCATAAAAGTGTTGATAATTTTCGAAGGTAAAATGCATCTAATAAAAATGTCATTCTTTTGTTCCTGTATCTCTGAAGGATGACTGTTTATATTTACAGTGTTGACCAGAACAGCAGTACAATCAGTCAATGAATTAAAATAATCTCTTTTCATAACCACTAGCTGTTATCTTTTCAGTTTTATGTACTCTCAAGCAAACATGTTCTCTGAGAATGCATCTATATGTCCAAGATAGAAATTGCAATATGAAAGTTTCCAAGTTATTATTAGGGAGTAAATGAGGCACATATTAATGTAAGTCTATAAGTCTAGATTCAGCGGCACTTTTCTGCTCTACTGTTGGACGGAAAACCCAGTATCTGCACTGATTTGTTTTTAGGTCAACACTTTACTTATAAAAGCAAATTATTTAAGAAGGCTTGCTAATGGAAACTACCATCATCAAATATACAAAATTCATATATATATAGGAATATATGCATGGACATGAGAGATCGAGAGATTTTTTAAAAATTCATAAGTCTGGCATTTTATTCAAGGAAAACACATTTAGATAAATTTAAATACATCTACTTCAAAATAAGGTAATAGGCTATTCAAGCAAACTGACAAGCAATCAGGTTAGCTTTAAGAATAGAGATTTACCAAAAGTGAGTGTTAATCGAGTCTCTCATTATTTCTTTTGGGTTTAGTCTTCAGCCCTAAAACTATGCAAACATCTCAAAATTTTGGTAAATCATTAGAAAATCAAAGCATTGTGCTTACAATTTGTTGTTAAGTATGACATGTGCATTCTTTTATTCATTAAATAGTTATTGAAGTGCCCTTGTTTGCTGGTCACTGTTCTAGACACTGGAGACAGAACAGTGAGCAACAGAGACAAATCCTCTCTTCTCCTACAGTTTGCATCGCAGTAAGAAAGAACTAAGGTAAGCAATAAATGAGCAGTTTTCAGGCAGTGTCAGGGTGATGAAGAAAAATGGAGATGGGAATGAGAGACACCAAGGGTCAGGGCTGGGAAGGCTATTTTATATTGGGGAATCAGATTTGGGTTGGGAGACAGGGGTAGCAGAATGCAGCCATCCATGTAGGGATCTGCATTAAGAGCTTTGTGGGGGCAGAAACAACAGCAAGTAAGAATCCTAAAGGTGGGACTAGCTTGGCCAGTCGAGGAGCTGAAAGAAAGTCATTGAGGCTGGATGCTAGCAAGCCAGGGCTAGAATGGTGAAGATGAAGCTGAGAGTTAAGCAGACTGGACCATGAAGGAGCATCCATGCATATATTCCTCTCAGCCCAAGATTCCCAGATTCATCTTTTTTCAACACCTGATAGCCTTCTGTTATTTCCTGTTTCAAAATTTGTCAGCATCTTCCCACTGCCTACAGAATGAAGTTACATCTCTCAAGCATGGTACCTCTGTTTCTCACTACACATTAGAGTCACTGAGACATCTTTTAAAAATACGAGTGCTCAAGTCCCACCCCCAAAGTGATTAAATTGTAGACTGACAGTGATATTTTTATCCAGCTTCCAGTTGATTCTAAGGTACAGGTGATGTTGAAAAACATTGGCTTAGATCTGTGCAATCTAATAGAAATATAATACAAGCCACACGTATTTTAATGGCCACACTTAAAAAAGTAGAATGAAATAGGTAAAGTTAATTTTAATAATATATTTTTTAGCCCAATATAGCCAGAATATTATCAGTTCAACATGTAGTCAATATTAAAAATATTTAAAATATTTTACATTCTTTTTTCATACTAAATCTTTGGAATCCAGTGTGTATTTACTCACATCTTAATTCAGATTATAAATATTCATCACAACTATTTGATATACATTTGGAGTGTACAAAATTTATAGTTACAAAAGTAGATTTCCATATACAAGTTGTTCATCACACATTTAAAAGTTTTCCAATAACTGAATACATTTCGTCATTTAAAAATTTAATTGTAAATTAATTAAATAAAATTAAAAACTAAGTTCCTTAGTCATATTAGCCACATTTCAGGTGTTCATTGCCCATATATGTCCAGTGCCTACCCTGTTGGGCAGGGAAACACTAGACGGTAAGTGTAACCTACTTTCCAGTATCACAGAATGCTGGGTAAAAAAATAAAAAACAAAAACAGAACAAAAAGCACCTTGAGTTTTATAGACAGACATCAATCCCAACTCTGTGCTGTCAGATTATAGATTGGTTAATGCCTGCCAGTTTTCATTTCACATCTAGAAAATAAGAGTAATATTACCACATTACCATTAGAATGAAATACGAAGATAGTATGTCAAGTTCCTAGTATAGTGCCTGGTGTATATAATCCGCTTCTCATTAGTTAGAGCTTTCTTCTACCTCATACCTCTCTACCTGTAATCTTTCAACTCAGTTGAACCCCCATATTTAAAAAAACAAAAAGGATGAAAATTTTCATGTCTGTACACCTTTGGTGGTGATTAGCTTTCCCTCTAAATTCCTTTCATCCCTATCCTTTTTTCTTGCCCTGGTTATTTTGTTCATGAAGCTCCCCCACTAAACAAGATAATATGCATCTATTAATATATATTTTAAGATACTTTACTTTTGGCAGTGATTATATATGTTTTGTGTATTCTGTATCTGAGTCAGTAACTGCACACTGGTCAGCCACAAGCCAAATCTGGCGCATAATCCTGTTTGATTTTGCCCACTGCAGTGTTGGCTCAGACAGGGTTAAAAACAAATGGTTGCTAGCATTTTGGAATCAAACAGATTTGGATAGAACTTAGATGTGCAGCTTCTTTTGAAAATAATAAAAAGTAGCACTGGCAACACAAGGCCTGCGTTTCCACATAGTGGTAATCTGCTGAGCTGAATTGAAGCTATTCCCTTTAGGCCACCTGTGTTCTCCAGGTATTGACAGTCTCCAGTATTCCCTCTTGTTTTTCTGATTCTGAAGCTGAATGTCAGTTGTTGTTTATCATCACTCATGCTAGCAATTTTGATATACCTCTCACACTTCTGTCTCTAGCCAAAGTATGCCAATGAATCCACCACTTCTGATCCGTTTCAATGTTAAATCTGTCCTCTGTAACTCCACACCTTCTCCATCCCTACAAAAAAACCTAAGGTCTTTAGCATGCGCAAGTATGAGATCATTTTCATCTGATTCCCGGTGAGGCGTATAGACTTTTAGAGATGGGGCTTGAGTGCTTTATTTGATGTGAGATAATGAATATCCTGAAATGTGCCTTTTGCTTTACAAATGTGTGGAAGTTTTCCAGTTTGGTTAAAACCCCACATGGAGTGATCTTCAAGCCCAAAGGACAAGCCACATTGCATCAATTCTAAACAGGATTTTTTGGAAAATGGTAGCAACATAGCGAATGAGCTACTTGAAGCAGAACCCACTGATTTTTTTTTTCAGACTAGTCAGCGTTTTGGTGGTAGTGCATGATTATATCTAAGATGCTAGCAAAGCCCTTGGGAAGCAAAAGAACAGATACCGCTTATCAACTTCTATCGTTGGAGTAAGACCCCAGAATAGGAATGTATATTTTGTTTAGTTCTTAAGAGACTCTTCAAGGACTTATGGAAGAATTTCACATTTCCGTAACCAAGTTGAGAAACTTTGACATATGATTTTATCCTTTGTAACCTAGAGTTGTATTCATAGGATGGGTTGGGGGATATTTTCAGAGGATGTAAATTACTAAGGAATTATTTCACATTTTGAAGTTTTGAGAGTTACTTTTGGTTTTTTGAAATAAAAATATTTTCAGAGGTCATTAAGCTAAAGTTTCTCATTTAATGCTTTAGGAAGGAAATGAGGTCTAAGGAAGGTTCACTGGTTGAGCCCAGTTCGCCCAGCTAGATATTGAGGAAGTTTCTACTTGAATTCAAATATCCTTTCATCTGGTAAAGCTCATGAAATGCTTATCTATTAGCATTTAGTTTATATCTAAAATTATGTTAGGATCATAAGGATAATACTGCTAACTTTTAAAAAATGGTAACATGTTATTTTGGAAAATTTGGAAAATTATGCCATTGGTATAGATCATCGTGTATTATTTTTAGAAAAAGTACTTTAATTTTGAAAAAAATTCAAACTAGAAATATATTTATTGATCTTTTTCCTGATTATAATGCAAGATCATTTTAATTTGATTTAAATAATTCAGGAACATTTAAAGAAGAATGAAATATCATCTAAAATCTTACAGGCAAAGATTAGCAATATTAGTACTTTGGTGCATATTGTTTCAGATATCCATATAAAATTTTACATAAGTGGGCTGGGTGCGGTGGCTCATGCCTGTAACCCCAATATTTTGGGAGGCCGAGGCAGGTGGATCATTTGAGGTCAGGAGTTGAAGACCAGCCTGGCCAACATGGTGAAACCCCTTCTCTAGAAAAATTAGCCGGGCCTTGGTGGCGCACACCTGTAATCCCGGCTACTCTGGAGGCTGAGGAAGGAGAATCGCTTGAGCCTAGAGGCAGAGGTTGTGGTGAGCTGAGATGGCACCACTGTACTCCAGCCTGGGTAACAGAGTGAGATTCCATCTCAAAAAAAAAAAAAAAAAAAAAAGTTACGTAGGTGGGATGACACATTTATATTTTAAGCATCTTCTTTTTGCCTTTTCTCTTTTAGAAGCTTACCATCATTCCCATGAATAAAGGGCAATATAATTTTTTATGGTGGCCCAAGAACGTCATTGAATAATATGCTAGAATTTATTCTGTCACCATAACATTTAAGTTGTTTGTAATTTTTTACAAGACACATAAAAATGAACATCCTTATTTAGGTATTTTTAGACAACTCTCTGTTTTCTTGAAATGAATCCCTAGTATTGGAATTAATGAATCTAAGGATATACATATACATTATATATTTTGACACATATTTACAGAGATAGTAATTTAATGTTGATTTACCCATGTTTTTACCAGCAGTGTGTTTTATCATGTTTTTATTCTTTGCCAATCTACATGAAAAAATGTATCACTTTGATTTTTATATATTTGGTTAATATTTCTTTACCAAATTTCTTTTGTGAATTTTTTAGGTGGGAGTATGTTTTTAAAATATGTAAAAACAATATATTAGATATATCAAATAATATACAGCATATGTAAATGATATTAATATATAAAACATACATCAAATAGCCATATTTATGTATGCCATATATAAATATATACACATTTATGTACTTTCTCTTTAGAAAATGAAATCCAATTCAATGTGTCCGCTCAGTAAGGTAACTAAAGACACTAAATTGGTTTCATCTATGAGGTTGTTAGTAGCACCTGTCCCAAGCAGTCGAAGCTCTGCCACTAATGAGGCAATGTGATTGGAGGCCTGTGTTTGCATTCTTTTTAGATCTAAATTTTCGAACTTATTAGATGAGGAGGAAATTATAAGAAATTATTTATAAGGACCCTTCCAGGTCTAATTTTTTTTAATGTGTTTGCATTTTATTAAGGTTTTCTAATACCGTTGAAGCTCTGAAAAGCATTAAACTTCTTAATAGCAAGACATGAAAAATTGTAACTCAGCAGTCTAATTTGATCAGTTAAACAACACTGTACTTAATTTTAGTTTTTTATTTCAAGCAAACCAAGTCATTTTAATTGTATGGCTTATATATCCTGGGTATTTGAAATCATAGGATTCATTTCCTGATGACTAAATCTCCCGTTGCATTATAATTTTCAGTATAGGAAGCTGAGCTGAAGTACTTTCTTCTTCCCTGATATTCCATCTAATAGTACAGATCCTTGACCTGTACTATTCTCAAGGTCTTAAACATAGCAAGAATACCATTTTCTTCATCAAATGTAATAAAGACAACTAAAAATTTTCGTTGATCCCCTTTGGCCTCTAATGAGCCAATAGTTAAGGTGAAATTGATGCTTTAGTTTGTCTGAAAGATTGTGCAAGGGTGGAAGGGCAGCAGCTCAGCATCTGTGCTGTGGTGGACACCTGCCCTTTCTCTTCACATCTCCCTTCAGCACTGGGAGTTAAGACTAGTGAGTAAAACCTCCCAAACCTGGCTCCATTGCTTTCTAAGTATATTGGCAAGTGACTTATCAGGCTAATCTCGGTTTCATCATCTCTAAAATTGGAATAAAAATCCCTTCCTCATGGGGCTGTTGCCAGGGACAACAGATGTTAATAATTGCTGACGTTTGTCCAGTGCTGTGTGCCAGGGGCCATGGTCAGGGCTTTGGCATGGTTCTCACAACCTTGCACACTTGACACTTGATCCTTAATGAATGTTACTTTATTATTTTCACAATCATCTTGCAGGGGTGAAAACAAAGGAAACATTTTATTCCAATTGTGTAAGGGAATATAAAGTGGATGTGAGGAGGTTCCTGGCTGAGCCTTGCTTGCAAACCACCTGAGTCCCTGACTCCTGGAAGCCCTGGAGCCAATGCATGGGATCTTTACCAGGACAAAATTTCAAATAGCCACATGAGTACTCTTCTGATTTTGACAAAAGCAGTCAGTGATTTCTGAAAAACAAACAAATTAAATCCATGATCGTCAGGGGTCGACCAAACATCCTAGGTAATCGCTGACAACGTCCTCATCCTCTATTCAATGGTCACTGCAAACCAATTCCTTTTTACTGTTCTGTATCACGTTTTTCTTCCTGAGCTCTTTACTTCTTCACTGACCACCTTCTGAACACTCACACTTCTCCTTAGGCAACAGACGCAGACTACAGGCCGATTTGATATGTGGAGTTTTTGTTTCAAATGTTTCGTTGTAAACTTTTAAATGTTGGGAGTTTAAAATAAAATAGAATCCAAATTTCTGAGTTTGAAATTTCTGGCTTTTCTTGAAAAAATTGGTAGCCACAACAGCCCTGGGCTCACCTTGCCCACATCACTGCAGTTGGTCAGTGGCCGCCTTAGGTGGACTGCCTGCTCCTGCCCCGTTACCCCCAGCGCTTTCTCTCTTTTTTTATTTACCCAGCTTTACTTTTCATTACTTACCTAGTCCTACAGACATACTTGGCGCGTGACCTGTGCCCCATGCAGATTTGCTCTTTTCCTCTTAACTTCCACTTGCTTGCTTTCTTCTGACATCTCTCCTTCCTTCCCCGCTTCCAGGAGCCAGCTCCGTGTTTACATCTTCCTTTCTACTCCTCGCTTCTGTCCCTGTAGTAACGCGAGCAGAGCAAGGAAATGAGAAATGCTGGGTCCTACCAGCAGGGGGTGGGAGAGTCCCAAGAAGAAAAGGGAAGGAGCTTCTTTGTAGGAAGACCTGACACCCTTTTCCTACCTGTAATTACTGCTGATGCCTGCCAGACACCCCTGTTATTTACCACCTCTTCCTCCCTCTCACTTTCTGCAGGGCTCATTGGGCTGATGGTGGGTATTATAACGGAAAGGCCTTCATCCAGGTCCATGTAGCGGTGCGCCTAAGCACCTGCGGGCTCTGCATCAGAATCACCTAAGGAGTTGCGGAGCATGCCGCTTCCTGGGCATTTCTCTGGCAATTTGATTCAGTAGATCTGGAATCGAACCTTTTAGAAGTGAGCCGCGTCTTCCGAGAAGCAGTTCCCCAGAAAGACATTTGGAAGCCAATCCAAACTTCCCTTTAAATGTGGGAAAACTGAGATCCAGACAAAAGGCAAGATTTTCTAAAAGGCTCATTCTACAAAATAGTGTTTAAGTCTAGGATTGAGAAATCCACTTCATGGGAACATTCATTAGACGTGCCAGAGGGTATTTGTTTTTCAGTGCAATATCCAATCTAGGCCAGTTTTCATTTCAACCAAAGCTACAGAGAATTTTAATGTTGGAAGTTTCATATTATTTTTTAATCCAGATTTTTAAGAAATGGCCTCCCTGAGCCTGGATTCCCACATAACACCACTTAAGTTAGTAAACGCAGTCATCTGAGTGCTTGAGTCAGTAGTTGGTTCTGAAATAGGACAACTTCATGGACGTACATAATTACAATTATAACAAGAGCAAAATGAATGGCTTGTTAACATTGGAGAGGTTTCTTCCTCACATATTTCCTTGTATTCTGTTGCATATTTGAGGTTTTTTTTGAGATGGAGTTTTGTTCTTGTTGCCCAAGCTGGAGTGCAATGGTGCCATCTCGGCTCACTGCAATCCCCGCCTCCTGGGTTCAAGCGATTCTCCTGCCTCAGCCTCCCGAGTAGCTGGGATTACAGGCATGCGCTACCACGCCCGGCTAATTTTTGTATTTTTAGTAGAGACGGGGTTTCTCCATATCAGTCGGGCTGGTCTCGAACTCCCGAGCTCAGGTGATCTGCCCACCTTGGCCTCCCAAAATGTGGGATTACAGGTTTGAGCCACTGCCCCCAGCCTATTTGAGTTTTTTAAAAGCCTTGAGAATTGCTTTTGTTTTTTTACTACTTAATGACCTCTGTGCAAATTCATTTCATAGGTTGAGGCTCTGAGCAGCAGGACATTTTCTAATCATGTTTTGCCATAGTTAGAAGGTAGACAGCCATGACTGCTGGATTAAAACACCTAGGTCTGTGAACTTTGCGGCTAATGTTTTTTCGGAATTCCACAGAGAACCCAGAAAAGGATATTAATTTTAAGTGAATAAGTACAATTTTACTCACAGTCTGGGGAATATTATAAGATTACAAGTATAGCTAATTTCAAGAATTTTATGAGCTTTCGTAGAATACATACTCAAGGGTAAAACCTCAAAAAATTTGCATGCATGTAATTAAACAGCAAATAAGCCACAACAGAGAGCAGTGGTACAATCTGCAAATCTGTCCTTAAAATTTGCATTGAATGCTCTCCTTACGATTCAGTGGGATACATGTTTTTTGCTGCCTCTGCTTTTGGGTTTCTGTATAGTCAAGGGTGAGTCACAAAACAGTTTTGATCACTGGTAGGAGGGATTTTTGAAGGGGGTGAGAAACCTAGAAAGTAAAATCTTGGAAACCAACGAAATGCCCTTGTGTTTTATTAGCTAGCACTTTTTATAGTTCACAATAAAGTCAGCTCGGAAGGTCACTTCTTGAACACAGCTATGAATATTGTAATGTGTGAGTTTTCAAATTGTTTATAAGCAGACTGGGTGAGGATTTTTAATAAATACTTGGCCAAGAGAACTATTCTGATAGATACGTATGGGAATCGTGCAATGAAAATTGGAATTGGATTCCTCTCCTTTCCCCCTACTTTTTCCTCACCCCAAGGCAGCAAGTTCCAACTACATTGAAAATGTGGTTACTATATTCTTGTTTTTCTTTTTGCATTTGATATTTTTAGAAAATGTGGGGGTATTACAGAGCTATTTACATACCTTATTTCTAACTCAGCTGAAGGATTTTGTCACCTTTATTCCTGGCACCTTTATTCTTGCCATCTTATATATATATTTTAAAGTTTCTCTGTGGTAAACACAAGGTTCCCACAGATAAAATTCTCACCTGAATGACTTTCTTTTTCAGCTCAAAAATTAAGGTGTAATTATTGGACGCAATACCAAGTAGGTTCATGTAGGTAGGGCAATGGGAAAACGTCAGTGAGAGACAGAAGTTAAAAAGCAGAAAGCCCATAGGTTTGCTGGAATAATTTTCTCCATGTCACATCCTGGACAGACAAGTGTTTGATCAAAAGGACAAGATGCAGGTTAGTAATATCTGCAGAAACAGCATTAAAGTTAGAGTCAATAGTATATTGTGATGATGCACATCTATAATTCACATCCCTTTATTCGTGCTATTTTTTGGAGAAAGTTCACTTCGTAAAACAATGCGATTCACATCAATAAAACTGAACTAATATACAACATTGCTGATGTACAGATATTCTTCTACTTGATTTATGAAACAAGGTGACTAGGATAAAGCAGTTTGGCTCAAGTTCAGTTTTTAGCCATTTCAATTTCATTTCTCAAGCTGTGATTTGGGCTGTGTGCTGTTGCTTACGTTTATCTTCCTTAGTTATGAAGTTAATTATGACAAGCTGATTGTGGTCTTTAGCACTGATGAGTGGCCTTTGAAAGATTTGTTGGCAATTTTGCTTGATATTTCTTTTTGTTGAACATGCATTTTAAAAATATGAGAGCCAGCTAGTCAGTTTCAGTTTATTTTATAGTAATTTTGTACAGTCGCTTCCCATCTTTTATATGAAAATATATTACAGAATTTTTGTTCCTAATGCTGAAGAGAGATGACAATGAAACTTTTACAGTGGGATCATTTGAAAGTAGGTAAGCATATCAACATAAGTAACTTAACCGTATTACCCTGAGTAACATTGATATTCATTACAGAAAGCATTTTTGTTTTTAGCAAATGTAAGTAGACACACTGTCAACACCTAACTGTCATTCAACATGTGTGACTCAATAAATTTTTTAGGGGAGGTGGAGTATGGTATTCAGATTCTCAAGAAATACTAATGCTGCACATAAAATTCTTATATCATGTTGTAGAACCCAGAGATTTTTTATTTTTCCCACTTTAAAACAAGTATTTAAAGATATAAGAAGAAAATCTTTTGGATGAAATATTTTTCTTGTGTATTCTGAAGGAAACACCCATCTTTCTGACCATAAATGTACCTTAATTTTTCTAACTCCTCAAGATAATAATGCAAATAGTTGTTTGCCTACAACTAAGACTAGCCCTTTGGTATAATGCTCTATATCAGAGTATAGCATGTACGGGCTTGAGGCATGATAGATTCGCTTATACATGTTAGAATGAGATGATAAACTAATTCATTGTCCTGCATTGGTATCCCAATATTGTACTCCTTCCAATGGTCAGTAACAAAAGATAGCTAAGAGAAAAATAGGTGTACATGTGAAATTATTTTGGCCGGGCGCGGTGGCTCACGCCTGTAATCCCAGCACTTTGGGAGGCCGAGGCGGGTGGATCACGAGGTCAGGAGATCGAGACCATCCCGGCTAAAACGGTGAAACCCCGTCTCTACTAAAAATACAAAAAATTAGCCGGGCGTGGTGGCGGGCGCCTGTAGTCCCAGCTACTCGGGAGGCTGAGGCAGGAGAATAGCGTGAACCCGAGAGGCGGAGCTTGCAGTGAGCCGAGATCCCGCCACTGCACTCCAGCCTGGGCGACAGAGCGAGACTCCGTCTCAAAAAAAAAAAAAAAAAAAAAAAAGAAAATATTTTAAAGTGGTTCAGGAAAATTGGTGTGAATTGTTATTATTATTTTCCTCCAATTGGTTTTTCCAAGAGACTCTATCTGTGTCGACAATTTCCGAGTCTCTTTGAGGCTCAAAGTCATGGGTGGGTTACCCTACTTCACTTGATTTGAAGCCCTAGTCCCAGAAATTCTCAGCTACAGTGAGGATTAGTACTCTTCTAAGATGCCGGGCATTTGTGTTGGTGGTTTTTTGTTACAAATGAAAGTGCTTTAGTATTTCTTGGTTTGTGGGCCAAGCTGTATTTCCTTATGAGTAAAGAACAAACCTACACACATATAACAATGTTTTTAAGATAGGTTGAGGGGGTACATTAAACAATCAGTTTTTCATAGACAGTCTTTGCATTCAGGTACCCAGCTGCAATTTGAAATCAAATAACAATTTAATTTTGCTTTTCATACTTTCCATTCCTGAAATGTCACCACAGACTGTATTTTATTTGAAACAAGCAGAGATATTACTATGCATAGTAGTTCTTTAATTGCAGCATATTTCATTAGGTTGCACACATTAATTACACTCTATTGGAAAAAAAAAAGAAAACTGGAAGCAACCACATGGTAGTTAACTTCATATGAATTTTCATGAGTCAATATACACATTGGTTTGATGCTATTAGATGAGTGATCCTCGAAATTTCATAATTCGAGGACTAATATGACCAAATGTGTAATTACAGAGTTGGCAAGTTTAACCACTCTGAAGAACATGTTTTAGTGCATCTGCTTATTTAAAACTTTAATCTAAATTCAGATTATTTGATGTTAGCCACTGACAATGATGTCGTTCATCACCATTTTCTATGTTACCTCAACTTTCTTCTATTCTTGATAGTATTTTCACAGTCTCCTATCTGTTGGTCAGGTTATACATATTTGTTTAATCAGTGACCATATATTGAGAGATGACAAATGCTGTTATTGAAGCTCAGGATACAATAGCGAAGGAGAAAAGAAGCCTGCCTTCGCAGGGCTTGTATTCAAAGTGGGAAAAGGGGAGACAGAGATTATGCCAGCAAGCACATGATGAATTGATGATAGTTTTATTTTTATTTATTTAAGACACAGTTTCACTCTGTCACCTAGGCTGGAGTGCAGTGGCACTATCTTGGCTCACTGGAACCTCTGCCGCCTCCCGGGTTCAAGCGAGTCTCGTGCCTCAGTCTCCCCTGTAGCTGGGATTACAGGCACCTGCCACCACGCCCAGATAATTTTTGTATTATTAGTAGAGATGGGCTTTCACCATGTTGACGAGGCTGGTCTCAAACTCCTGACCTCAGGTGATCCACCTGCCTCTGCCTCCCAAAGTGCTGGGTTTACAGGCATGAGCCACTGCATCTGGCCAGATAATAGGATAGTGGCAAGTCCTGCAAAGAAAGTTAAACAAGCTGAAAATGAGGTATTGACTTGAAAGGAAGATCAGTTTTGGGTATGATCATTCAGAAGGCTCTCTGAGAATCACACATTTACCTGACACCAGCCTGGGGAAAGTCTGGGAGGAGGAATTCTAGGCCAAGAGAAAAGCAAGTGCCAGGGCCCTGAGACGGGGTCCAGCTTGGAGGTTTGTTTTAAGGATCAGAAAAAAAGCCAGTGGCTGGATCACATAAATAAATTTGGAAAGAGATGAAGCTCAACAGGTAGGTGAGGACCACGCTATTTCAGGCTATATTTCTTGTTTATTGTGCCTCATTGGTTTTGTTTTAAATAATTGTTTCACATTTCCAATACAGCTTACTTATAAATTATCCTCTTCAAAATCTTGGCTTTTCTACTTTGTCACCCAATACAACAATTATCACATTAAATTATGTAATACTAATTTCTTCTCTGCTTAAGTTATATCGTGGATTCTTAAATTATATCAATATTTGTTTTGAATTCTTACTATATTCTATTGAGATGCAAATACTCCCCTCACCCCTCCCCAGAATTGAGACGTCCTTTCATGAAGTTTTCCTTCTCCTACCTGTTATTTTGTATCTTTGAGTAAGAAGAACCAAATGACGTTGGTGTTTATTTTCCTGTGGCACTGAATCTGGGATATTATAGTTGTCTGCGTAATCAGTTGAATTTGCTTTTAGCTGTCCTGCTTTCCAAGGGCCTTATCCTGTTAAACATTCACCTTCTCAAATTCTTTTTTATTTCCTGCTTCTCTTTCTAACCTCCAAAGACTTCTTATGATCTCTTACCAGTTTTTGCCTTTCCCATTAACTTAATATTACCTGTAGGTTTCATTAACTTGTTATTTCTCTGGCCTAGATCGTTAGTGAAGGTGTTAAGTGAGACTTGGCAAACCCTCCCACACCGAATATATTTTGCCATTTAAATTCTACTTTGCTTTGGGATCCTCAATCCCATTTTCAACAAACTATCTCTCCTTTGATCTGAATTTGGCTTGGAAACCAGAATTTGTGAATCCTTAGTTTCTATTACAAGAAGATTGGGTGCATAATGAATAAATGTAAAGATTTATTGCTTTCCTCAGTTCTGACAAGGACATTTCACATTGTATTTTGAGGAAGATTTTAACTGAGCACTTCATAAACTTGCTATTTTTCATTTTTTGGAAAACAGGACTCCAATATCATTGTGCAGCAAGCTTGAAGCTATGTTATGGTAATTTGACTTCTGGAGGCACTTAGGTAATCATTTCAGGAGAAAATTTTTCTTAACTGATCTCAGGTCCTATAAATCACTTCTGTTTATTGCTGTTGTTTCCACTAAGTTCTATGATTTGGAGATTTTTGTTTCTTAACTTCTTTGTTTAGACACTTGTTCAAATATATCCAAAAATAAAAACAACGTGGATTCGTTGCTGGCTATTTTCACTTTGTTACTACAGAGAGAGTTATACTGGGACCCTCTTTCTGTTCCTTTTCTGTCTCAGACCCTAATTCCTTCCATTCTGTCACAGGGTCCTAGCCCAACCATGTAAAACTTGCAGAAGGAGTGCCTGGAACTGCTTTTGCCACCCCAAGATGACCACTTACCTCCTTCCTATAACAGAGGCAAGAGAGGCAAAGAGAGGAACCGTAAAGGGAAAGTGACATTTCTTGGAAAGAGGTACAGGCACTTGTGAAGGGGCAAAGAAGGGGCCTGTCACCTTGGTCCCTTGAGTAAGTCTTCAGAGAGTGACTCAGGTCTCCTGCAGTCTCTTAGGCACAGAGGGTTCAAGACCCACTCCCACTTCCAAAGAATATAAGATGAGACAACACGGCTAGGGGTAGGAGAAAGGAGAGGGACTGCTTAGGAATGGCCTATGCTTCCGCATTCCACTGAAGGAAACGATGTGCTTTCTCTGCCCACTTTGTGGGAGAACCTTTCCCAAAGGAGACCTCCTGGAAGGCAGAACAGGTACAGGAGAAAGAGACTGGAGATGTCTGTGGGATGAAGACTGAGGGACCTTCTTAGTTTCAGTCAGTAGACACATTGGCTTTCCTCATGGGATCTGCAGTTGAGAAGTCCTCATAATGGCAAAGGGCGCAGGAGAAAATCTTTGAACAGTCAGTCATGAAACATCTTCCGTGACCAAAGGACTCCATGGCTAGGTTGCATCAGTGCTAGTCACACGAGGTCTTTTGTAACCTATATCTGTTATACCTTCTCTGCTTCCTTGCTGCAATCCTGGAAGCATCAGAAACCAGGGCAACAGAGCTGGGAACAGAGGAAGGGGAGAAATGTAAAACAATAAACTGAGATACGGAGGACCACGACTGTCCTCTATGACCAGGGATTGTAGGCTTGAAGCAGGGTTGAGGGAGGAGAGATGTAATCATTTAACTTTAAATGAACTGTGGAGTTGTTTAAATTAATATCTTGGAGTGAACATTTTAATTATTGAACAAGAGCATTTTTGTTAACTAAAAGTCATTTAAAGACTTTTCTTATCTGAGAATGATTAGAAAAGTTAGAGTTAGGCTAGATTCTCCCTAAATGGCAGAAAATAGCCATCCCCACAAGAACGGTCTTGTGGCCAATAGGAGCAGTGGCCAAGACTAGTTTCTTTTCACCTTATACCTGTGTAATTCCGTTCTTTCAACTTAACACTTACCTCTTTGCTTTTAGAGATTATTAAGAATATAAAGTCAGTGATGAGACTTTCTTTCAGTGAAACAGCTTGGAATCTCCTTGGACTCGGTTTACTCAGTTTTTATTTGAGATTTGCTTTTTATCTCTTGTAGTTTTTGGAAATGAAGCCCAAATTTGGCTGCAAAGAAATTCAGTAAGAAATGTAAACATCAAGAGAAGGTGACAGGATGATGAAGCATCTGAGATCCTTGCCAACTGAGGAACAGATATAGGGGCAAGGGGCATATTTAGCTTGTAAAATAAAAGATGTAAAGAGAATTTGGTGCCAATCTTTATATATTGTGGGAGAAAGACTCTATTTAATTCTGTATGTCTTCATCGAATCAAACCAGAAGCATTCTAGGAAGGGAGATTATACACTAACCTAAATTACAACTTTAACATGTTCAGAGCTGTTTTTAAACACTGGAGCTGGGTGTTCCTGTGAGAGTGAGCTGCTATCTCCAGATGTTTGCAAGCAGACAAAGACTGACTGGCTCAATGCAAGATATGCTGGCACAGACCCCCGCACTGGGGAGATTCTTGGATTTCATAACCTCAGGATTTCTTGCAGTGACCTAGGGCAGAATCTGCAGAGAATCTCAGTGCAACGTTTCTAGGTATTGATAGGGTGTCCTCGAAGGCGCACTGGCCAGGAAACTTGGACTATCATACCTCTGATATTAGCATTGTAATTTGCAGATTAGGCATCTATGCTCATAGAAATAGTTCCAGTGGTAACATATTTGTTCACCTGAGGCCAATGTGGCCTCTGCTCATACTGCAATTGTATAGTCATATTTTGCTTTCCTTTCTGGTTGTGGTAGCAGATGCAAATGTCAATTAACAAAAAAAAATGTTGCAGTGACATCAGACTTTGATTGGGTGCTACCAAAAACACCTGTGCACCTATGACATATGAAGCCTTACATAAGTGTTAGCATTGGTTTCACTTTAAAGATGTATTTTTTTTTCAAACTTACAACTATAACTAAAATAACTAAAGGTTCTGAAATGGATTTTTTGTACCTTGAGTATAGAATAAATAAGTTAATCTTTTATTATCGTAAATGAAGAAAGAAAAAAAAGCACAGGAGTTCACCTCCTTAGCTAATGTTCCACAAATATACATTCTGAGAGGAGTTATGTTTGAAGACATGGCTGCATTGTGGGGCTTAGTCCTCAAATTAAGACTCAAATAATCTTCTGTTTCTGGTATTTACAATAGGCTTGTATCTGTCTGCATAGAGACACAGCCTTCTGTCTGGCAGCAGAAATAGGATTTGTAAGGTTCATTTACTCATATAAGTAAATATAAGTATTTCCAAACATGCTGTTATTTTCACTATATCAAAAATCAAATCTCCTCATCTTGTACTTCTATCTAGCTAATGCCCTATTTCTGTGCTCTGCTTTACAACAAAACTTTCTAGGAATGGTGTTCCTGACCCTAGTATCACAAGTTGATTGCTGTTTACAATTTCAGTGTAGTGCTCAGACCTACAAGGCCAAGGAGTTGTTGTCCCGGAAGAAGCAAACCTTGATGTAAATCTTGAATTTGAAGTTAACAATTGAGGCAGTCTTTAAATGGGTTGAAAGAAGGCTGACGATAAAGTCCCCAGGTGAGCTGTGTGGCCTTGTAAGTCTAAGCACTAAACTGAAATAGTAAACAGCAATCAAATCATGATACTAGGTCAGGAACACAGAAGCCAATCAAAGACTTAGCAGAAAAGAGGTGACATTCCAGAGTTCCTGTGAGATGACAAACTTGCAGATACCTAAGAGTGCTATTTGAGACCTTGAATACCTATTCGTCACTTATGGACCTCATGTCTGAATCTGGTTTTGAAAAAAACCCTTCTTTTTCAACAGCTATTCTTCTTTGGAGAGGTCTAAATGAATTACCATGCAAAGGGAAAAATATATTTCCATACACTGTATTTTATAAATTCTAAACATATATATAATATTTTCCCCACTTATTAATTTTGTTTTACTGCCGTTAGAAGTCTATGCATACATTGAGCTTTAATGAATCTTTGAAATAATTTATTGATGATCTGGAATTTTCTCACAGCAGAGCCAACTAGAACTATACTCCTGCAGTTTTATGGAAGTAAATTGTGTCTGTATATCATAAGCCTATTAAGAGAATCGTGAGATCCTGCTGTTAATAGCTGTGAAGAGAATTATTTATCAATATGGTGGTCAGTTTTGAATGGCCCTTAGGTTACTAGATACCAATAAGGTTCATTCATTTTTCCTTGACACATCAGATGTTTGCTGAAAAGGGAGCAGAATACAATAAACTAAGGGCCACATGTATGCAGGTGATAAATCACGTAAACCTTAGGCATTGCCTTAGCCATTGGCATTCAAGTTGTGACATACAGTGTTTACTGAATCCTTTCCCTGGTTGTATTCAACACTTTCCAGGTACTACACAGTAATATGGATGCAGCTATGGATCTCTTTAGAGGTATAGAAATAATACCTAAGGAATGTCACAGGTAATACCTTTGATAGAGAAGATTCCCTCCACAGGCCGTAATTTACGCAACCAGCACTAACTAAAGGTCTCAGATATCCACAGCTACTACCAATGCTTAGAGAAGCAGAGTTCCTGAAACAGATTCTGCTACTCTCCTCTGGACTTGAGCCAGGGAACCCTGCATATGTTGATTCCCTTGACTATGAGCACCATTCGTCTTCACCCTGACCACGAAGTGTCCAATTACCTAATAGGCAAACTGTGAAGTGTCCAGAGTCCTAGGAAAGCAGAAACATCAAAATGTTGTGAACAATTTAGCTTTAATAAAAGAGTCTTGAATTTTTTAACCAAAAAGAAAATCTAGGGGACAAAATCCATTTTAATTTCAGCACATGCATGAAATTATGCATTTATGATTTTGTATTTTGGTTCTTTTAAAAAATTACAAACGAAAGAAGTACCATATTCTTTTCAGGTTTTAGGGCCTCTAAGTAAGAGTCTTTAGCTGACTTTGTTCTTCACTGAAATGGAAGCAAACCTCCCCCCTCCAAAAGGGCACAAGTGGTCCATGCTGTGTGCTGGCCTAGCAGTCTCTTTGTCACCCAGAAGGTAATTAGTCTGAGCCCAAAAGGATGACTGGATTCCCCTTATGTGTGTGTGAGCTTGCAGCAAGGGAAATGTTATTAATGGTCATAAAATTATCTGATCCCTTTTTAACCCCAGCCTTAGCATTTGTCTGTCTGACCTCCTGTGGAAGTTATTCCCACAGGCTGACCAATGTGCTGGGGGAGAATGAATTCATCTTTATTGGTTTGAAATTTATTACCCGTTAATTTCCTTGATCAAAGGGAATAAAAGATCAAAGAAAGGGTAGCCCATTACATGAAGATACAAATCATTATTACTTCTTTAATATTTTTGACATTAACATTAATCACTATGAATTATAGTAGTGTTCCTTTCGATGTAATATGCAACTTCAAACACATTTCATTTTAACACCACCTTATTGCTCACCACGTTATTTAAGCAAGTTTTCTTTTTGCACAGTTTTTTCCTCATTTGCAACCAAAAGGAGAGGGAAGTAGCATCACGTTTGTATCTCTGGAGGTTTTGATCACACAGCTGTGTACCTGTATCTCCTTCTGCAGCAAAATACTTAATATTTAATAGACGTGACTGAACTATGTTCTTTCTTCAATAAACTACATTGACTTGAAAGGTATATAAATATTCAGGATGTGTGGAATCAAAGAAGAATTTGATATTTTGGGGGGAAACTTAGAACCACGAATTATAATATGATTGTGTACTTGATTCAAAAATGTGTGGGAAAAGATAGAGAGATACCTTTGATGTGTCTATAAAGACATACATTTCCTAGCCAAATGACTGTTTTCCAAGACAGTTTTGAGGAGTTTTTCTAGAGCTAAGTATGAAAAGATTCAGTTATAGAAATACTTTTTGGAAGATGGCTGGAAGCAATTTGTTATGCCTTTCTACTTATATCTCTGGTTATTTACAACAAATAGGATTTTTCTTTCGGTAGGTCAATTGTTTAGTCAGATTCATCCTTATTTTTGAATGTTAGCCTGTATGGTCAGATATGACCTCGGAACAAAGTAGATGATTGAAAGCTAAAGAGATTTTAGGGATTATCTTGTTTACCTCACTTTCCAGATGGGATGCTTAGACCCAGCAGAGATAAAGGACTTGTCCAAGGACTTCCAGTTGGCCAGTGACACCACAGTCTCTGGAACGATACATTCCTGACTTCTAATTTATTGATCTCCAAAATAAATTTGTTCTGTGGCTAAATTGCTTCTATGTCATTCTGATTATTATTTTTTAGATAATTGAAGTTACCTGTTCATTTGCTTAAGCTTAAAACAAAAGGTTTTATCCAGTGTCTAGTTTAGCTCAACAATCGTTTATGAAGCACCTACTGCGTGGTAAGCCCTATGATAGGTACTGGAAGTAACAAAATGATTGAAAAGATAGCTTTTTATTTCAAAGTTTTGTGAGGTAGACAGACTTGTATAAAGATAAAATTATGGTATAAAGTGTAAATGCTAAAATCAACATGCAATTTGCAGATACAGTCAAAGAAAGGAATGTTTATTTCTGTCGGGGAAAGACCAAAAACTGTTTCAAGGAGGAGGTAATTTATATGTGTGTGGGGTGTTGAAGAGAAAATAGATGTTTTATTGGCAAGAAAGAGCATTTAAGGTGAAAAAATAAAAATTGGGTGTGCAGATACCCAGAGATGTGAAAAAGTGCATCATGCTCGGGATACCTAATTGTGTGAGAGACCTGGAAATGGTGGGGCAAGTGTTGAGAGACAGAGCTGAAGAGGAAAGTGGTGGACGAATTTTACATAGTCTAGCTAAAGATATTGGCAGTGGGAAGACAGTGAAGGGTTTATGCAGATGTAAAGCATTATCTGATTTGTGTTTTAGAAATACTGTTCTAAGCCGGGCGCGGTGGCTCACGCCTGTAATCCCAGCACTTTGGGAGGCCGAGGCGTGATCCGAGGTGGGCGGATCACAAGGTCAAGTGATCGAGACCATCCTGGCCAACATGGTGAAACCGTCTCTACTAAAAATACAAAAATTAGCTGGGTATGGTGGCACACACCTGTAGTCCCAGCTACTCGGGAGGCTGAGGCAGGAGAATCGCTTGAACCCAGGAGGTAGAGGTTGCAGTGAGCCGAGATCGCGCCACTGCACTCCAGCCTGGTGACAGAGCGAGACTGCATCTCAAATAAATAGTAAGGACAGAAGGAAGGAAGGAAGGAAGGAAGGAAGGAAGGAAGGAAGGAAGGAAAGACTGTTCTAAGGACAGTGAAGACGGTTCATTAGAAAAGGCAGGCATGAGACTGGCAGACAGAAGACATAGGCTATCTGATCAGCCCAGTCAAAAGTGGCAAGTGCCCGCACTGTGACTAAGTAAGATGGTGTATTAGAGAGAATCTGGCAGATTGAGGAGCTATTTAGGAGAGGAACAAAGGAAAAATACTGTCAGGGAGATTGAAGTATCAAGTATGATGGCTCCAGCATCTTGACTTATATGAATGGTGTGAAGACGAAAAGTGACTTTGCGGAGGAAAAAAATGTTAAGAACACAATGTGTTCAGTTTTTAATATGTTAAGTGTAGGTTACAGCATGCATCTATGTGGTCATTGTGTCCAAAACTCAATGAAATATGCAGCTCCAGTGTTCAGATGAGAAATATGGGTTAGCAATCCAGGTTAAGAACCCATCAGGGTGTCCAATGTTGTTTAAGACCATGAGAGATTGTGGCCATCTGAGATCACATAGAGAGTTAGCAGAAAATAATGACACAGGTAGACCACTGAGTGACACCAATATGTCTCAGGCACATAAAGGAAGAGCCACTGGTGTAGAAGCCTGCTAAGGAATGGAGAACCAGCGGGGCTCATATTTCCGAGGACAAGAGTGTAATGTTTCAACAGGTGGGCACTAGAGCCAGAAGACTCAAGCCACAGGAAGATGAGTTCTGAAAAGGATCCATTTGCTTTGTCTATTAGTAAAATATAAGTGACTTTGACAGAAGCAGTTTTTGGAATGCTTGTGCAGATACTTATTGCAGCAGCAAGAGAGAAGTTAGGCAAAACCGAGTGTGGACAACTCTTCCAGCTTGAAGAGATGGTGTCCAGAGAAAATGGAGGGAGCAAGGAATAGGTTTGAGGAGGGAGTGTAGATTTGAGCACTTTCAGAAGCTGATGGGGAAGAGAACACTAGAATGGAGAGACTGGACCTAGAGATGAGGGGGCATAATTAAAGGATAAAGTTCTGGGATGAAAGTGATCAACAGCACAGATGCAAGCCTGCATTTGACAAGGAAGAAGAAGAGGAGGATACCATGGGTATGGACTTATTTGGTGGGGAAGAAGGGAGATGGTGTTTCCTCCAAAACTGTATTATTCTGAATCTAAATTCCGGACTTATTAGCTATCTATGTGTACTGGGACAAATTTTATTATCTCACTGTTCTTCAGTTTCCTTATCTGTAAAATCATGACATTAATCACCTAAACACCATTCTTGAGCCATATAAATTAAATGAGATGGTGTCTGTAAAACACTCCATTTAGTACCTAGTACATTCTAAGTGTTCATAAATGCTGGCTGTCAGTAAGGGCTGGCTGAAGGGCCCTTCCATTCCTATCCTCTACCTGATTTTTAAATTCTCTTCTGCAGGTGCAGCTCCTCTCCATTCCCTCTTCTCTCTCCTTCACCTTGCAGCCCTGCCCTGGCACCTTCCTCAGCTAGTCCTGTGATGGCTATTTAGAGTTAAGCATCAATTTCTTATGAGTGGCATCATGTTCTCCCATGCTTAACTCTGTACATAGTTTCAAGGAAAAGCACAGCTAGTCTATCATTATCAAGCTGTCACTTTTTATCCAGTTTATTCACTCAACTGGTTTGCATTAAGCAACTCTAGGGGAGGCAGAGGATGTATTCCAGTGCTAAGATGGGCCTGCCCATCCTTGGGAAGCATAGAGAATGCTGCATTTGGAAGCAAACCAACGGGTTATTCACTCAGACACTGAGCTCTGAACATAGGGAGTCCAATCTGCACTTTACGAGATTGAGGGTTGCTTGCTTCTTCATTTGTACCTGAGGAGAATTAGTAATGTCAGAGGGAAGCGTGGAAAGAGTAAAACATACTCATTTTCTCTGATTAGTTTCTCCTAGAGAGATAGATCAATTGCCTTCTACATGAGGCTCCACTATGTTTCTTAGTTCCAGTCACAAAATTTGTCAAGATTCCTGAAAACATACTGATATAGCCACTTACTGTCTTGCTTTCAAGTACACAGAGCAAGAAGTTAACAAATTAAGAACTCACGGGAAAAAAAAGGTACTGTGGTTACCTTCCAAATCACAGTTATGTGGAAAATAACTCTGTGTGGACGTCTCTCACCTCTCCTCCTGCCCATACCCACTCACACAAACACTCTCAGAGATGTAATGGGATTTTTTCCCCCAAATATTTCGTTTATTTCCATGTTGGAAAAAAAAAGCCTGTGATTTATTAGTCCATTTAAAACCCATTAAAGATCTACTTGCTTTGATTAAATGGCACCATTTTAAAGGTTAATCAGTGTCATTTTTTATATTTAAAACTTAAAGGTACAGTGCTTTTTACTTACTGAAAATTACCATCCAAAAATGGAACGGGAACAGTCGTTGAAATGCGTGCCTACTTAAAATGTGGAATAAACACAGTGTGAATCATTTATTGGTCAGGTTCTATGGGTTAGTACACTACTAATAAAATACATTTTCTCACTACCAGCAACCACAAGGTCAGTGTGAGTGTCTCCACTTACAGTTTTCTCCATGCATCTCTCTACCAAGCAGGCTGAAGTGTGCTCTTTTCTCTGTCCTTTCATTTCTATTTTAAAATTTATTTATTATACTTTAAGTTCTGGGATACATGTGGAGAACATCCAGGTTCGTTACATAGGTATCCATGTGCCATGGTGGTTTGCTGCACCCATCAACCCATCATCTAGGTTTTAAGCCCTGTATGCGTTAGGTATTTGTCCTAATGCTCTCCCTCCCTTAGCCCCCCACCCCCCGACAGGCCCTGGTGTGTGATGTTCCCCTCCCTGTGTCCATGTGTTCTCATTGTTCACCTCCCACTTAGGAGTGAGAACATGCACTGTTTGGTTTCTGTTCCTGTGTTAGTTTGCTGAGGATGATGGCTTCCAGCTTCATCCATGTCCCTGCAAATGTCCTTTGATTTCTAACAAACTATCAGTAGACCTCTTACCACCAAACAGGAAAGCTGCTTCAAACTAATGGAGAAATACTTGTTTTTATTTATGTATGCTTTATTACCACTTGTTGTTTCTCTTTTGTACTTTCTTAATTTCATATTACATTTAATATCTGAATATTCTTCTTACAAGTAATACTGAAAAATCACAGATGAAGCTAAAGTCATCTCTGACCTTCATCCCTTTCCTGGATTCCTTTTCAGCTTTTCTACACTGCTTGGTGTCCATGTAATCATTTTGTTTTTAACATAAAAGCAAAGTAATCATCTGTACCTTGCATTACTCAACCTCTGGTATGTCCTAGAGATGGTTTATTTTGCTTTCTTAATTTATAATGTGAGAATTACAAAGAAAGTTCCAAATTGATAACCTCTGGTATGTCCTAGAGATGGTTTATTTTGCTTTCTTAATTTATAATGTGAGAATTAGAAAGAAAGTTCCAAATTGGTCTTGGAACTATGGAAAAGAAGACTTTTATATGTAAATCAATTAAAGGCAGGTATTAGGAGATAAATCTTGTAACTATTTGAGTCAGCTTCTTGGTTTTATTAGGTGTCAAGAGAGAGGCTAGTTTATGTTTTCTTTTGAGATTTCAAAAACCTCCTATCCTGAGATTCTTTTTGAAGAGAACCTTTGCCTGTTTGTCTTAATAGAGTAGGGTTTTCAGGCTGGTGACTGTTATCATAGTAAGTCTTTAATTGTGAAAACCAGTTGTGTGGTGGTTGTGTGATGATGTTTCTTGTAGGATTGCCTTGTTTTTGCTTTTCAGAGAACTACTACATCAGGGAACAAGTGCCCCTTTTGAAATGATTTACACACACTAATGTTGGGTAACTTATCTGTGCTTCATCACTAGAGAGAGACAGAAGAAAGGCCCTATAGCAAAAACAAACAAACAAAAAACCTGTACACAGCTTGCTCTTTTTGTGTAAAACATATTGAAGAAGTAATGCCACTCTGATATTGCTATGCTCAGTGGCTTTGCCAGAGATAGAATTCAATAAGAAATTTTCAAAAAAAATCTAGATGAATTTAATCTGTACTCATGAATAATTATTTGGCTATGTTTCCCCTGTTTACCAAGTAATTATGGTTTTAAAATCTGTTTGGGTTAGCATTTAGCATTTCTCCATCCAAGGGAATCATAACATTGATGGAATATCTATCAGCCCATTTTTATGAGCTAAAGTAATTAAAAAAATTCTTTATTATTCTCCGTATGATAGTAACCTACAATAAATTTGGAATGAGTTGTTCAAATATTGACTATCAAAGCAGTGTCCTTCTGCTTCTCTGAATAAAGGAGGGGAAAGAATTTGAAGGGTTTTAGTTATAAGGTTTAAATGAAACTCATGATTTCAGAGTCACCATACATTGGAAGAGAAATGTGTAAGAGATTTGGTCACACCGCACATACACACAACTAACCACAAAATTATATGCAGTGTGATGTCAATATTAAGCAAACACACAGAAATAAATTCAGAATCTGAACTGGAGAAGAACAAAACTTTATGGATGTGATAAGTTATAATTTAGTATTATTTTGTTCTGATTTCATTAAATCAGGAAATTCACCCTTTCAAAAATGTGCCACATCTCATTACTCTACACAATGAACAACCATTAAAAAGTATTGCTGCTAAATAAATGCCTATTTGTGTTACCTTTTATCTTGAGTTACTTTCTAAATTACATATAATTCCATGTGAAAAATTTAAAATAAATCCTCCCAAGAAAATTAAGGCATTGGACCAGAAGATGTCTGAGGTCTTTAATAATTATAAGATAGCTATTATTCCAATAAAGATACTTTGATTTGTTTTCCTTTGAAAATGTCATTGAAGCTATTTAAATTTTGCAAGTGGGGATGGCGAAGTAGGGAAAGGGGTTCTCAGCAGGTACTGGGAGAACAGTGTACTTTTTTTTGTTGTTTGAGAACCACAATGTTGAAACTACATAATTACACAGTAACTGTTGACCTTGTAATTACACTGTAAGTACCTGTAGTGACAAGATAAATGCATGGTTATTTCAGTCTTTTAAGCTATAGGGCTATCATGCGACCCTAACAATGTAAGCTACATAGTAATTTATTTGTAGAGTAAATAGTGCTTACTCACAAGTTATACCTACACATGTGCTTTCTGTGCTACACAGATCCATAGAAACATGGCAAATCAGCGCCCTCTAGGCACTTTTATTGAAATGACACACGAGTCACGTGTATGTTTACCACTCGGAATATTTCAGTTATTTGTGGAGCATTCAGGGTTTTTCATGACTGCCTTTCGTCCTAAAATTTATTTTTTTAAAAGAAATAGAATTACAAGTGACTTATTTTTACTGGTCATTCCTTTTTGTTACAATAGTATTAATATGTAATCATATGATTTATTAACTGGGAGTCCTCTTGTCTTTAAACCACTTTTAAAAGAACTGTGTATACATCAAACTATATTTATTTTAACAAGCTGTTAAGTAAAAATCTTTATATGAGTTTTCAGTGAAAAGAAAACAGTTGTGAATGATTTTTTGAAACAAAAATGTTTTTATAATGTAAACAATAATGGTAGTTATTAACGTTTATTGAATGCTTATTAAGCCCTAGGACACTATGATAATTACCCCTAATTTAGCAAGGTTGCTTATATTTGGATTTTAATATACTGAATGCTTTAGTGACAATTTGATGTTAACTAAGAAGCTGGTTGGTGAATTATTTTTCAGTCATTTGTTCATTCAATATATAGATATATTTTTTTTCAGTCTCCGTTGTACCAGAGACTGTGCTAGGTAGTCCTTAGGGACTAGTCATCTTTCTAATGCAAGAAAAGATTGAGCAACTTACTTCAATCTGTTGTGTCAAAATAACAGTAAGCATGAGATGTAGTAGGAACCAATTAAAGTTACCCAGTAATGAGTCAAAGGTGGAGTTGAGATGTAGGATAAGAGTGTTCCAGGCTGAAGAGTCAGCTGCCAAATACAAAGATCGGGAGATTTAAAACCACCAACCTGGCTAGTACTTAGAGTTTGAGCTTGTAGAGAGAAGGGTCTAGAATAGGGATTCCCAACCCCCGGGCTGCGGACTGGTGTTGGTCCATGGCCTCTTACGAACAGGGCTGCATGGCAGGAGGTGAGCAGCAGGTAAGCTAGAATTACCACCTGAGCTCCACCTCCTGTCAGGTCAGCAGAGGCATTACATTCTCATAAGAACCACGGACCCTACTGTGAACTGGCATGTGAGGGATCTACGTTACATGCTCCGTATGAGAATCTAAGTAATGCCTCATGATCCGAGGTGGAACAGTTTCATTCCCAAACAATCCCCAACCCCAGTCTGTGAAAAAAAATTTCTCCCATGAAGCTGATCCCTGGTGCCAAAAGGTTGGAGACCGCTGGTCTAAAAGACAGGCACTATGCCTTGAACAACCTCATGGTAGGAGTTTGGATTTCATCCTGAGGTCAGTGAAGAATAATTGAAGAGCTTAAGCATAAGATTGAGATGTTATATTGTGGACCGTGAATGAGAGTGAGGCAGGACTGACCCTAGAGACAAATTATTGAGGTCATTATAGGAATCCAGCAGAGAGGGGGCGCTGCTCAGAATTTGACACTGAGAACAGCAAAGATTCCTCTCTCCGTCTGTCTGCATAGTTCTTTCTTCATTCTGGAGTGCTCAGTGTCACTACCCTTAGTGAGAGTGAACATTTGCCCAGTTCCAGGGTAAATTCAAGGTGGGTCTGGGATGAGCAGTTTGGAACTACTAATTGGATGAGGATTGACAATGTTGCTTTCAATGGGATCCTGAACCTAATGTATCACACACTGTTTATAAGTTCTGGCAAAAGTTTGTCAGCCTGGAGGTGGTTTCAGCTCATGAGATATACTTCAGTTTTCCCTTGTCTAAAACACTGACTCATTCTATGAATTCGCAACTGGCACTTTTCCCCCTGTGGCCTCTCTGTTGATCCATTTCCGCTAACCAATACACGGTTTCCACATGGCATATTTTTTCCCTTTTGACAAAAATTTGCAACCGAACCTTCCTATGAGAGACTATATATGTGAACTACTCCAAAGGGCTTATGGAAAGCTAAATTGGGACTGTTTTTCTTAGCACATCAGTTTGTATGATAAGGGGTGAAAGAAAAAAAAAAAAGCAAAAGGCAAACTTTTGTTTGGATTCAAATGTCATCTTTGCCTGTGCCACATTTATTTTTATTTCCTCTCTGACAAGAATGTTAACTTTCCAGGAAAACTCAACTTCTCTAAGAGAACAGCCAACACAAACAATTTTTTTAAGGTGTGATTTTCGTTGAGGCTGTGATTTTATCGTTTGGAGCAAATGGTGAATTGGGAGAAAAAAAAAAGCTTGGAGTGTACATTTCCTTTACTAAGACATCAGATTGAATCATGCTTTGGGTATTTTGGCTATAGTGTTTTCCAGTCCTTTGCCTCTCAGGAGACCCTAATGTGAAACAAAATGGAAAACTCTATTCGCATTCTCTTTGGGTGAGATCTCCAGGGACTCGGAGGAGGCGAGAGAAACTTTCGCTTGCTCACGACGTATTCTACACAGATGTTGTCCCTGAAAATATTTGCATTGGCAGCTTTTTATATTGGTACAAGGTGGATTATCTGAAAAGAAATAATCTTTTTCCCTTCCCAAAATGCAAAGATTTCTCTATTCAAGTAGGATATTCTCAAAACAAATTAGTTTTTTAAAATTCAAAATAGTCAGCTATATCATATAAGTAGCTGAATTCCCTCATATTTGCCCATGTCCCTTTCATATTGCAGATATCAAAGAAAATTCATATTTGTTTTTATTTTTCCAAACTCATTAAAGCTTGAATAAATTGTGTTAAGATAAATCTATATTCTCTTTGCAGTTTTTTCTTTGCGCTTTTGAATTTGAGTGGATATCTTCTGTGTATAATATTTGTATTTTTCTATTTTGTAGTATAAGCAACTGACAGGTAAAGCCATTCATGTCCTCTCTATATAATGACAAAAGATAATGTTCGTTTAAAGAGGTATTTTGCTTTTTAACTCAATCTTGCTATTCCTTTTATAATCATAAACTACATCAATGATGGCTATTTAGAAAATAGGTAGAGTAGGAGGGATGGAGAATACCTCAATAATATAATTGCACTAACATTTATGATTACATGACACCTGAATTCTACTTAATACTCCAGCTTTACTTATTCCCTGAACTTTTACTATTAATAATATTCAGCCTGAAAAAAAGGTTGAAATGCCAACATCATATTGGAAGACAAATTTACATTTCATTCCCAACACCGTAATTTAATAAAAATTTTATGGTGTTATGGGTACTCAATTATGCTCCAAGCAGAGCTGGAATTTAACATTGTTCCACATACAGAGAGGATCTGGTAGTACTTTATTTTAAACGGTCCTTTGAAAGAGCATTGTAGTATATGATACAACAAATATGCTGCTTTTAAGAGACACTTTGGAAAACAGTGAATTACTTAAATTGTTTTTCATTTCTGTGAGAGAGCATAAAGTCTCATAATTCACTTAGATTGATTTAATATACTAGGTTACTGAATTATCAGGCTTTGAAATAGTCTTTCCTTTAGAATTACAGTGATGTTGATGTTAATATAATATAGACGATATATGTAAAGTTTACATCGTAAGCTAAGATATGAGTTTTCTTTTTTTTTTTTCCCCTAAGTAAGCATTCTCCTGGGCACTGTTGGAAATAGTTTTTATCACCTCTTTACTTCTTCTCGTATCCAATCAAAAGTCCAGTTGCTTAGATTTTTAGAAGCTCAGTGACATTCATGTTATCTTCCTTTACTTAAAATTATTCAATGCTTTCTTCCCAGTGTTGACTAAATCTAGTCCAAACTGCCACTTAAAATTCTCCAGTCTGGCTCCTATCTACTTTAATTTGCATATGTGACATCCCAGCTAAACTCCAATCCTCAGAAAAGGCTCCTCACCTCACTGCCTCTGTTTCATGCTGGTTCCTCTAGTGGAATTCTCCTTCTCCTCCCATTTCTATCTGGTGAATTATTTCATCTTTCAAGACTTGGCCATATGTTAACTTTTTCCCAGACTGAAGTATTTTGTCCAGTATTGGTTTCTTCTACTATATTTTTTATTTTTTCTTATGACACTTATTACATGGAGACTTACAAAATATGCTCTTTTCTTATAAGCATGGTATTAACATGCATTAATTTTATTAACTCCTTATTAACTAAGTTCCTTGTCAGAAGCACCTATATCTCAGACTCGGAAGCACTTGCGTGATATTGGCTGCATAGTAGGCCCTAAATGTTTGTGGAATGAATAGATTCACTGTTGGAGCAGATGTTTGTATGTGCTAATTGAGTGGTCACATATCCTTGCCTCTGAATACATTTTACTTAGTGCTTCAATTTAAACTGGCTATAACTCCAAATTATCAGCCGTAAAGAGTCTATCCATGTGTATCCATGAACTTTTTCACCATTAAAATCTTCTACTTGGGCTGGGCAGAGTGGAGCATGCCTGCAGTGCCAGTTACTTGGGAGGCTGAAGCAGTAGGATCACTTGACTTTAGGAGTTTGAGACTAGCCAGGGCAACATAATGAGATCCCTAATTTAAAAATTAAACCAACCTCTAATTGATTGGAAGTATTGATTTTTTCCATCCACTTTACACAACAGGGTATTTAACTTGCACTGTTAGCCACCTCATTATTATATAAGGTTGCATAACTAACCATAGGTATTTCCAGGTATAGCCCTTTATTTTGAAAGTTTTATTTTTATTTAATTAACAAGCTTGATTTTTTAGAAGGAGTTTTAAGTTCATAGCAAAATTGAGCAAAGGACAGAGAGTTCCCATATACCTATTCTCCTATACTCAATTTCTTCCACTAGAACATCCTCCACCCGTGGTGCATTTGTTACAATAGGCAAACTGACATTGACACAGTATTATCATCCAAAGTCCATAGTTTACATAAGGGTCCACTCTTGGTGTTGCACGTTACGTGGGTTTTGACAAATGGATGACGACATGTCTCCACCACTGTAGTATGTCATACAGAATAGTTTAGCTGCTGTAAAAATCCTCTGTGCTCTATTTATTTCTATCTCCTGCTAATTCCTGTAAATATCTAATCTTTTTACTGTCCACAATTTCACCATTTCTTCAGCGTTGTATAGTTGGAATCATACCATATGTGCTGTTAAAGATGGGTTTCTTTCACTTAGTAACATGCATTTAAGTTTTCTCCATGTCTCTTCTTGGTTTGATAGTTCATTTCTTTTTAGTGCTGAATAATATTCCATTGTCTGGATATAATACAGTTTATTCATTAACCCACTGAATGATACCTTGGTTGCTTCCAAGTTTTGGCAATTGAATAAAGCTACTGTAAACATCTGTGTGCAGATTTTTGTGTAGACATAAGTTTTTAACTCCGTTGAATAAGTACCAAGGAGTGTGAGTGTTGAATCATATGGTAAAAGTATATTTAGTTATGAGAGAAACTGTAAACTGTCTTCCAAAGTGGCTGTACCATTTTATGTTCCCACCAGCAATGAATTAAGATTTCTCATTGCTCCACATCCTAACCAGGAGTTGGTATTGTCAGTGTCTTAAATTTTGCCATTCTAGTAAGTGCAGAATAGTATCCCATTGTTTTAATTTGCAATTTCCTAATGAATATGATATTGAACATCTATTCATATATTGAATTGCCATTTTTGTATCTTCTTTGGTGAGGTGTCTGTTTAAGACTTTAGCTCATTTTTTAAAAATTGGGTTGTTCATCTTTTTATTGTTGAGTTTTAAGGGGTCTTTGTAATTTAGGATGAGTCCTTTATCCTATCTGTCTTTTAACAATATTTTCTCACAGTCCGTGGCTTGTCTTCTCATTTTCTTGACATTGACTTCTGCAGAGCAGAATTTTTAATTTTAATGGAGTTAGCTTATCAATTATTTCTTTCATGGATTGTGCCTTTGATGTTGTGTGTAAAAAGTCATCGCCATACTCAAGGTCATATAGATTTTTCTCCTATGTTATCTTCTAGAAATTTTACAGTTTTGCATTTTGCATTTAGATCTCTGATCCATTTTGAGATAACTTTTGTGAAGGGCACAACATCTTTATCTAGATTTATTTTTATTTTTTGCATGTGGATGTCCAGTTGTTCTAGCCTAATTTTTTGAAAAGACTATCCTACTATCCTTGCTCCATTGTATTGCTTTTGCTCTTTTGTCAAAGATCAATTGACTGTATGTACATGAGTCTCTGTCTGGGTTATTTATTCTGTCCCATTGATCTATTTGTCCATTCTTTCACCATTGCCACACAGTCTCAATTATTATAGCTTTATGGTAATATTTTGATTGGGATTGTTTTGAATCTATAGATCAAGTTGGGAAGAAGTGACATTTTGACAAGATTGAGTTTTCCTATCCATTGACATGGAATATCTCTCCATTCATTCAGTTCTTCTTTGATATCTTTCATAAGCATTTTGTAATTTTCCTCACATAGATCTTGTGCATATTTTGTCATATTTATAACATAAGTATTTAATTTTTGTCAGTGCTAATGTAAATGATACTGTGTTTTTAATTCCAAATTCCACTTGTTTATTGCTGGTATAAATAAAAGCAATTAACCTTTATATATTAACCTTCTAACTGCTGTAATTGCTTATTAGTTCTAGGAGGTTTTTAAAATATTTTTGGGTAGATTATTTAAGATATTCCACATAGATGATCATGCTAACTGTGAAAAAAGACAGTTTTATTTTTTTCACAATCTGTATACCGCTTCTTTTCTTTTCTTATTTTATTGCATTAGCTAGGTTTTCCAGTACAATGTTGAAGAGCAGTGGTGAGAGGGGACGTTCTTGCCTTGTTCCTGATTTTAGTGAGAAAGCTTCAAGTTTTCACCATTAAACATTAAGGTAGCTGTATGTTTTTTACAGATGTTCTTTATCAAGCTGAGGAATTTCTCCTCTATTCCTATTTTGCTGAGATTTTTTTATTATAATTGAGTGTTGGATTTGTCAAATGCTTTCTCTGAATTTATTGATATGACTAAGTGATTTTTCTTGTTTAAGCTGTTGGTTGATGGATTATGTTAATTTATTTTCTTTAGACATTTCTTACAAGGCAGTTATACTGGCAACAAATTCCCTCCAATTTTGTTAATTTGAGAAAGTATATATTTCTCCTTTATTTGAATGATAATTTCACAGGGTACCAAATTCTCAGGTGGCAGGTATTTTTCTCCCAAAATGTTAAGTATTTCACTCTTCTCCTTTCTTGCTTGCATGGGTTTTGGGGGCAAAGTTGGATGTAAATCTTACCTTTGTCTTTCTATAGTTAATATTTTTAATATATATGTATTATATATATTATACATATATATTTTAATATATATGTATTTTATGTATATATCTATATATCTATAAAATATATAAATATATATCTATATAAATATGTATCTATATAAATATATCTATATAAATATATATCTATATAAATATATCTATATAAATATATATCTATATAAATATATCTATATAAATATATATGTGCCATATATATATTACTTCCCTCATATTTTATTAATATTGACCTTTGATTTTCTGAAGTTTGAATATGATATACCTAGGTGTTTATTTATTCTCTGGTTTTGTTAGTTTTTTTCTCTTCTCCTCCTCCTCCTCCTCCTCTCCCTCCTATTTTCATTTATCCTGGTTGGTGTTTTCCAAGCTTCCTGGGTCTGTGGTTTCATTTCTGGTATTAATTTTGAGAAATCCTCAGTCATTATTGCTTCAAATATTGCCTGTGGTCCTTTCTTTCTTTCTTCTCCTTCTAATATTCCCATCACAAATATGTTACATCTTTTGTATGTGTCCTGCAGTTCTTGGATATTCTGTTCTTTTTTTCCATGTGCTGTTCTCCCTGCTTTTCAGTTTTCGAAATTTCTATTATCATATCCTCAAGCTCAGATACTATTTCTTAAGCTGTGTCCAGTCTACTAATGGGCCAGTTAATAGTATTCTTTATTTCCCTTACAATGGTTTAGATCTCTAGCATTTCTTCTTTTAATTTTTTTCCTGAAATTTGCAACTCTCTGCTTACATCATTTATCTATTTTTGCATGTTGTGTACTTTTTCTGTTAAGATCCTTAGCTTATTAATGGTCATTTAAAAAACTTTTTGGTCTGATTATTCTAACAACCCTGCCATCTCTAATCTGGTTCTGATGCTTGTACAGTCTCTTTACACTGTATATTTTTTTGCCTTTCATTATGTCTTGCAACTTTTTGTTCAAAGATGGGCATGGTGTACTGGGTAAAAACACCTGTGGTAAATAAAACTTTTTGTAATGCAGTGATAAGATGCAGGAGAGGGGTGTTTTATATTCTTCTAGCTAAGTCTCAGTGGACCTGGACTGTGAACTTCATCAGTGCTTCTCAGTTTCCCCACTCCCTTTATGTGGGACAGGATGGCTGGAAGGGGCTAAAGTTGGTATTTTCCCTTTCACTCCATGGAAGGCTAGAGAAAACTGGAGTTGATATTTCTCTTAGCACAGGTAGGTTAGGTTATGCTACCTATTCAGGAGCTTAGGCTTTAGTAAAATAGTTGCTCTTCAGAGCAGACCTTGTTAAGAAGAACAGAATGCTCTGGTGTATTTCAAAATAGTTCCTTTCCTCCTTCCCCTGCCAGAAGCACAGGGGGATTTTTCTCTAATACTCACTGTCAGGATTTGGCAGAGCTCCTGGAGTTAAAACTCACAAATATGTTGGAGCCTCCCTATGACTGGGTCCTGCTGGAGTTTTTAAATCTTGGAGCTGTCCACACTGAGCCTCCAGCAATTCATCAATTACAGTTCAGATTTCCTTACCCCAACACTGGTTCCACAGAGGTTTCTGCTTGTGGCTTTCTGCTCCATTATGTTATTCCCTGAATATACCTACAAGTCTTTTAAATTCAGGGGCCAGCAGTTTGACCAATGACCTCACTTATCTGACATATCTAAGAAGAGTTGTTGATTTTTCAGTTTGTTCAGGTTTCCGCTTGCTAAGATGGAGCAGTGACTTCAAGGCTCTCTACATGCCAGGCCAGAAAACAGAAGTTAAGGGTCAGTATTGAAGTTTTGTTAAGTTTTGAGAGTAGAGTCTATGACCTATAATAGGCATTCTATAAATAATTGTTGATTGACCAACTGATTGACTCATATATTCTATGCTAAATATCAATCTAGAGATAGTTGACCAGGGGTGCAATATATGATGACTTTTACAAACTCTGATAATTAAAATATGTTAATTACTTAAAAACTTTAAATAGCTATTGCTATTAGGTGTATTCTGTTTCTTAGAAAGTATACAATTTTTGGCAAGGTATGATGGCTTATGCCTGTTATCCCAGCACTTTGGGATGGTAAGGCAGGAGAATCACTTGAAGCCAGGAATTTGAGACCTCCTTGGTTAACATAGCAAGACCCTATCTCTATAAAAAATCAGCCAGGTGTGGTGGTGCATGCCTGTGGTTCCAGCTACTTGGAAGGCTGAGATGAGAGGATCACCTGAGCCCAGGAGTTCAAGGCTTCGGTCAGCCATGACAGTGCCACTGCACGCCAGCTCAGGCAACAGAGCAAGACTTTGTCTCTTAAGAGGGGGGCGGGGAAAAAAAAGAAGAAAGAAAGAAAAAGAAAAGGAAAAGAGAAAGTGCACAGCTCATCTTACTTTCCAGACCATTTAAATCTATATAATCTTCAGTTCTCAAACTGTGGGCTGAGGTGACTGGGTGAGCTTCAGCAAACTCACTTGGGATCTACAAGATATTTCAAATATACAAGAAAAGACAGCACCCCCAAGTCTAAACTGCTACTATTAAGTTGTTTGAACCTAAATGCTTATTACAGGAACTGTCAGGTAATTCTCTTGCCTTAGGGGAACCATGAAAATATTACTGAGACACTAAGGGTACTGCAAACTGAGAAAGTCTGCAAACCTCTGATATGATCCATCATTTAAATGTGAATATGCAGCATATGAATCAGAAAAGGTAACACTGGAATTCCCTCACTGTCATTAAAACATACAAAATGCAAACCTTAATGCACAAAACTCACTTTAATAAAATAATAATGGACAATTTAGGAGTACAAGTAGTCATTCCTAACATGTTGATTTTAGAAGCTCCCATTTATGTCAACTTTTTGGAATTCATAGTGCATTGCTCAACAGAGAGAATGTTAATTAACAGGGGTGATAATGTTCCTATTCACCCATATAAACCTATTTATTCCATTATGTAGCTATTGCCAATTAAAACTATACTGGATATACTTAACAGTTTTTCAGACGAATGTTTCTACTACCTTGTAGTTGAGGTGCCAAATGAAAGATCATACTTTGTAGTGGATAGTATAAACAATGTCCTTATGTAGAAATATACACACATACATACGTTACTCCCCAAAGGCATTCAGAATTGAAAGCAAGCACCAGCAACATCTGGGAGTTGATAACCACTGAAAGCTGGTTACTAACAGCTACTGATTCCTAGTTACTGATAGTTATTTGATACTTCAAATGCTTATTTGATAGAATAAGTAAATGTCTTTTTTTTTTTTTTGATGGAGTTTTGCTCTTGTCGCCCAGGCTGGAGTGCAATGGCGTGATCTCAGCTCACTGCAACCTCCGCCTCCCAGGTTCAAGCGATTCTCCTGCCTCACCCTCCCAAGTAGCTGGGATTACAGGTGGCTGCCACCACACCTGGCTAATTTTTGTATTGTTAGTAGAGGTGGGGTTTCACCATGTTGCCAGGCTGTTCTCAAACTCCTGACTTCAGGTGATCCACCAGTCTCAGCCTCCCAAAGTGCTGGGATTATGGGCATGAGCCACCGTGCCCAGCCAGAATAAGTAAATTTCTATATAGAATTTCAACTTAGAACTTGTTTTAATTCATAAATTAAAAACTTTTTAATTAAAACAAATTCTATATAGAAATTTACTTATGTGGCACTGCAGCAATGGATGTATCTTTGTCAGATATTGTAGAAATATTGAAATACACCTTATATACTAACATTTTTCTTACACACCTTGGTCCTGGTGGTACGATTAGAATTCCTTTACTACCTCTGCCTTGTAAAGTGTATCAACCATTGTTGCCCAATAGAAAAATAAGTTCACATAGAAACATAAATTACAATACAAATACAAATATGAGCCACGAATATATTTTTTTAAAAATTTAGACCACATTAAAAAGCAAAAAGAAGGCCAGGCGCTGTGGGTCACGCCTGTAATCCCAGCACTTTGGTAGGCTGAGGCAGGCGGATCACGAGGTCAGGAGTTTGAGAGCAGCCTGGCCAACATGGTGAAACCCTGTCTCTACTAAAAATACAAAAATTAGCCAGGCATGGTGGTGAGCACCTGTAATCTCAGCTACTTGGGAGGCTGAGGCAGGAGAATTACTTGAACTGGGGAGGTGGAGATTATAGTGAGCCAAGATCATTCCACTGCACTCCAGCCTGATCAACAGGGCAAGACCTTCTCTCAAAAAAAAAAAAAAAAAAGAAATACATTAAATTTGATATATGTATATTTTATTAAACCTAACATACCTAAAATATTATCATTTCAACATGTAATTAATGTAAATATTATTATTAAGATATTTTATATGCTTGTTTTTATATTGAGTCTTTGAAAGCCAGTGTGTGTGTTTTACATTCAACATTCATTTTGGACTCACCACATTTTTAGTGCTTCATGGCTGGCATATTGGACATCACAGGTATGGACTCTCTGTAGTAGAATCACCTGTTGTTGCTTGTTAAAAGCTGATTTCTGGTCTTTTCCCCAGACTTACAGAATTAGAATATTTGAGGGAGTGTCTAGTGTTCTAAAATTTTTAGTTTTCCAGGTGATTCTTCTATATGTTAACATTGAAGAACATTTTACTTCTAGGGGTGGTGCGTGATTAATCTCTCTCCAAAACACACACACACACACACACACACACACACATGCATACGCACCCCCCACACACGCACACGAATGTTAATCCCAGTTAATGCTTATTTTATTGGAAGAGAAAGTAGTCTTTATCTTCTGCTTCTTCTTGAATAAACCCTAATGCTCCTATTATACGCATTTATTTTTTTAAATATATTTGTTGGTGGAAAGAATTCAGCTATTCTCCTTGAAAGAGTTCAGAGTCTGAGAATATGTGGTTTGCAAGGGTAACACCTTGCTCAGATCGCACTCATCCTAAAGTTGGGCATCTCTGTTCTAGTCAACTGGTGGCTGTTTAATGCAATTTGCAATGGACACAGATAATTTAACAGGCACAATTTATTAGACAAACTTTTTAAAAGCAAAAGCATTTTCGGTGAATTCTATGCTCAAGGGTTGATGAAACATTACTAAATATTTCCTGCGTGGGTTTGGGACACTCAGGGAAATGGTAAGGATGGCCACAGTAATTTTTCTCACAGAGATAATTGATAATCACATCCACAGCAGTGACAAATGGTAACGTAAGTGAAAGAAAAGAGTAAAAAATATTCAAGCATCAAAAGGATCATTCAATCAGTCTTCTAGAGGCAGGTAACTTTTTACACAATCCCTATTGGTAAAGCAAATACAAACTGAATTCGTGTGTTAAACGTGTTTACTTTTGCACCAAAAACAGTAACACAGACAATGTGTTTCAATTAAAAGGAACCCTGGAGCAAAAACGTGTTACAGTCAGGGGTAGAAGCAGAGTGTATCATTATCTCGTAGGCACAGCTGTCAAGATAATGAACAGCTAAGAAGAGTGGACAATGGAAGGTGAAGTATGACTTGTCATGAAACTGTCAATAGAATCTGAGCTCACTTTCCATTAGTAGGTGCTATGAAATTGCAGGGATGTGCTGAACAGCCACAGAAATAACTAAAGTAAAAGTGGCTTCATGGCACTTAGTAATTTTAATATTTGTCATTGTTACCAAAAGCCTTAAAGCAGTGATTTCAATGTTTAATTCCTCTTCTATGAGTTGTTGGTCTCAATTTTTCCTTTATTGCCTTGAAATCAAAACAGAAATTCCTCAAGTGTTTTCTCTTTGAGAGCATTTTTTGTTGTTGCTCTTTATCTTCTTTAGTATGGAATGTAATAGTTGAATATCGCTTGGATTGCTGTCTCTTCTGAAGGCTAATAGGGTATTTTATAAATCTGGCTGAGACGTGGGTTAAAGGTAGGTTGGGTTTAGGTAAAAATTGATTGCTACTGAACTGAGTTCAAGCATAAAAATCCCAAATGGATAAAATCTAGATAGCAGACAGGCCAAAAGAAACATAAAAAAGAACTCAGGTTGGATTTTAAATGAAAAATTCACTAAGACTCCATGTCCAAGAATACACATTGAAAAAAAAAATCTGTGTCTGGTGAAAGAAAGAATCAAGGAATTATAAGTATTGTATAACTATTTTTGATTCATTAATTTATTCATTCAACATGGATTGAACATTTACCTACTTCATGCCAGGTGTTGTTCTAGATCCTGGGGACAGGTGAACACGACAGGCAAGGTCTCTGCTCTAATGTAGGGAGACACACAAGAAATGTATTAAAAAAGAAACAAAGAAAATAATTTCACATAGCAATAAGTGAGATGAAGAAAATATAATAGGGTATTGTGGTGGAGTGACTATGGGGCTTGGGACAGCTGATCAATGAGAACTTCTTGGCAGAGAAAATAGTTTAAATCCAAAGGTCGAAGGAGCTAGAAGGAGAGAGAAGATCTAAATGGATCTGAGTATTAGTACAGGAAGGATACAGAAAGAAACACAATCTTTCTGGCTTCCTCCTTAATGCCAAAATTCAACCTTCTTCTTTTGAAGAAGTCAGACCCCCTTCTAGTCATAGATGTTGAGAATTTTTGATGTAGGTCAACTGGTTTCTTTCTTCTCACATCTTCTAGAAATGTCCAATTGGTGGACACATTGTAAGTTTCTAGACAGTTTCTCAGGTCTTTTTCACTCCCTGTATTTCAAGTATAAGAATGTCTTTTGCCCTCATGTTGGGCATCTCAATATCTGTTTCTGGAGCCACGTGTTGACTCTCCAGAGATAAACCTTGTCTTGCAGAGCTTATGATTCTGTGTCAGGCACGGAGTAGACACATGTAAATATTTTCTTTTTAAAAGAAAAAATGAGAAGAACATCCCCCAAAGCCAAGCTGCTAAATTATGTTCTCACACACAGTTCCAGGAGTTGCCAAACTCAAGGTCTAGGACTGGTTTCAAAAGCATTAACGAGGAAGTTTTAAAATTCCTGAGCCTTACCCTTGGAGATTCCTATTTAGTAGACCTGGAACGATGTCTGTGTATCTGCATTTTCAAATGTTCTCTAATAGAACCTTATCATTAAACAGTTTTATGTCTGCTATTAGGCCAGGGGTGGGGGAATCTCATTTTTCTCTGTCAATGGCTTCCTCGACTTTGATTATTTGTTTGTTCACTCAGCCTTTCAGTAAGTGGTATATTTGAACTACAGCCAACAATTAAGATTATTCTTACTGTGCTTAAGCATATGACAGATACAGGAAAGGTATGTTTTGTTGTTTAAATTCAGAAGCCAAATGTGTAATTGTACAGGTCTTCTTTTGAAATATGTGCAAAATCTGACCATCTGAACCAGCTCCCATCCTGATAATGAAATCAGTTCTCTTAATGGCTAGAAAGTTTACAAATTGAAGCATATTTAATAGCCTATATATTCACACCCTGAAAGCTTTGGATAGTTAGGATTTTAGATTAGAATTCAACTTTTTCTCCCTATTAAATGCCAGCCGGGCGAGTTGCATTAATGACGGTGGTTATGTTTGAATGTGAATGGAGGACATCTGGCGTTATCAGGAGATCAAACGTTGGGAGTCTGCGTGATGACTCTCATCTGTTTGTCACCCAGCAGGTGTAATGGATGGCAGGCATGTGGGCTGTTTGCCCAAGTTAATGTACAGACCTAATATATTGAGGGGAGAAGAAGTTTCCCCTACAATTTTAAAGTGTCACAGCCCAAGGTAGGCGGACGGGGGCCTGGGGGAGGGTTGGACTGGTGGAGTGGATATTTTCCGCTGCACCAATTTCTTGAGTAAAATCGCCGTTTTCTAGCCTACAGGCATTTCCCTTGTCCCGTTTCAACAAACTTCCACGGCCCAATTTGTTATTCAAAAATTTATGGAAAATGTATGTTAAAGTGAAAAGGGTACATTGTGCAGAAAAGGGAAGCAGCTTGTAAGCATATCATTATGCGTGAGCCATGGGGCCCGCAGATGGCACTTCTACTCAGAAACGAGAGTCGTGCCAAAAGCTGAACTCTAAATACATTTAAATCACATATCTTTACTTAAAAATGGAGTATTTTGGAAGGAAAAGCAGATGATATTTAAGTACACAAGTGGTATTCTTTTGTTCCTCATATAATAGAGCCCTTTACAAAAGTCGTTGCCTTCTAAGTGTGCAGTAAGCCTTTCATTCCTCAAATTCCCCAGAGGATTTAGTTGCAGTGCATGGCTCAGTTCTTAATAGGATTAACCATCGAGGTAGTACCTTGCTACGAGAACAACTCTTGAAGTATCCTTACAGTTATTGAAAATTAAAGGATTTGTTTTGATTACTATGTTCGGTGCTAAAAGCAAACCTTTGTTTTGCACATTACAAATAGTAACAAAAAATTATCATGACATACGGGATTCTTATTTTAATTGAAAATAAATTTTGTTCTTAGACTGTGCCAATCTGTTAATTAATTAGGGGGAGAGTAACGAAAGGGATGAAGGCATTTGTTGGCTGCTTCTGGAAATATTTATTTTTTAATACAATAATTATGCTGATTTCTTGTTTAGACAGTGGTTATATTTACTGTTACTAGAGAATTTGCGTTTTAAAGGGTACAGTTCATGTCGGTAAGACTAACACAGTAATAAAAATAAAGTAAATTTTATTTTTTTATTTTGGAAGACTGGTATTATTTCTACTGGCACCGTATACAATGAGTATTTAGCTCTGAAATTGATTTTGAATGTGTATCCCTCACTTTTGTTGATGCCATTAGATCTGACAGCAATATGATTAAAATACATTGTATGTATTTAAAAGTTTAGCACATAACCTTTTATTTTAATAATCTAACAGCTTGATCTATTTAATGATTGTACTTTTAGAAAATACAAAACTATAATTATATATATGACATTTGGTATATGGGATCTTTAATTTTCAAAATATTGCAAACACATGTTATTTCCACATTTCTGTATCCCTTCTTCACTTTCTTCTTCTAAAATATTCCACAAACAGTAAATTCCTTTTGATTGTAATGGCCTGCATTGAGTCACTGTGTGTATGTATGTGAGGGAGAAAGGATGTGTGTGTGCAGACACACAACGTGTATGAGTAGTGTGAGTGAGGGACAGAAATATGAATTATTTTAAAGAAATACAAAGTCGTTATTTTCAGCTAACTACAAATAATACATAGTGATGGCTAATACCGTGTTGATAAATAGAAGTCCAATGGGAATTATTCTTAATGCAAAGATAGGAATCAATTCTGGCTATTGGTAAAGTGCTCATTTCAAACTGAATTCCCATAAAGCCCATTTAAAGGTGATCCAGAAGTGTTTATTCATGGACTGGATAGCTTACTGTGCTTACTGTGAAAATTTATCATAGACAACAGTGGTCAGGATTTGTGTATTTGGAAACCAAATTCCTTATAAACAGAGCACCCTAAGCTTCCTTCTCTTTCTTTTGTAGTTGTACTGTATCGCTTTCAGTGGAATGCTGCAGTTAGTGTGTATTCTGCTGTCACTTTGTAGCTCTGGTCGTTTTCATCAAGGATGACTGAGTGTTGATGAACCATTAAGTGGTCCACTCACTTGATCTCTTTTCACTTGCTCACTTGAATAACTCTCCCTGGGTGGTGTGAGTGCTGGGCAAGGGAGTGCGGGAAAGAATTCATTTGCCTCCATATCAAGGAGTGAATATGATGAACAACTGGATGAATCTTTGAGGGATATTGTGGGTGATAATTGAGAGGATCAGATCAACAATTAAATAGGTTTCTCATGGACAAAGGTTAAGTATGATAATTACTATATTACCAAACCAAGGAGTAGGATGGGGCATCAGTTAAGGGGAGCCAGCTTCCATACACAAAGGTCAGACTCTTTTGATGATTTAACAAGCATTCTTATTCCATGGGTTAGTTCCTATCCACTCACATTTAAAAAGAGATGATGAGAATTTTTTTTATTATACTGTAAGTTTTAGGGTACATGTGCACAATGTGCAGGTTTGTTACATGTGTATACATGTGCCATGTTGGTGTGCTGCACCCATTAACTCGTCATTTAGCATTAGGTATACCTCCTAATGCTATCCTTCCCCCCTCCCCCCTCCCCACAACAGTCCCCGGAGTGTGATGTTCCCCTTCCTGTGTCCAAGTGTTCTCATTGTTCAATTCCTACCTATGAGTGAGAATTTTATATATGTCCTTATATATTTCATGAACAAATCAAATGTCCCAGAATGTTTCAATGCAAATCAAATTCCAAGCAACATCTTTTGGCAGTTTTTAATTTTTGTTAATGATTTCAAATTTCCTGAAAATGAGCCACGTACATCCCTCAAAATAAAGAAAATAATCAGCAAGGGATTCACAGTTTCTGGTGAGACCTACAGGTTTCTGCTTATACTAATCTTTCTTCAAAAATGGTATTTTGTATTCTAAGCTATTCAGTAAATGATAACAGTCCTCATATGATTTAGTACTCATTTGATTGCACTCTAGGCCTCCATATGAGTACTATTTTATATACTTTAGCAAAAGCAAATGAGTCTCAACTATCTATGAATTAATTATAATTACTGACCGATTTAATGTTTTCTTTTACATTCCTTTTTATATGTATTCATCTAAAACAAACATTATTCTAGGCATGCAATAAACAATTATTAGTTCAAGTTGAAGTGATTCTGTATAAAATTGGTCTCGTATTTATTCATTCAGAAAATAAGCAGGGAGAGGGTGCATATTTTAAAAACTTCAGTAATTTCTGTACCAGACAACCCTTAAGCAAAATAAGATTTGAACCTTTCAGAATTGCTTAATGAATTGATATTACATGGAATACCATGTAATATTTCTAAACTTTTGCAGAATTTTTTTTCCTTTTTTTGAAGCCTTTGAACATAAGCTTTGTCACAGATCCTGCATTTGAATGTTGAAAATATGATTGTGTTTTGATTGACTTGGTGCATCTTTAAGATAGAAGCCACGTATTCTGAGCAAAGCCATGCCAACATTTGACAGATTATTGTGGAAAGCTCTGGATGAAAGAGAGGGTGAGTTAAATTAATTGAAATGCTGTCTTAAAGAGTGGAAACTCCAAGATTCCATTTAACAAGAATAAGACACTTTTTTGAATGGAAGTGGTTTTGGAGGGAATAAAACATATAAGAAAACCAAGGTGTGCTATTTTAAATTTATTCTAAGCATATCTTGTCATTACTCTTTGGCTGCCCATAATTTCTTTATGATGTTGGTCAGGATCACCAAAGACTATGCTCTGCTCATTCATCTCTAACATACACTCGACAGTTCTCTAATGTATTGGTCATAACCACAGTGGATCTTCAGATCCTGAGGGATGTTTCAGGAGCCTCTGGATGTTTTGAAATATTTTTCTCCCAGCCCTTTCCTCCTAAGATCCAACTTGGCTAGCTTGAGGATATCAATGAATTTCAAATAGCATTTGTGATGAGGCCACTTGCTCCACTGTATAAATTTGCCATTAAAAGCAAATAAAATGTGACATCTTCCTCCTTCCTCTGGAGCTTGAGGACAACATCCACAGCACATGGTGGGTTCTGCACTGCACATTGGTCAAACACTTTCCTCAGGATAAAGGAAGTGAGGTGCATTGAACAACCATAACTTTAGTAGAGAGACTTCTTTACATAAGGAAGAGTTGTATTTTAGGCTGCTCGAATTTAACAGCATCACCGTTCTTAAGTGACATTTGATGTGTCTTTCTGAAGTTTAATAGTAGATGGCAAAATTGCAGGGGTTGGCTTGCAGCTTATATTTGAATACACCTTCCTTAGCATGGGACCCAGGTCCTTAAACAGCATTAGTGCCCAGTCACAATCATGCAGACTTCATAAATACACAGGACATCTGTGTTCTTTGTTCACCACCAGTATCGCCTGGGAAAGGGCTGTTCTGTAGAAAATAATGTGAGCCACATGCGTTATTGTAAATTTTTAATAGGCACATGATAAATAATGAGAGAGGAAAGCTGGTGAAATTAATTGTATTAATATATTTTATTTAACCTGAGATACCAAACCTTATCTTTTTAATGTATAACCAAAGTAAAAATGTTATTGAGATATTTTGCATTTTTTATATTAAATCTGTCAGATCTGGTATGTAATTTACACTTGCAGTGCATGTCATTGCAGAATACTCACATTTCAAATACTCATCAGCCACATGTAGCTGGTGGCTACTATATTACACAGTGTAGACCTGGGGCTTGAAATGGTATCACATACATAATCATCACTCAATTAAATATTTCTCAAATAAATGAGTGAATAATATTAGTTGACTGGTTTTGGTATATACAGACCAAGTAATAATTTTCTGTGTTATAAAATTATTTTATTGTGAGTCCCAAATGCCTCATTATGAAATTTCTGTATTAAGTAATAGAGAGATCTTTTATGTGGACTTAGAATATTTCTTTTTGGAATAAGGCTGAAGTTCTAAAACAGTTATATGAACAGTAGAATGCAAAATAGCTTGAGTATTCTGAAATTCATTCGTTTGAACTCGTCATTTCATTTTCTTCTGCTGTGTGGAATGAAACTCATATGCTCGTATTTTTATGTCTGTGAAATATGTATTTTTATTCATTAGAAAGAAGTCAACTAATTAGCATTTACTAATCTCCCATTCCTCACATTGTAATATCATTCTCTTTATATCTAAAGGGAAAATTGTTAATATTTCTTTTAAGCCTATAAACTTAATTTCCATTAAGGGAGCTGGTAGTTTGAATGAAGATAACAACATCTTGCAAGTTTTATTCCTATTGTCTGGATTTTTATAGGTTTTTCTATATCGCTTTCATTTGTGGCATTTGTGTAAGATATGTAGTCTGGTGTTTGCTTAATTTTTCTGATTTATATGTTTAACGGTAGAAAAGTTCATCTAAATGATGCAAATTAAAGAATCTCCAAATCTTTCCCCAAATGTCAATAATGCTTAATTATTTTAAATTGCTCATCTGATATTACTTTTAAATAGGGTATTTGAATATCTCAAATTTTCTACAAATATTAAATGGAAAGTCAAAATAATTTGATTGAATCAAAAGGGGACCCAGATTAACTGGCATCAATAATCTAGAAAGTACATTTCCAATAGACAAAAAGCTTTGAAATAAAAATCAATGTATAGCATTGTCCTACTTATGCACAATTTTGTCTATTCCAAGTGAATTTATTTATAGAGAGATGTCTAGAAGGATGCTCGCCAAAGTGTAAGCAGTGGTTATCATTGGCTGATGTGGTTTTGAATGATGTTTACTTAATTTTCATTTAGCTGAACCATTTAGATAGTTTTGTAATGATGCTAAAAAATATTCAAAAATAAGCTTGAAAATATAGATCAAATCGCACTGTCATCACAGAAAATTTGGCATGTAAACTGTAACAGAAATTTCTGTTTCAGAAAAACTATAAATTTTGAGTTTGCCTAGTTCTGTCATTTAATTAATAAGGTATTTAATTTCAATCAACATATAAACTTTATCTGATACATCTTAATGTAGATGAAAACCTAGTAAATAACATTTGTTAAATGTACCGTCTTAAAGCGTGTGCCATTTGTTATTGAATATCTGATGAGTGAATGTACTAGTCAAAAAATCTTTCTCATTTATTCATTTGACAAATATTTATTTATTTATTTATTTATTTTTTGAGACAGAGTCTCACTCTGTCGCCCAGGCTGGAGTGCAGGGGCGCGATCTCGGCTCACTGCAAGCTCCGCCTCCCGGGTTCACTCCATTCTCCTGCCTCAGCCTCCCGAGTAGCTGGGACTACAAGCACCTGCCACCACGCCCGGCTAATTTTTTTTTTTTTTTTTTGTATTTTTAGTAGAGATGGGGTTTCATCGTGTTAGCCAGGATGGTCTCGGTCTCCTGACCTCATGATCCCCCCATCTTGGCCTCCCAAAGTGCTGGAATTATAGGCATGAGCCACTGCGCCCAGCCTCATTTGAGAAATATTGATGATGCAAATAACAAAACATGGTGTGAGTTTGACAGTTTGGAAAGTAGTGGATTTTTATGTGACTCCATTTCACTAATCATAATAAATATTAATAATAGCTACTTTTTATTATGTGCCATTGTGTTAAGTGAATAATCTATATAATCTTTACCACAACCCTTTGGGTTAGATATTATTATTATTGTTATTATCCCTATCTTGCCCAGGAGGAATCCAAGGAACACAGAGGATTATAACTTGTCTAGGATCATGTGACTGTTAAGCGTTTTTGTCAAGTGTGAAGACCAGGCACTTGAGCTGTAGAGCCTGGTGATTTAATCCTTACACTGTACCCAGTGTACTACTGTGTTCACTGACGATGCTTGGTTTGTCTTTGATATTTTAGCAGCAGGCTTTTAAATGTTTTAAATTTATAATTATATTATGTAGAATAACTAAGCACCTAACATTTTTCTATTGCCTAAAATGGACAGTTGTCTTATTATAGTTTTTTTACTATAGATAATTCTTAACTTATCTTTCGACTAAATTGGTGATCTAGCTGAGACAAGTGTCTGACCGTACTACAGGTTCCTCTGCACACAGGTCCCAGATGAAGTTCAGTGACTTGTCCAAGGCTTCACAGTTAGTCGGCGGGAAGGCACGCAAGCCCTGTGTGCTTCTATTTGTCAGGCATAATTATTTTATAAATTTGTACTATTCCTAATTATAAAGGTAATTTTTTAAAAAATTCAACCCATTGGTGGAACTCCTTCAAAATATTCTTGCAATTTTATTTAGTAATAAAATTGTTAAATTGTGGCTCTTAATAGCATTACAAACTAATATTCAAGAGAGTTTAAAGGATCAGAACTGCACAAGTGAGTAAACAGACTTGATTATAAGGACATCTAATTATTCCAAGGTAGGATATAATTAAGTGCTAAAGCTGTGTGATATAAAGACAATAAAGGCTGCAGTGTTTCTAAGGAGGGAATCAAAGAACCGTATTCCTTTGCTGGGCTCTGCTTGCCAAGTTGAAGACTTGAAAAGTAAAACAAAAACAAAGCAAGTTTACACAAGGTCTTATAGTGTTGTCTAGTCTTGTCAATTTGTCTTTTAAAGACACATAATCTTGATTAGTCAATCCTATACCTACCATTCTCATATAATCATATACCAAGGTAGCATATTAATAGTAAGGAAAGTAGCTTAAAAAGGAAAGCAAAAATAGATGGTAATTATCCTTGGTTGTGTGCCAGAAGCATCTTCTTTCGATATTACTGAATTTTGTATGGTAGGCATTGGCTTCCCATTTTACAGATAAGAAGATTGAGGCTCAGAGGATTTCAGGGACATTGAATGAGGTTGTGCTTATTAGTGAAGGAGATATCCAAATCCTAGTGTGCTGTGGTTTTAATTCCATTTTCCCTATTGAATTTTGACAAATCGCCCCCCCCCGCCCCCAACCCCCAACCGTCTGGAAAATCAGGATGCTAGCACTCAACGCTTTTATTCCAGATTGCCAGGTGCCTTTGTGGAGGGTAGAAGGGCTTCTCAGAGTGGTTGGGAAGATGCAGCCATCAGTCTTAAATTGCTGCTTGACCTTGTAAGGAGGGTGTCTAGGAATATAGCATGCAGCTGTGGCTGGACAGGGGCACTCAAGATGGGTTCAGCCAAGCTTGCACTTCCCAGCTCATTAGAAAATCCTACACACTGCCTTGGACAGGCCAGACAAGGCGGGGCTCATTGTGTTGACATGTGGAGGAATACATTTAGCATCCAAGACGAGAATGACTTGAGCAAAACAGAGAAATTAGAGCTAATTGTTTTCAATTATTGTCACTCCCTCTTTATCAAGCCCTCTTTTTTCTTCCACTTTCTCACTGTCCTAGTTTTACTTGCCAGAAGAGGAGGAACTTAGTGAGTCACTTAATGATGTCTGGGTGTAGCTTAGTTTGATGTGTTGCCTTTTTTTGGCCTTGGTTGGTGCGGAGGGCAGGGAATTGCTTTGTACAAAGTCATCAGTCATTAGGAGATGAGCCCAACATGTCTGTTGATGAAGTTGAGACATGTAACCTTGGAATGGTGGTAACAACAGTGACAAGGACAGCAGACATGTACTGGAGGAGTTTTACGTGCCGGGCACTGTGCCAAGTGCTTTCACAGAATTTTATATTTTATCTTTGCAACAATTTCTATGAAATAGGGGCTATGATATTCCAGTTTTTAGATGATTAAACTTATTTGCTCAGAGCAAGTTCTGTTGGGATCACTGGGACCTTCCTGTTATATGATATACCCCACATGCTATTGACAATGGTATTAGCCAGTAAATATTTAAATGTAAAAGTCAGCAAAATCATGCTTAAGTTGGATGGATGAGCAAACTGTACATTTTAAGATGAAATAAATTATTTGTAAATCTGAAGAGCAAACATAAGGTCTGTATATTGCTAGAAAAATGCATTTGAACTATTCTCTCACTCTAATACTGTGTATTTCTGCATTTGTAGTATAAACTGCATCATCGTTGAAGGATAACAAATAGATATTCTATAATTGTGGTAATGTATCTTAATAGAAATAGTGTGCCATAGTCAAAGTGACTTAACTAATCAATATGTTTTATACCATATTTTACATTCCTCTATTGAAAGGTATTCTTTAAGAGATAAGGTGTGCGATTTAGTCCATTTAGCTCCTAATTCCAACTTTCCTACATTTTGAAGATGTATGGTATTTATTTGCATTTTTTTGGGTTTGCTTTATATGCTCATTTGGATCTTACCTATTTTCTTTTTCATTTTAACAGTTACATCCAGCTTTTTAATTGCCTAAGCGGTCTGGGGCTTGCTTCGTCATTTGGCTTTGCTGTGGAGCACTCCTGTAAAGCCAGCTGAATTGTACATCGAAGATCCACCCTTTTGGTGAGTGGAATCATAGCTACAATTTTGTGTTTTGCTCTGCCTCAAGTTGTGTTTGCATTGTTGATCAAAATGCTTTCATACAGGGCACAAAATAGGGCTTTTCCAGCTCTGTGCAGAAAAGGATTTTCTTTTTCTTATGGACAAAAGTAATTTGTACTGCCATTTTCTGTCTTTGAAATTTGCTATTGTCTCTCCCCCTCCCAACCCAATTGAATGACTTTACAATTCTTCAGTCGCATATCTGCCTCTTTTCTACCTGGATAGATCCCCCTGTGACTCCCCGCACCTCACCCCACCAAATAATTTGGTCACCACATTTTTCTTATTTGCTATCTTCACATAGAAATAAACTGTGCTGGTTGTGATTAGCTAGGCTACATAGCATCACATCCTAGAGTGCAAAGGCCTTTTGGATGGAAAAACTTGGCCCTCTTGATCTGTTAAATGTTGTTAATCTATACAGGCCATAAGACAGAAAGCAAAGAGAAAATCATTAAGCTTTTCTCATGTTCCCGGTTAAATTGTTTCTGCTTTTATGGTCCCTGAACTGGTGTTCTCCATATATTTCGACGTCATCTGGCCCCCTATAACAAATGTTTCTCTCAGGTTCTTTCTTAAGACACCTACAACCATTTTCCCCTGGTCCTCTGCTGTTTAGATCTTGCTTTTATCTTTTTACAGATCAAATTCTGCCAAGATGGCTCATTTTGGGGTGGAACAACTAAAGGGTTCTATAAGGACCATTAATGCACTATGCAATTTTAATTTGAAGTCGGGACATCTGACTTAGCTAGAACATCAGCTACAGCATATTTTTAGTAAATTGAATATGTATAGGACTTTATGGTTAAGGATAAGGTGTAAGAGGAGATATTAAAAACTCATAAGTAATTAGACAAACCAGTGGAAAATAGATCTGGATTAAATCCTTTTTCTTCTTTTTTTTAATTCTTGATTTCTAGCTGAAGTTTTTCTGCAAAAGCGAGACATTAGTGAAGACTATGTCTTAGGTGGCCGAGGAAGTAGAAACGGTGGTAAGGACAGGGTGAAGACATGAACACTCTCATGATGGAGGTGTTCATAATACAATGATCAGCCTGGTTGAAACAGTCACTTTAGAAAGTACAGAAGGTGCAGATTATATAATTCCTGAATGGGAATCTCATGAGGCTGTGGTGACAATTAAATGAGATGATGCAATAAAGTACCTAGTCCAGTATTTAGACAAATAGTTAAGGATAAAGGAACGTTGACAGCAGTTCTGGCTCCATTTTGATGGCGAAGTAATTGACGTCCAAGCAACATGTTTTAAATCTACCTGTCTACCACGGCTAGTTTTCCACATTCCTCTTGCTGGCTCCATACGTTTTCATGGGTGCGCGGCCTGAACAGGGAGAATCTTCCATTAGGGTGGTAGCGGTTCTGTTAGGATTGTATTGTGCTTTCCTTCTGATACAGGCATTCAATTTAATAAGCAGTGCTCAGCACACCTTACCCTTCTCTGAAGAATAATTGTTCCCAGTGTCTTGGAGGCCAGCTTCAAATTGGCTGTGCAACCCTGCCTTGGTTAGAAGGCAAGGTGAATAGTTCACAGACCAGGTGCCATTCTTTCCTGGAAGCATCCCCTGGTGCCACTTGCTGTCGTAGAAGCTTGGGTCTGTTTTTGCTATTGTTCTTAAGGAACTCTAACCAAGTGGTTAGGAAATCCATTATAAATGCAGAGTTGTCAATTTTGGAAGAAATAGGAAGGCGTATGGTGAAACAGACCCAAGACTCTGGCATATCCTATGCTAACCCATCTGTCCTCTCCCAGCAAGTAACAGACCAGAAAACTGCAGAGTTAGAGAGAGAGAGAGAGAGTTTCATGGGGGAGAACCTGGTAGAATGGAGCCTGCCATGGAGAATGAAGCCTTTGTTGAGGCTTCCTAGAGGGTTTCCCCGTTATACCCAACAACCATCCCTTATCTTCCTCTTGGTCGTTCATCATCCTAACCTCATCATCTAATTTAATCTTCTAACTCAGTTTTCTGGTAAAATGTGACAAGACGGTTTTTTGGTGCAAGGTGATTGGGAAAGTAGGTAGAGGATGGTAAGGAATGGCATGGGGATGTGGGAAGAAAAAGGCAAGGCTACATGGTGCTGGGAACTTCCTTGAGAATAAAAGCAAATCTTAGAATCTCAAGTTCAGAGGATGAAAGCTTGAACAACTTGCTGAAGTTCTCAGGTGTTTTACAGTGACCTGGCTGACAAGCTGGCCTGCACATTCATTCAATTCTTTCATAACGTGTTGCCGTCATGTGATAGGGCAGTATTTTCATAATTCACTACTGCAACCAAAAATGTTTCCAATTATGGCTAAATAACAAGCCAGTCATTGATGCAGGGCCTGGCTTGCAGAAAACTCCTACGAACTTTTAGAAGAACTTCCTCCTGCTAACTGCCTGGCATTACATTTCATTGAACCTGTTTTCAAGAAATACCCACCTACTTGCAAAAGGGCCCTACAAGGCTTCTGCCCTCTGCTGCTCATTTAGAGTGTCATTCTGAGCTCTAGTAGAATAAATGAGAATAGCTTTGCCAGGCAATAAGGGGCTTTATAAACATAAGCCAGTCTTTTCCCAGGTTTTCAGTTCCCAGACCAGCCCTGGCTCTTTCCTTTTCATGTAAGCTTATGCCCGAAGTTTTAAATGCCATTCTCTTTGCTCTTTAAGAGGCAGTATCCTAAGGTATACAGCTTTTCTGGCCAGGGATCTACCTTAAACATAACATACAAAAAAATCAACCTTTTGCTTAATGAAGTTGTGTATAGAGTGGTTTTTATTCCATGTTGGATTCAGAGAAAACACTAGGTATAAATGTAGATTCTTATAGTTCTAGGGCAGCCGTACCTACTTTCAACCAGACTAGGATGAAATGCAAGAAGTGCTTCTTTCATCTTCACTAAAAATATGATTTTTGTCTGTTTCTCATTGTTTAAAATATGAAGATAAAAGAGAAAGACAGTAAAAAATCATAGGAAAAAATCCTAATATTTTTAAAGATTGCCTTTGATAAGAGCTACACAAAGCACATATTTTTCAATATTATTAAAATGAAACCATACTTTAGGGAGAAGTTTGAAGAAAATCAAGAGACCTACATAGGGAATATGTTTTAGGCAATGCATCCTGCTGTGGCGTGATGTGTGGATTTAACTCCCTATCAGTAGAATACAAGCTGACATTTTCACTTTTCTTCCCGTTTAAATGGTTCATAATAGTCGCTATATACTAAATATATAAGTGACCAAGTCTCTTTTAAGAAATAAGATTAACGCATTTTTCTCTAATATAAAATCCATTTCCATATAAATACTTAAATTATTAGCACCCCCCTGTTGAAAGTATTACACTGAGCTCTTTTATCCTTTTCATTTTCTGTCAGCATAGAAACACCCTTTAATACTCAAAAGCTAACCTTTAAGATGAGTGCATTTTGAGCTGTTCTTCTTTTTTCTTTTTTTGACAGAGTCTCGCCCTCTGTTGCCCAGGCTGGAGTGCAGTGGTGCGACCTTGGCTCACTGCAACCTTCATTTCCCAGGTTCAAGTGATTCTCCTGCCTCAGCCTCCCAAGGCATGCACCACCATACCCAGCCAATTTTTGTACTTTTGGTAAAGACAGAGTTTCACTATGTTGGCCAGGCTGGTCTCGAACTCCTGACCTCAAGTGATCCACCCTCCTTGGCCTCCCAAAGTGCTGGGATTACAACCATGAGCCACTGTGCCTGGCCTGAACTGTTTTTTAAACTACACTATATGCAAGTCATGCAATACTACATATTTCACAAAATATTTTGTTGGAAATGTAAAGAATAAAATAGAACTTAGTGTAACTAGAACTAATATAGGATGCCTGTGGTGTTTAAACTTAACAATTATCATGGGAAAATGGAGAAAGGAACAGCTATTAAATATATGTCATATACCATTTTTAAACTTTTTTTTCTTTTTAGCATAAATTATGTTATTTAACCATCAAAAGTAAAGTCTTCTTTAATCCTGAAAACTGAGGTCCCAATAGGTTACATATCTTGCTCAAGTTTGTACAACTAGGAGGGAGGAAAAACGTATTTTGTCTTTCAGTCTGTTACTCCAGATCCTAATCCACTGTTTGCACTTTTTGGACAAGAAAATAATGAGATTATTCTAGAGAAAGACATACATTATCATAAAGAATATGATCGGATAAGCCATGATTTAGTAAATTAATTATGTATTTTTAAATCATGCCTTGTTTGTTTAAATTCCCATTGTCACTTATGCTGAAGTGAGAATAGTGTGCTCATTTATGTTTGTCAACTACCATTGGGTTGTGGATTTTGGTTTACAAACCTTTTAGTGTATGAATCAATAAGGTATTTGTAACATGAACTAAGAAAAGTAATTATAAAACATTACTGAAAATTTTAGGTAGCTCATTTGGAAAACTGAGCGGGAATCTCTTTGAATGGCTCACTTTACTAGTATAAAACAGTTATAAAAAAGGCAAAGTAGTCCAGAGGTGTTTGTTGTATCATTGGAACTATGCAAACCAGGAGAAGCGAATAGAAAGGAGTTTGGGCAAAATCAAGCATTTTAACTAGGTGTTGAGAAAATATAAGAAAAATAAATTATAAATCTGTTTTGACTAGAACACTAAAAGATAAATATTAGATGTTAATTTAATAGAAATTAAATATAATTATATATAATATAAACTATAAGTAAGTCAAAGGATTATAGTTAAGGTCAAGTGGGTATGTTTGTGTGTGTACATGCATACCATACTCAGGTCAATAGAACATGGGTTACAAAAGTGGGAATGTTGGGCCGGGTGCAGTGGCTCATGCCTGTAATCCCAGCACTTTGGGAGGCTAAGACGGGTGGATCTCCTGAGGTTGGGAGTTCGAGACCAGCCTGACCAACATGGAGAAACCCTGTCTCTACTAAAAATACAAAATTAGCCAGGTGTGGTGGCACATTCCTGTAATCCCAGCTATTTGGGAGGCTGAAGGAGGAGAATCTCTTGGACCCGGGAAGTGGAGGTTGCAGTGAGCAGAGATCTCGCCATTGCACTCTAGCCTGGCCAACAAGAGCAAAACTCTGTCTCAAACAACAACAACAACAACAACAACAACAACAACAACAACAAGGCACGTTAATAAGGAGTATGGGTATAATATTACAATCATATAGAGAAAGTAAATAAATACCTTTAATTCTTGTTATTCCCAACAGTCATGTTCCTTAAAGTCTCTGTGAACACAAAATTAGCGAATACAGAACTATTGCTCCTCTGGCAAATAGAGTTAGGAAATGGCAAGCCTCTGGTCACAACATTTTCATCAAAAAACCAACAGATCAATATATAACCTTGCTTTTTGTGTGCTTCTGTTTAAAGACATCTTATTGAATATAAACTATTGATTTCTTAACATTGCAGTCATGGTCAATACAATACAACTCTTGCCTGAGAAAAGCTTCTCCAACACAGCCTTTTTGTGCTTAGGATCTCTAGACAGCACTGCAGTACCATGCTTGGGGGCCATGTTAGACAGCGATATCACAAACGCACAAAATATGAAAAACGTGGGACTCCCTAGAGAGGGAAAAAGACACTTGTTTGCAGTGTGAGAGCTGAAACAACAAGGCAGAGGGTCACCTTGTTACACCTCAGCTGGAGCATGCATGCTGGATTATTCAAATATTTTGGCCCTCTGCACATGTCCATGAATGACCAAGAAAGTGCTATTAGTGTTCATTTTGGGGTTTCAAATAAATTTTAGTCCATGGGCAAATTCACAAATATGGAATCCACAAATACAATGCCTCTCTGTCTTTGTCTTTGTCTCTCTGTCTCCCTCTCTCTCTACGTATATACATCCATATATATATATACACACACACACACACGCATATTATATATATATAATATAATATAATGTATATATATATTTGAGACAGAGTTTTGCTCTTGTTGCCCAGGCTGGAGTGCAATGGTGTGATCTCAGCTCACTGCAACCTCCGCCTCCCAGGTTCAAGAGATTCTCCTGTCTCAGCCTCCTGAGTAGCTGGGATTGTGGGCATGCGCCACCATGCCTGGCAAATTTTGTATTTTTAGTAGAGACAGGGTTTCTCCACATTGGTCAGGCTGGTCTTGAACTCCCGACCTCAGGCGATCCACCCACCTCGGCTTCCCAAAGTGTTGGGATTACAGGCATGAGCCACCACACCCGGCCTAATATATATTATATTACTATATTTTATATACATACATAATAATATTAAGACAGCTCACATCGGTATGTGAAATGCCTTAACATAATTTTTGAAGTGCGTTTATAAAGTTTATCTTCGAACTTCTTGCTAAACAAAGCCCAAATTGAAATGTGTTCCTTTGATATATCTATGTTGCCTAAATTGAAAAGAAAGTGCCATAGCTACTTCGAGGAAACAAAGATTTCTCTAATGCTTAGGTCTGATAGAAATTTTTCACCTGAGCCTTCACATGAAAAGATGTTGTAATACAACCAGTATCATCTGTAAACTAAATCCAGCAGTGGGCCTTCTACAACCATGTCTTAAAGTATGTTCCTGATGACAGTATAATGAACATAGTTATATGTGGATTAAACTGAAGTTCAGACAGACAGCTTTTCATTTGTCCTGCATGATCCAAGGTTAAAACTTGAAATAAGTAAATGTTGCGTATCTTCCTGGTTACCTTCCACAAATGCAGCATCTTTCATTTGTAAATAATTTTTATAAGTTGAATAGAAGATAATTGGGATGGGTGTCTAAAATATTGGTCTTCTCTTTAGATGATTAAGTAACATGTTTTTAATAATTCATAAATGATAAGATATTGGTATTGGTCTTCTAGGCAAATTATCAGAGATTTTTTTTCTATTATCCTTTGTGTTGGTGACGGTGTGGTATGGAGAATTACTAATCACTCTTTATGGGAACAAGAAGTGCTGAGGACCTAAAAAGGCTTACAACTTTTGAACCTGTTATTATACATTTAACATTTTTTGCTAAGAGAAGAATCAACACGGATAGAAAGATACATTTCAAAGATGTTCCTGAATGAATGATTTGAAATAGGAACAATTTCTTCCACTCCTTCACCTTGGCACTGTGTGGTTGCCATTTGTGCACACTTACCCCACCTCTGTGTGGTCTTGCTTCTCACAGCTGCTCCTGTGATTCTCGTGGGAAGCCTTTCCTCGGGATGCTAAAATAAATAAACAAATGAATGCATAAATAAGTAAATAAATATATAAAATAAAATAGAAGCAATTTGAAAACAACCTAGAATTCTACAAATAAGGGCTTGATTAAATAATGACATCCAAATGTCGAAGTGCTGTATATTCCTGAAAAAATGTATCTTCTCAAAGAATATGTAAGAATATAAAAATACCTTTCCATATTGTTTTTAAAAGAATGCGTAGCCTGATGCCAGTATAGTTATATTAAAAATGTACCAAAAGAACACTTTTTATAAAAGGGCAAAAAGGACATACCAGAAAATGTTAATAGTGGTTATTTCTGGAAAGAGAGTTAATGGAGCATTTGTATTTTCCTATGCTATTTTTTTAGTATATTTTTCTGACTTTCTACCATAATTTTATGTTACTGATCACATATTAGCATATGATACATTCTAATCAAATTGAGAAGTTTATCTTGGATGTTAAGCCATTCTACCCCTACCAACAATGTAGATATATTATTTTTATGAGAAAAAATCAATATCTTCAAGCAGAAGATGGTGCTATTTATATCAAGTATTATGGACAGCCAACATAAAGGGGAAAACATATCTTTAGAAAACAAAAGACATGATATTTTTTCACTTGGTATTTATGATCATAAATACCAATTTTATGATCATAGATCAAGGTATTTATGATCCAAGGTATTGCTTCCTGGGTATTGCTGACATAACCTTTCTCGTTTCATACCATTATTAACTTAAAAATTAATCTACTGAGTGTTCTTTGTGTGCCTTTTAGGAGAATATAGTGAGTTAAATAATATAAATGGTTTTTAAAAGTTTCTAAGCCTTTTTTTTGCTTTTTAAAAGTTTCAATTACATTGGAAGAACTAGTTGGTTCTTTAAAAAATAAATAATATGAAATTCAGAGGAAAGAGTTATTGTAGTTATTATTGCAGGCAGAAAGCAAAGGAGAAAGCATCTGAAAGAAAGAATGAATGGTGCAGAATGAGCTGTAAATAGGGATTTGCTAAGCACACTGCAGAATAATAAGGCCTGCTTATTGAGGGCCTATTACATGCCAGCTACTGAGTTAGACATTCACTGCAGCCACTTCAAAACATTGACCAGGATGTTACACAGGAATTGATATGATCTCACTTCAGAGATGATATTAGACAGCCTCCCAACCTTACACGGCTAGTGAATGGCAGCAGAAAGATTCAAAGACCACTCTTCTGTTGTTTTTCCTACTTACTGAGTCCTCATCCCAGGCACAGAACGTTTATTTCTTGCCTCTTGTCGTTTCAGTTTCTTCTGCAAAATTGTGTTAAAGTGACTTGCCCAGGGTTGCAAAATAAACGGTCAAGCTGGGAACAAGGTCTGTTTGACTTAGAGCCTGGGTTTAATCTGTGACTGCTCTTAAACTCGACAGCTCTATGAGTGTAAAAGTGCTTTCCTCATAGTGTGTTAGGAGAATCAATTAGTATTAATGTGTGAAAGTGCTTACAACAAGGCTGGGCATAAAGTGAGCATTCTATTATCATGTTTTGTTCTTCTTATTATTACTACTATGATTACTACAGCATTATTACCAGAAGAGCGAAATGCATATCAGTAGTGGTATGGGAGGACATTTAAATGATTAACAGAATAGGGAGATTTTTTTATTTTGTATTTCATTTTATTTATTTATTTATTTATTTTGGGATGGAGTCTCACTCTGTCGCTCAGGTTGGAGTGCAGTGGTGTGATCCCGATTATTGCAACCTCCACCTCCCGGATTCAAGCAATTCTCCTGCCTCGGCCTCCCAAGTAGCTGGGCATACAGGCGCCTGCCACCAGGCTCAGCTAATTTTTTTTGCATTTTTAGTAGAGACGGGGTTTCACCATGTTAGCCAGGCTGGTCTCAAACTCCTGACCTCAGGTGATCTGCCCACCTTGGCCTCCCAAATTGCTGGGATCAGGCATGAGCCACCATACACAGCCGAAGTGAGATATGCTGTTTTCAAATTTCTTTTGACACAGTTGTTACTTCAAGAAGAGTATCTTAGTTTGCAACTACTGTGACTCTAATAACTCTCTTAAACTTGCTAATACCTCTATTTTAGGAAAAAAGTAGTAGGTTCACATACAGAACTTTTATTAGCCAATAGTTTCTAGTTTGAAATTAGGAGCTTTTTAAAAATTAATTTATTTTTACAATTACTTTCTATTTACAGTAAATAATACTGTTTTTAAAATGTTTAAGTCTTTTATAATTGACTTTTAAAATAATGTTTTAAAAAATAATTTTAAAAAATGTATCAAGATCAACACAAATAATAAGGAATAATGCCAGTATTATTAATTGTTGGTGGCCATTGGGAAGGCAATGCTGGAAAGACGGTTGGGAAATATTGCAGTATATGAAATTGGCAAAAAAAAAAGAAAAGCAAACTCTAGGGAGCAACCACTGTGACCCAAAAGAAAGATTTACATAAATAATTTGTGGGAGATAAGGTTGGTAAAACTCTCTTTTTTTCTCCTTTCACTAGAAAGCAGTGCAAATGTGTGAGACTCAAGCAGCACTGGTCCGTTGATGCTTCTTGGGGAAAACTCTTCCCTAAACCATAGCACTCAGACGAGGGTTATGTGTGGCCACTTCTTCTGTGATTTAAATTCAAGGAGGAAATCTTTTTGGACTAGCCAATTTTATTCAGGTTTCTCATCTTATGAATCTGTGCTCTGGGAAGACAACCACCATATCTGGCTTCCTTATTACTAAATCTCCACTGCTTCACCAACTGCTTGGGACATAATAGGTGATCAATAAATAGTTTTTCTGGATGAATGAATAAATTCTGTCCACAAAGCGTCCTTCACTGAGCTTGTTTTAGATTTATGTGATTACATCTAAGAACTTGGATGGGGCTGACATAGGAAAAGGGAATTAATTCTAAATTTAATAGATGTATGACCTTAAATGAGGCCAGCAGTGTCATTGCAGAAGTGCTTGGGAGACCTGCCACTGTCAAGTGAAATGCCGGTAGCACAAATTGAGATATTAAATTGATTCAAGAGGTCCAATGCGCACATGGATATCACTCCTGGGAAGACCATTAGGGGCTTCAGGAGAGGAAATGTTACTGCCCACCAAGTTTCCTTGAAGGAACAAATCAGTTTGACTCATCAGCAGTCTTTATGGATTGCCAGCTGTGGGCCATTCCAGAGCAAAAAGATTATGCCTCTGCATAGTGACACTGCTATTTTAACAGGACATGGAACAGGATGATTCATGAGACAAATAATTCTGTTCTAGACTGTGTGTGTGCATGCATGTGTGTTCAAAGTTAAGGATGTCAAGGTAAATATTTCAGAAAAGTTACCTGAGGGTGCTAATCTAGCCCCCTAGAGCCTCCTTGTTATATAAATCACGTACTGAAGGTCATCAATTTAGATTTGAATGTGTGAAATTAGCCATTTATAAGATAGTTCTGCTGTTGGTGTGTTTCCTAATTTGGGTATAAGAAATGGTAGTGACATTTTTTTTTTGTTATAGATAGTTTGTAACCAGAGATGCCACATCACACTTTCTCAAGTTCCCTGAACAGTGATAAGATGAATTTATCAAACAAAACCTCTCTGCCTTTGCTGAAAAATATTTTGAATGTGTATTTGTGTATCCAAGATTTTGGCTCTGAAGACCTATAAGCTCAGTGTTTTGGGATTGCTTTGAAAAGCCATTTTAGTTATATATATATATATATATATATATATATATATATATATACAGATCAGATTGAGAATTTTCCCAAAATGTAGATATATTTTAGACTAAATGTTGAAATTCAGTAACAGCAACAACACCAGCAACCATAACAACAATAATAATACATTCTGGAACTTAATAATAGCAAGCACATGGAGACCACGTGATATCGTGGGCCAACTCCGTTAAGGATTAAACATACATTATCTCATTTAATTCCCACAACACTCCATGGTACACTATGTCATCACTTTGGCACTCCCTTAAACTTCTGTTACTCAGCCAGCCTCACCTGACTTTTTTCTCAGCTTCTATCTCCTGCATAAGCAGAATGCAACAGTGAAATAGCAATATTTTCTGGCACAACTCAGGGTGGCATGATGTTTATTATAAAGCAGGAAGATCTAAATTTGTTTAGTCCATTGGCATTATGTCAGTATCAAAGCCCTAACTGATGTAATGCATGACAGCTTTCTGAATAAGTGACACCCACTCAATGAATGTCTTGACCAGATACTCCAGGGAAAAAAATACTACGATACATACATTTTTGTTAAATAAGGCTGTTATTCATGTTACCTATGATGCCTTTAACATTAGGGCCCTAGTACATAATTTGCCCAATTCAAATGATAGAATTATTTATTATCAAATTTGCAATTCCAGATCTCCAAATTACTCTTTTGCATCCTTGAAGGCTACCTGAAGTAATAAAGAAATTCCTCTGCCTTTGAGTGACTCCAAGAGACAATGTAAAGGCAAGACACAGCAGCTTCATGAAAGCTCAACATAAATTTGAATATGCTCTGAAGAGGGGGCAGTTGTCACCATGGTGATTTTATTCTTTCCTAGATTGAGCTCAAAATCAAAGGGGAGGAGTTTTTAAAGCAAAGATGCTGAAATAGGTGAATCAAAAATCTGGATAAAATTTCCAATTGTTATTCAAAATACAGTCCTTCGTTTGATGTTTGGAGCCTATATTTGGGATCAGATACTCAAGATAATGATTGTTAGGTAGCCTGAGAGAGTGTACTTCTATTGTTAGAATATTGTTAGGTAATTGGAAAGCTATCTAATTATTATTAATATTCTGCTAAAAATGATTACACTGGCCTTTCCTCCACTAACATTACTGACTGTTTACTATTCACTAGGCAATATGTAATGTTCTTTGCATGCATTATTTTATTTAATACTTATAAAAATCTATGAGATAGATGTTACGGCTATTCCCATTTTAAAGATGAAGAAACTAAGGTTTATGCATTCATAGCAAGCATTTTTATAAGGATACATCACTGCAAAAGAAGTCTGATTCAAAAGCTCCTGTCTTTATGAAGTTGTGTTTTACTGGTTTGTCTAGATCACACAGCTCCTAAGTGGCAGATATAGGATGCAAACCCAGGCTGAAATTATTAAACTCTATAATAAATAATGTTCAATGCCTATGTCAATAATCTGTGATTTTAGAAGCCTTATTTAAGATTGGACATGCCTACAGGTCGAAGTTTTAAGCAGTACAGGTAGGAAGGCTGCTGATGTGAGCCTGGAGTGCTCACGGCGATCACTACTCTTGTATTGATCACTATGAGAATTTCAGGAATATGCTACCAAGGATACAACTTCTTTCCAATCACATGTTACCTAGGAGAAGTCTCACTAGACCTCTGACAATTCCTCTCACCCACAACTGAAGGATGATTCTATTCCAGTTGGGAAGGGCCTTCTCATAAACTGAGAATATGAAGCAGAGATTTATCAAAACCAACCCTGGCTGCTGTTACAGTGACAGATGTCACAGCTAGACCACCCTCAAACAATCCTGGAATGACTCTTCAGAATTCTGCACATGCCAACAGCCATTTTCAAACACCACAATTTTTTGCTTATGTTCTCCCTCTCGCTTTCTATGTGACCTTCATCAGCAAGTCCTTTCCATGGCACCTCTGGTTTCTGACTTTCAAAATTGGAAAGAACAATTTTTGCCTCTTAGAGAAGTCGCTGGGATTCTGGGACATGCGTATCTTGGTGAAAGTTAAGCAGCATTTGGGAGTCTTGACCCTCTTCCTCATGGCCCCGAGGTCCTAGTGTTTTTCAATTCTGAAACAGAGGTCAAAACCACCTTTCTTTGTATCTTCGTAAATACTCAGGAGAATGCCTAGCCAATAGCTCCATTTCCCCTGAGGAAATGCATAGGAGCCAGCTGCTAAGTGCTGGAGTTTTCATGCACCTGTTTGTTTATTTTTTTAAACGTAATTGGGAATATGCCTGGAAGCATGAGTCTATTTCTCCAGTGCACTCTAAGCAGATTTAGGCATACAGAAGACAATCACAGCCTTGTATTGTGCATCTATTGCATCTGTAGTTCTCCAGTTGGTGTTCTGCAAAGATAAAACGATCAGAAAGTGCCCGGAATGCAAATTTTAAATGGGGAGATGAGACACTAAAAAATAACCAGGAACATTAATTAAAAAACCAACATAGTAATCATAATCCCTTATCAGGGACTATAAAGCTTTTTATCAGTGTTTTTCAATGTTGGCTGTGTTTTAATATCCTCTAGGAAACTCTAACACACACACGCACACACACACACACACACACACACACACACACACACACAGTGCCTGGGCTCTACCTTCAATGATTGTGATTTAATTGATCTGGGGTGGGGTCCATGTATCCATATTTTACAAAAGCTATTCAAGATGATATGGTGCAAGCTGTTCAAGATGATATGGTGCAGACCTAGGAGCCACCTCAATGCCTACCTTTCACCCTCCTTTCTGTGCACCTGCCCCCATGCCCAGATGCTGTGGTCAACTGCCGTGCCTTGCGTTCAAACATACAAACCTCATGCCTCCTTTAGAGTCTTTGTTCTATTTTGTCCCTCCTATAAAAATGTTCTTTACATAGATCTTTGCATGGCCTTTCCTTCTGTGCCATTTAGTGCTCAACGCACGTCACCTGTTTGCAATCTACATGAGCAGAACTTTCTAGAGTTGTACAGTTCACAAGACGGGTGGCCATAAACTGTAGCTCTGCCTTCCCTGAAACTTGGCAGTCTTTCTGGTTACTCTTAAATCAACTTGTTCTATTATTTCCTCTCCAAGTTTTGAACTGAAACCAATTTGTTTATCAGATTTTTTTAACCTCCTACAATTAAAATTCAGGGGCTAAGAGAGCAGGAACTTCCTCTGACTTGTTCAGTGCTATATTTCTAACACATAGAATAGTACCTTGCATACAATAGGTGCTCAGTTAATATTTGTTAAATGAACGTTCTGTGCGTGATTCACGGAGCTTAGAATCTCTGACCTAATGCAGTAATATAAAGTAGTAGGAGTTCATGAGGATATCTTAATAGCAGAGACACGATTCTGAGTAGATTTCAAATAAAGAGAGCATATTGGGAGAGTGTTTTTTATAGGTGGAGCAATATCTCTCTTTTTTTTTTTTTTAAAACAGAGTCTTGCTCTGTTGCCCAGGCTGGAGTGCAGTGGCACAATTTTGGCTCACTGCAACCTCTGCCTCGTGGGTTCCAGCAATTCTCCTGCCTCAGCCTTCCAAGCAGCTGGGACTACAGGCGTGCGCTACCATGCCTGGCTAATTTTTGTATTTTTAGTAGAGACAAGGTTTCACCATATTGGCCAAGCTGGTCTCAAACTCTTGACTTCTTGATCCACCTGCCTTGGCCTCCCAAAGTGCTGGGATTACAGGCGTGAACCCCTGCACCCAGCCATGGAGCAATATCTCTTAAGAGCTGGAGCAAGTCATGCTCAGAGTGGAACAAGCTAGTTAGCTTGGCTGGGATGACCAAGCTGTAATTATTAAAATTAATTCAATCTCATTAGATAATAAAGTCATCCAAAGTGAAAATAGTCCTGTATTTGGAAATAAATCACAATTGGGTCTAAAGCAAATGTCCCTAAGTAATATGATGATACCTGACATGGAGAACATACAATGTCTCCAATTCTCACTAAAAGTTAGAAAGTGTTCGGGCGCGGTGACTCATGCCTGTAATCCCAGCACTGTGGGAGGCTGAGGATGGTGGATCACCTGAGGTCAGGAGTTCGAGACTAGTCTGGCCAACATGGTGAAACCTGCTCTCTACTAAAAGTACAAAAATTAGAGGGGCGTGGTTTTGGGCACTTGTAATCCCAGCTACTCAAGAGGCTGAGGCAGGAGACTCGCTTGAACCTGGGAGGCGGAGGTTGCAGTGAGCAGAGATCGGGCCACTGCACTCCAGCCTGGGTGATAAGAGCGAGACTCCATCTTTTAAAAAAACAAAAGAAAAAAGAAAAAAAAACAGTTAGAAAGCTATTTATTTTTTAATTAATACTCACAGAAAACTGAAAAGTAGCTAATACCAATAATGATACTAACTACTGCCGTTTATTTAGTGTTTCCTTCTTTGATGGCATTGCATAATGATATTCAGTACATCATTTTAACCCTCACAGAAAACTTAAGAGGTAATTAATATTCACAGTTTACCATCGATAAAAGTGAGACTTGGAAAAGTCAAGCAGTTGACTGAAGTCCCACCTCAAGTAAGTGGCTGAAATGAGATGTGAGCCCAGAATGAGGAACTCCAACGTTTCTGCATTCATCCAAAATGCTGTACCACTTTATTTAGACGCAGTTTCGTTTAGTGAGACCTGATAATCACAAGCCTTCCATAATAATTGTATCTCATGAAATTAAGATTTTAATGAAACAAATGGAAAGTCTTCAAATAAAAATTTCTTGTAAACTTTTTCAGTCCAGCATTTGGAGCTAAGAATATGCTTTTGCAAAGAAGAATGTTATAAATAGTGCTCAGGTTCTCAGGCCAGAGAAGCCAAAAATTGTAATTATATTTCTGAACACTTTCTTAAATAAGAAGGGGAAGTAGCTTTTATTTTGCATGTTTTTTGCATGATATGGGTTATTTTTAATTACTGTGATAGCATATAACACTTAAAAATAGAGAGACAAAATAGTTTGCTACATTTTAACATGCTGTACTAATATTTAAGCAAAATAGGCAAAACAAATGCCTATTCAATTTTTGGTTTATCCTTAAATTGAATGCTGATGCTTGGTAATGGTTTAATTAAAACAGGGTGAGAAAGACATTTGGGAGATTTTGTATAGATTCCAAAAGAGATTAGGGGCTCTTTCAAAGAATTAACATGGATTGTAATTGTTTTTTATTTTATGTGATTTCATTTAAAACTGGATTTTTTTTTCTTTTTGTGCAACAGTATCATTTCTCTTAAAACATACCAAATTTAGGAGGGGGATTGTGGCAGATATTGAACAGGATGTGTATGCCAAAGATATACCAAAACACAAGTGCATTACATATATTATCAAGCATCAGGAATTAAAGACAGAAGAGAATGGATGAGCAGGAGAGATTTTAAGGAAGAAATATCACTTCGCTCAGGCCTAGTTGACAAGCAGTTCTTGGCCTGGACCACTTTACTTGCTTTTCAGAGTCTAGAGATCTGGACAAAGGGGCTGTAGGTTAGATAGGAGCTCAGCGAGGAAGGGGGTATCAGTTCTAAGGACTCACCAGGCAAGGCTGATCTGCAAGGCCTGGGTGCTCCTAGCTCAGGGGAGGAGCTACTTTCTCTTCACTTGTAGAGGATTGACAGAAGATAGAAAAAGCTAATTCCTGTTGAATTCAGGTACCAGTACAAAGAAGGTACCAGTTTCAGATAAACAGCCTCAATTAATATTGAGTGCACAGGTGGGCTTATTTTTCTTTTCTTTTTTTAAAATAATTTATTACTGTAAGAGAAGAATGGTAATAAACCATTCTAGTGTATTTTCTTTAAAAATTGGAGCTACTGCTGGTTTGTTTTTAAAACAAATAGTTAATTCAAAACCAACAGAATTCTTAAAAAAAAAAGATGGTAGTTGCTTATTTACTTCATTTCAAAGGTTTTTTTTTTTTTTAAATTCAGTCTCCCTAGCAACAGAGACATCTGTCTCTATTCTCTTAGTCATTAAAGCCAAAGAAAGTAGCTGCTTCAAAAATAATAAAGGCAATTTCTATGAATTGGGTAACTGTTAATTGTTGCCAAGAAATCTTAGTCAGATAATGAGGCATACAGCAATTGACAAAGATCTTTTCACTGATGTATGAGCTTCCAGCTAGCCCATGGTTGTTAACTAATATATACAGTACCATCGATGAGGTATTGTGTGATTCGCTATGTAACACAAATAGAGAAGTGATCTTTACTCCTCTAATTTCTTTCAGAAGTATGCCTTGCTGTGATTTTTTTTGATTGCTTAGTAACTAATCATACCTCGGGATTCCAGGGAATATATTTGCCCATTACATTTCGTGAAAGGAGAAAGGTTTGAAGCATTCACAAGGGACATCAATGCAACAAATAGTAGAGTAGTTGGTGGTGGTGTTAAAACACAATATACTTCTTATTTGTGTTGTAGATTCTGTAAAGCCATTTGAGTGAAAATACTTAAAATTGCACTAGATTCTAAAATGTATATTGGCATTTGTGCTAAAACTGTTTGCAGGCCCTTTATAATGAAACCCCAGTCACCCTCTGCAATAGCTTCACTAATAAACACAAAACAGTTTTTCAACGCTTTCTGCTTTCCCAGCAGCCAAGGAAGCAAATTATATTAAGTCAGTATTTTTTATTATTGGCCCTATGTTTGGCACATGCCTGGCTGTATGTGAAACTACTGTTAAATGGGAAATAACAGAAGGAGAAACCAAGCATATAGAAGCTGGGGTTTTTTTTGTGAATTTTTTTTTAAATAAGAAAATACAGCTCTGATAACCAGATGTGGAACAGCTTATTGCAATATTGTCTTTATAAGCCTATTTTCATTTCCTGGGGGCTGGGGGAACTTTTACAAATGCAAAGTGTCAAAAATGCTGATTCTAATTTCAAAATTAGGATATTTACAAAATTTACATATGTATGGATAACTGTCATTGAAAATACAATGGATACTAAAGCCGTATCAATTTTAGCAGAGATTTGAACAAGAATTTTGCTTTTATTCTAGCATGTTGTGATATACTTATAGTACAGATAAGAAATAAGGGAACTAAAACATGTGTTTAACCTCACAATGGCATTTGTTTGATGTCAAATTGTAGGCATATATATAGTCAGGTACATTATACAAGTCATTAAGGCATTGCTGGTAAAGAGTTGGAGAAGAACTTAGAATAAAAACGCAAGCATAGTTAAGCAAATCCTTTTAGTTTAGGGATATTTTTATAATTTGTGCAGTATTTTTCTCTAATAATCCTCTAAATACAGATATTTCTAGTAAATGCTTATGAATGTAAATGAATAAAAGACATTATCTTTAAAAAATTACAGTTTTCATCTGCATAATTTCACACTGTTAAGGTGACAAACTGTTAATTTCCTTTCAAGATGCTTCTAATATAATGAAAGTAGAAAGAATTTTGTCTAACAACCAAGTAGAAATAGACACTGAATAGCTGTTGGTGACTTTTTATCAAAAGTTTAAAAAATGCAGTGTAAAGAAAATCTTGGCACTTGACGTGGCATTTATGACATACTCTGAGGTTCTCAAAGTTACAGTACTGGCTTTTGTTGATCACATTTTACCATATTGTCTATCGGCATGTCATTTAACAGCAGGTTCTGGTGGTGGGCTTGCAATGAGTATCTGCCTCAGACAGAGGCCACATACAGGATTCATCTTTCTCTAAATGAGAGGTTGGGAAACTACAGCCTGTAGGCCAGATTTGTCCTGCCCCCTGTTTTTGTGTGGTCCATGAGCTAAGGATTGTTTTTATATTGGTATGTGGTTGAAAAAAATCTAAAGAAGAAAAACATTTAGCGACGTGAAAACTATATAAAATTAAAATGTTACTGTCCATAAATGAGGTTTTATGGAAACACAGCCCACCCGTTGCTTTACATATGGCCCGTGACTGCTTTTAAGGCTACGTCGGCAGAGTTGAGTGATTGTAGAGACAGACTGACTGGGCCACAAAACCTACAATATCACTTTAATTATTAATTGAAAATTAATTACAATCTGGTCCTTTCTAGGAAAGCTATCTGACACCAGCTCTAGATTTAGGTTATAGAGTCAGCGTGAATTAAAAGAAAATACAGCTGATATTACAGATTGTAATAGCTAATGTGTGCAGGTAACATTTAATGAAAACCATTTTGGGCCACGGATTATGCTACATGTTTTATGTGGATCATCTCCCTAAATTTTCGCCCTATGATGCAGGTACTCTTATTATCCCCATTTAATAGATAAGATGACAAACCTAGAGAAAAGACTTGTCCAAAGCCCCACAGATAAGTTATGGTGAAGCCAGGATTTAGAACTATGTTTGTTTGAGGGCAAAATCCATGCTTTTGACAACTGCACTATAGTCACTCCTGTAATTATGAGCCCTTACAGATCAGTAAGAAAAAGGGCAAAAGTTCTCTAGAAAAATGAACAAAAGAAATAAGCAGACCTTTCCCCAGTAAGAGATACAAATATCTTCTTTCCCACAGAGCCTTTAATTCGAGGGTGAAGATGATAGGAATTACTAAACCCCTTTTGGTTTTCTGACTTGGAATCTTAGATTTGAATTTCTTTTACCCTCATACCATGGTTAATATTCCATGACTTTATCGGGGTCTCCAGAGTTTCTGAAACACAACCATCAAATCTCTGCCCTGGTGTTTCCATTGGCTAGACTTAATCATGTCAGCTAGAAAATATGGGAGAGTCCTAAATTACACTAGTGGATTCTCTACGAAAGAGGATTCATTTGGGGGAGGAAAAAAAAAAGTTGTGACAAGAAAAAGAATGCTCCAGTCAGTTCTGGGGCAGAATTCTGCAGTGTTGGGAAATATCACTGCTCCCAGATTCATTTTTATGAACCAGGATTCCACGGATACAAGAGTTCATGGAGAAGTTCTGAAGATTTTAGGTCCTTTCTTCTCCTTCACATATCCATTTTCTTGGTCCTGTATTTTGTGCCAGGTTGTCTTTGTATGAGCCAGGATTCTAATTTGTAAGCAACCTAAGCAGAAAAGGAACTTACTGGAAGAGTGTCAGGTAGCTTCTAGAATCATTAGGCAGCCAGGAAAACAAGGTTAATAAAGGAGACAAGAAGAGAAGGAAATTTGGCAACAAAAGTCATAGCCTAAGCCCTGCCATAGGTTTGGGCTAGTCGCGACAGCATATGTCACTAGTTTTAAGGTTTCCGAATGTTGTTATCTACACCAATTTTGAACTCTCTGTCCACCTTTCTGTCATGTATAAACAGTCACAGTCTTGGATGAGAATAGCCAACTGCACAAGTCTTGGACTTTGTACCTTATCTTACCAGCCAGTGTAGAAAGGAAGCTGTGTGGACTCCTTAGGCTTCCAGAACAGAAGGAAGAGGATTTGGGTAGGTAGAAAAAGTGCAAGGGAGTTAATTACTATATTCTGTGAGGTTCTGGAATGAAAAGATGATTTTCATAGTCCTTGGCCTTAGGATAGACTAACCCATAGCCATCAAAAAGCTATAGTATCTCTCATCAGTGGTTCTTGAGCACACATCAAAAAGATGGCTAACTGACCCAGTGGATGACGGGAAATGCCCTCCGCCATCTTTCTAGGAGTATGGAATGGCGATGTCTCAGCTAAGTTTTAACAGACAATAAGAATAAACAGGTAGCAGGGAAGATAATGAATTTCAATTAGCCATGGGCACATGCCTAGTAATTACAAAAATTAAAATGCTGCTAATTTGATGGCATATTTAAAGTTTTAAAAATCATCCTATGTGGAGACTTTTATTTTATTTTTATATATTACAATTTTCTTGAGCTATAATTGACATATAATAAACTACACATATTTAAAATGTACAATTTGGTAAGTTTTGCACGTGTATACTCTCATGAAACCATCATCATAATAAATTCCATCACCTCAAAACTGCCTGTGCCCCCCACTGTAATCCATCCTTTCTTCCACCCCTATTCCCAGGAAACCATTGTTCTGCTTCTTGTTACTGGGTATAAATTTGGGCTTTCTAGAGTTTTATTTGAATGTAGTCATTCAATATATTTTTGGGATAATATGTGAGAAGATTCACCCATGTTGTTGTGTGAATCAATTGTTTATATCTTTTTATTTCTCTTTACAATCCTTACAGAAGAAAAAAAACAGGCAGCTAGGTCACTACTTGATGTCTAAATCTATCACTAATTTTTTCAATATGTTTATGTAGTCCACTGAGAGTGAAACACAAAAGTCCTCTAAATTGATCATGTTGAAATGGTTTAAGTCTTGTGCTACTTCTCACTGTGGAGAAGACCCGGGTGAGTTCACTGCAGGTTGATTTTCTTATCCCTTTGAGTCAAGAGTCAAATCTAATGTACGGGCTGGGAAAGTCTTTGCAACTCTCAGATCCTGTGATTTAAAATTTGATAAGTTAGTGGATTTCTCAGGGGCAAGTGAATTTCTCTGCAAAATGAATTTTTCTTGAAATTTACTGGGGAAGGTATTTTAGATTTCAATTTAAACATATTTATAAATTCAATAAACATCATATGGGCTTCTATTGTGTACCAGGCCCTGAGTTGGGTAGCTGAGATACAGAAATGATGAAGACATGGTCCCTACCTTTGAGGGATTTCTAGTACAACAGGGGTGTATGGTTAGAAAAGTACATTATGTACTCTAATTCACAGAACTGTTTATAGAGCACTTATTGTATACTAGGTCTTGAGCTGGACCCTGTGGAAATGGCCACCTCCCTCCAATCACAGAGCTTACTTTTTAGTGGAAGAGACTGATAATGAGAAATTAAGCACATACATGAGGAGGATGACCGTAGATGTTATGATGGAAATGAACAGGGTGTTCAGATAGTAATTTAGAGAGGCCATTTTGTAGAAAGAATCATGACCCGCTTTGCAGAGGAGCAAGGGGGTTGGGACAAGAGTATTCCAGGAAGTGCACAGAATTGCAAGAACAAAGACTGACATGGGGCAGGGCTGGCCTGGGCAGTGGAAAATAAAGAAGGGGGATTGGGCTGGGAAGAGTGACCAAGTGAAGAGGGACTTGAGGTGACAACGGAAATGTAGGAGGCGGCGGGCGGCAGGAAAATCCTGTAAGTCTTGGCCCAGCCATAATAGAAAGTTAGTGTTTTTTGTTTTATTATGTATACCACGGAACCCCTGGAGTGATTGAAAGGACAGAGTATCTGAGTTTTTATTTTCTATGTTGTAATTTTATTTTTTAAATGAACTCACATTAACATAAAAAATTAATAAATAAAACGCCTACAATAAAATCCATAGATCTTAAGTGTTCAGTTTGAGTTTTGACATTTGTATATACCTAGGAAACCACTACTCAAAACAAGATACAGAGCATTTCAACTCAAAGAAAGCCTTTCTTTTTTTTTTTTTTTTTTGAGACAAAAGTTTCGCTCTTGTTGTCCAGACTGGAGTGCAATGGCGTGATCTCGGCTCACTGCAACCTTCGCCTCCTGGGTTCAAGTGATTCTCCTGCCTCAGCCTCCCAAGTAGCTAGGATTACAGGCACCCGCCACCACACCTGGTTAATTTTTGTATATTTAAGTAGAGATGGGGTTTCACCATGTTGACCAGGCTGGTCTTGAACTTCTGACCTCAGGTGATCCACCTGCCTTGGCCTCCCAAAGTACTGGGATTACAGGCATGAGCCACCACGCCTGGCAAAGCAAGTTTTATTTTGCCCCTTTGTTGTGTTTGTGTGTTTCATTTTATTTAATTGGAAAATAGTAATTATATATATGTATATTTATGGGGTACAATGTGATGTTTTGATACGTGTATACATTATGGAATAAAATAAAATCAAGCTGATACTACATCTATCACCTCACATACTTATCTCTCCTTGTTTGTGGCACATTTAAAATCTACTCTTGGCAATTTTGAAATGCCCTTTTCTGATTTATGTTTTAAATTACCCCTGTTGAAAATCTGTAAAGGATTCATCTCCATATTGCTGTCTAACTTAAATTTTCTTTGACTTCTCTCTGACCGTAACACATTTTTAGAGTCACTATACCCTTTTACGGTGGCCCCGATGAGTCCCTTACCACATACCTTCTGATCTGATCACTCTCTTTCCAGGCTTTCTTAAGTATTTTATTTTCCAAGTCACTTCCTTCTGAGATTTCAATCTCTCCTCTATTCTGCCTGGCCAAACTCTAAACATCTGACCAGCCTCATTTCAAATCCTACCTTTTCATAAAGCCCGACGCTTATAATTAAGCCATTCCAGACTGGTCTGTGTTCTCTGAATTCCAGCAGTATTTCTCAGTTGTTCCTCTATTGAGTTTTTATGTATACAATCTTGGGAAGGAGTAAAGAGAATTATACAGCTGTAATGAGAACTGATATACTGAGTGATGTGGAGAAAATAATAATGATACTAACAGATAGAGGAGAGGCAGGTACATTCTATCTCAATGCAGCCTTGTCATTTTTAAACGAAAGTCTCATGCAACATGTGTAGACCTGGCCTAAACACATTTCGGTCTTGGTTTGGTTAAACTGCTGAAATTGTTTGGTTTTTCTCTTTATCTTGCACTGTGAGTCATGTTTGTCCGTGATCTAGTCAGCCAGTCATGAAGCCTTACACACTCCAGAGAATGCTGGATGCCTTTCTGCCGGGTTCAGACTTCACTGTCTGCTGCGTTGTCATCCATCTAAATGCTAACTATCGTCTTTTCTTTCCCCGCCCGAGAGAGTCAAACGCTCAAGGCATTGGCTTGTCAGTGGTGGGTGTTTGCCGGCGCTAGTCTTGTGGCCTATTGAGGTAATGGATCGGCAGGATTTGCTTATTTTAAAGACGATTTGATCGAGTGCATTCTGTGCGGGTTGATGTGTTAAAAATTCAGGATGTTATTTACAAAGAACTGCACAGAAACCAAGGGCAAGTGGGGCCTTGGCCAAGATTTTCTTCCTTATTGATGCTGCCATCACCAATATTTAATTGGCATCAAGGTAAATATTCAAAGCTTAATGTAGCATGCTGTTAATGGATAATGAAGGTGTGTGGTCCTTACTGCCTCACTTTGCACCTGGAATGTAATTACCAGCATAGGGATAGTCAGAGATGGAAGCAATGCATCATCTCCGGGCACTCGCCTGCAGGTAGGGTGCACAAAAAAAAACGGTAGTTGTTATAATCCATTTTGTGTATTTTGATGCATTAATTAAAATCGGATGTTTGTATTTCTATGTACGTTAACATCCAACATCAATGAATAAGACAGTGCTTTTTGGCAGCAAGACAATGATGTCAAAGGTTTATATATGTACTCCAAAGTAGAGAAAAATTTATTTCTTTAATGCAAGTCCTGTCTTTGGCATTTCATGGAGGAAAAGACAGGCCCTTTCTAAAAGTCCCTTTTTCGTGGTATGTGTTTTTATTTTTCATGTTTCTCAAGTAAAAAACAGAAAAGAGCCTAGCACGTGATAAGTAATTGGTAAACATAGACCTCGACTACTTCTCTTTCCTTGTTTTTCTGGGTGACTCCTTTTTTGCTTTGTCCAAGCCATTTCTAACTTTCACTGGTATTGTGGTTACAGTGACAATATTAGAATGATGTTACTTACCATGAAAATGATATACTATTTTTTCCTCCCATTTTTTCCTCCGAGTTTATGTTCTTTCAGTCGTGCATTTCTATACCAAGCAATTGAATTAAGCTGAAATATGCTACCTTTATGTGGTCACCATTTGGGAACTGTATGCAAAGTTATCTTATGCTGTTATTTTTGCTCCAGTGCATTATTTTAAAAGCACTTAGCAAGAATCATGATAAATAACATGTGTGTATAGCTGTATTTGATCTGATGGACTGAACCCTAAGACATTTAAGTGTACATCACATGAATGACCTGTTAACAGGAGAATGGTTATAATCGTATAATCACCCATTTCTTCGTTTCTTGTTTCTAATTGGATTTTTCTACTTACATATTCATAATAGAAGAAAGCTGCTTTTGAGTGGTCAGCAAGTCTTAGACCCGTTTTAAGCTTCACAGATACAACAAACCTTGAAGCTTGGGATCCAGCGTTGCAGATTTGGGTCCTACACCCTGACAGTGTGTCGGCTCACTTCTGCTTCTGATGCTTCCCCATTCTTGCCCTCATCTCTTGCAGCGCTTGTCATTCCTGTTGTTTCTGCCTGTTTTCTTATTAAAGAAGAGATTAGCAGCTGTTAAATCCATATTAGAACCCAAGTGAGACTTTATCTGAGATGAAACATAAAACTTGAAAACATACCGAGAAAAAGGAAGCCCCTTAAGGAGGGAATGGTCGAGTGTTTTGTCTAAAAACAGCGGTTTCTAAGACTCAGTTCCCGTGACTGGGGAGGTTATTCAATCAATAGACAGAAACCAAAGTGATGCACATTGTTCGCAAACAATGCTAAGCATGACGCTTTCCATTCTGTATCAGCCTCGTGCATCAACTAGTGATGTTTCCCTAACCTAGTCTCTTTGCGTTAGCATTGCCTGAAGTACTTGCTACAGTGCAGATTTCTAGGCCCACACCAACCTGAGGAATCAGCAGCTCTGCAGCCAGGGCCATGGAATCTGTATTGTAACAAGTACCTCAGTTGGTACTTTAGATTTTTCAAAAAAATTTCTGTGTGGGAAATATTGCCACAAAATATGTAGTTTTTTAAATATTTTTTTCATCTGAAATGTTAACAGTGTGGAATATGAAGCCTGACCAACTAGCCTTGTATATCCAGCTCTACCGCTTACTAGCTGTGTAACCCTGGCCAAGTTATGTAGCCTCTCAGTTTTTAATCTTTAAAATAAGAGATATAATTGTATCATTACTTAGGGCTGTTTTAGGGCTTTGGTGAGATCATCTCTGTGAAGCAGTTGGCATAGTGTTTGACACATATAAAATATCCCTTTAAGGGTTAATTGTAATTGTCATTGTACTAGTAATAATTCTCACTGTTTGGCTAATAAGAATAATAATTATATTGCAGCTTATCTGTGACAGATTTGTAGAATACAATAAAACAGGCCGGGTGCAGTGGCTCACACCTGTAATCCCAGCACTTTGGGAGGCCGAGGCGGGCGGATCGCCTGAGGTTGGGAGTTCGAGACCAGCCTGACCAACATGGTGAAACCCTGTCTCTACTAAAAATATAAAATTAGCTGGGCATGGTGGCGCATGCCTGTAATCCCAGGTACTTGGGAGGCTGAGACAGGAGAATTGCTTGAACCCGGGAGGTGGAGGTTGCAGTGAGCTGAGATGGTGCCATTGCACTCTAGCCTGGGCAACAAGAGCGAAACACCGTCTCAAAACAAAACAAAACAAAACAAAAACAAAAACAAAACTAAGTTACACATATTTTTGAAGCAGAAATTTCTGATCTCTGTAGCTCTCTCTCAAAATGAACTTTAAAAAACTAAAATGTTGATCCCTTGTGTTTTCTGGACTGGGCTATTTTCTTCAGAAAGGTTGCTCCAGGCATGTGGAAGGGCCACCACCTCAGATGACCACTGAAATGAGCAATGTGGACCAGCTCAGGGTGGGCACTGCAGTACTTTTCATGGGCTGAGTCCTTTTGAGGTTTCCTTGGTACTTCTTCAACTTCTAACGTCTTTCCTTTGGTGAATGAAAATGGTCAAACCTGTGAGCAGCCTTGACCTTCCACCTGTAGACGAAAGGCCATTCAGTTCTGACAATTTAAAACATGTCCTTCACTTTCCCCTATGTAAAGATGGCCTTGTGTTTTCATTGTGTATGTTTTCGGCCAAGTTCTCACACTGCGTTTTTGGCAATGAGAGGGCTTTAATTATAGCTATTATACAGATACTGGGTGAATGATCACATTTTTCCTCTGGTCATCTAGCAGAAACTTGAAAGGGGGAAGGCACAGATGGAGATGGTGTGTGAGTAATTCCTGTAGATCAGATGCCAGTGGCACCTGGGCAATGGGAGGAGGTGATGCTGGATGTCTCCTGGTCCCGAGAGACCTGCAGTTGTCACCCGGCGCTCACTGGCCGCTGTCTTCAGTTACCACGTGTTTGTTGTGACTGCCTCTGAAGTCACCATTTCCCTCCCTCTCCATTGTTATTGCTGCCAGACCACCTTCATTTTTCTTGAGACCACATTTGGGAAGACTGAGAAGGTCCTCCACATTGTTTTTGATAAACGGATTGAAGACCCTGTTCTTTTTGCTTTAATAGTTGAACATTTCATCCCTTTTCCATCTTTCTTGCCACCCCCTTTGCTCCTGCTACATTATTAAAAATACCTGGTGCCCGGGAAGCAAATTCTGAGCTTTGGATTTTTTTCTTTTTTTGGGGTGGGGGAGGGGTGCAACAAAGAGAGTTTTCCTTTAAAATTATAAAATGCTTCCCTTGTATATCTGTTATAAGCAGCAATCCAGAGAATTAATTCAGGCTATTTTCAGACCTATTTCAAACATTTTGATGACTCAGAATCTGAATCAGAGCAAATAGAACACGATCTAAATACTACAAGGTGACACAAATTCAACATGAGTAGGAAAGGACTAAAAAGGCAGTAATTGCAGTTATTCATCTTTAATTAGTTTACATTGAAAGAAGTAATGCTGCAGTTCTGGAGATACATGTTTAAGTACCACTTGCATCACTTTTCAAATATATGGTTGTAGGAATACAAAAATAACCAAAATTTATAGAACCTATAACCAAAATAGAGATGTTCTCTCTCATTGGTTGAAGCTTTGAATGTCTGTGCTTTACAGTTGATGAATTTGATTTATTTTGTGCTCCCCACAATAAGCAACAGTGTTATAAATGATCTACCTCAATTCCAAACGTTTTTATGACTTTGTTTGTTTGGTATATGGAAACAGTATATAGTGTAATTCCTGTCCTCAAGAAGCCTCTAGTCTAGTTAACAGGAGACTAATATGAAACTCAAACGAAATCTGAGTAAATATTATGGAACACCATCTATATTCTAGGTAGAGTTCTACCACTATTTACATATTTACAAAGCTAAGTCTTGAAGAAATTATGGATGGTGCACAATAACACTTGCTAAGACATTATATTTTCCAAAGATAATGGCAATGGTGTCTTCCATCCTACAAGCTCCTGTGCAGTGTGACTGTGCTACTCCATTGTCAGGAGGTGGGGTCTATCTCCCATCTCCTTGATCTGGGCTGCTCTTAATCACTCATGTGTAACCAATAGAATGCAGTACAAACGGCACTGCATTACTTCTGAGGCCAGGTCAGAACAAGTCCAGCAGCTTCCACTCCCTCTTGGGAATCCCTCTTGGGCCTTCACTGACATGCTGTGAAACCCCAGGCCACATGTAGAGGCCATGTGTAGGTGCTCTGACTGCAGCCTTTGAGTGGCCTGTACCCAAGTGTCAGACGTAAGCAAAGATGATTCCAGATCCCAGACTTCTCAGTCTTCCCAGCTGGGGCTCTTGACATTTATATATATATATTTATATATATATATATATATATATATATGCACTTATATATATGTATATATAATATATATACACACATATATACAATTATATATATATATATTTTTTTTTTTTTTTGGTGGATCATGCCTGTAATCTCAGCACTTTGAGAGGATGAGGTCAGTGGATCACCTGAGGTCAGGAGTTCAAGACCAGCCTAGCCAACATGGTGAAACCCCCTCTCTACTAAAAATACAAAAATTAGCCAGGTGTGGTGGCACGTGGCTGTAATCTCAGCTACTCAGGGGGCTGAGGCAGGAGAATTGCGTGAATCCAGGAGGCGGAGGTTGCAATGAGCTGAGATTGTGCCACTACACTCCAGCCTGGGCAACAGAGCAAGACTCTGTCTCAAAAAACAAAAAAATTAAACATTTATACATATATTTCAATGTTGCCACAGCTAATGATAGCATATTGAGCAAAAGAGGGTCAACAAGAGATGCTACTAATACGTCTGATAATAATAATAATCAGCTAATAAATGTTCTCATTTATTGCTTGCTGTGTGGCAGGTTTTGTGGCCTAATGCTTATATAATCCTCACAAGGACCCTGAGTCTTGCAAGAGTACTCTTCCCATTTGGTAGATGAGGGAGCTAAAGCACAGGGAGCTGAAATAACAGTCACACAGGAAGTGAGGGATGTTGGGCCTTCTCACTCAACTACGTGGATGATGATATGACCAAGGGCTAAATAGGTGCAGTCTAGCACTGGTGCATGAGTTCGGAGACTGTGTCTCTCTGGGGAGGGTGGTTTTAGACTTCACACAGTTTGTTTTGTTTTGTTTTGTTTATTTTGTTTTGAGACATAGCCTCGCTCTGTTGCTCAGGCTGGAGCGCAGTGGCGCAGTCTCAGCTCAGTGCAACCTCCGCCTCCCAGGTTCATGCGATTTTCCTGCCTCAGCCTCCCGAGTAGCTGGGATTACAGGTGTGTGCCACTTTGCCCAGTTAAATTTTGTATTTTTAGTAGAGACGGGGGTTTCAGCATGTTGGCCAGGCTGGCCTCAAACTCTTGACCTCAAGTGATCTGCCCACCTCGGCCTCCGAAAGTGCCGGGATTACAGGCATGAGCCACCATGCCTGGCTTAATAATAGTAATTCCTTGTAACGATATTGCTTAGATCTGTAAGGCTCTTCATTTTTCTTAGATGACATGCAACTATAATATTTGGCAGTCACTTCAAGACTGAGTTAAACATGTAGGACAGGGAGCTATCCAATGTACAAATAATATATTTGAGTCCTGCAGAAGTCAAAGACCTTGTTCAAGTTCCCATGGCTGATAAGAGCTTGTCTCAGGACCAAGTCTTCCGCGGAACAGTCCACTGCTATTTTAAAATTATCTTTTAAAATAGATTTTGGGCTTGGGTAGGTATTGTTTCATCTGAGAACCAAAGGAGCATAGATATCTCTTAGTATTCTATACATTTATATTGTTTTATGGTATCTGACTTGGAGGGTCAGCTTTCCCAATGGACTTAGTATGTAAGTGAAAGTCTGAATAAAGTTTCAGGAAGTTTCTTTAACTTACTGTGTTTACCGAAGGAGTTCAGGGACTATGAAAAGCTGTAAATATCTAGTTTTCAAATATTGATCACAGAGCAGAAGCTCATGAGTCACACTCCTTCTTAACCCTTTGGGTGCTATCCTGTTCATTTCACATCTGAATTATCGCTAGAATCCTGGCATTCTGCCTATTTACATCACTACTGTCTTAGTTTGCACAGTCTATATGTTTCTTGGAGCACCCCAGCAGACTTCTAACTTGTTATGTGCTTTTATATTACTTCTGCATACCCATCCCATCCATTCTCCCTGTGAATCTAACCATGTTTGAATTAGCAGTGTGGTTTCCAAGGTTTTTAGAAGATATTTTACACTCCTTGGACTACAAGTCCCCTGAGGGCCCTATCAACCTCTTCCATGTCAAATCCTGCAGATCCCCCACATCCTTCACACAATAGCAATACTGAAAAAAAAAAATGAGTTTACCCACATGTGCATGTGTGTACACACACACACGCATGCGCACACACACACACTTCTTGGCTCAGCATCGTGACACCACATTTCCCCCACCCTGGAATGTCTTTCTCCTCTATACCGACTGGCAAACTTGTGTTTGGTCTTGAAACTCTACTCCTGTCAACTTACCAAATACCCTGACAGTGTTCATCTCTCCTATCTCTGTGCTGCATACAAACCCAGTGCAAACTTCATTCTTGCCTGGATCACCCTGTATCATAATTGTTTATTTTCATACCCACTCTGCCTACTAGATTATAAGCCCTTTGAAGGCAAGACTGTGGCTGTCGTTCTCTGCATCCTTGAGACTTTTACAGTGCTTGCTACTTGGCGGGTACTCATTAAATAATTGTGGATGTGAAAAGAGACAACATGTTTTGGCAATAAGAGATTTTGGGCTGGGAAGGGTCATTACCATTGTGCCACAAAGAAGAATTTGTTAAGCACTTGTTTTCTCGAAGCGCTGTGCTGAGTGTTCCTCAGAATAAATTACACAGATCACTTTCTTGACCTCTAAGAACTTATTCATAATTTAATACATACATCAGGAATGAGGGCAAATATGGAAAGGACACACAATAATTGAATTACCAACATTAAACAGATATACAAATAGGTTAGATTAAATATTTACTTTGTATGTGCCTTACCTTGTAAAGGGTAATTGCATTTTAGCGGCTAGCGAGTGTATGGGAACCATTTGAGTTTTATGTTTAGTCAATAGGATCCTATCATAATGATTACAGTGTAAACTGAATTTTGATGTTTTTATGGGTGAAGATGGACATTAATATTCCCTATGAGGTTAATTTACATTGTAGTGGAAGAAGAAGTCATATACCTTGGCTAGAATCCAAATCTAAACACCTCAGGCCAGATTACAGCAAATGGAGCTTATCAGTAGAACTCCACCATTTAAAAAATATATGGAATCTGAAAAATATGTGGTTTTCATCAAAAGCAGGAAATAGGGTATTTGACAACATGCATTTGTCTACTGAATGTGATGGAATATGTGATGAAATATGTTTTGTCAATAAAATAAATTGCCAAACAAAATGTAATCCTTTCTGCAAATGCATTTAGTCTCCAGAATGAAATAAGCTACTTCCACAAAGCACATTTTTGCTTTGAATTATTTTAGATTTGCTGTCTATCAAAAACAATGGAGAAAATGTGTTTTGTCAGACACGTATTTCAAGGTATATAGATAAAATGCATTTAATTAGGGAAAAAAGTAGATGCAATTGTGGAGGGTCACTAAATGTTTGTAGCATACTGATGTAGTTTAAATGAGTCTATAATTTTTGACTTAAGAGGCTAAATTCTCATGTCAGTGTTGGTTGTATTCTCAAAAAAATTCAAGTGTTACCTTGGCTGGTTCTTGAACATATCCATAATGCTTTTATTGTGTGATATTATCACCCCATTACTGAAAGAGTTAATTACACACCTAATTAGGTTCTTTTTTCTCATTCTCACTCTGCTCTGTGAATTGGTCCTTTGTCCCAAGGCTCCTGAGGAATTTTAACTTACATAATTAATTAATACATTTTAACCCTTCAAATGTGAGTCTAACACCACGCCTAGTTAAACATAATTTTAGATTGCTGTTGGACAGCCTATGGTACTATGCAGTGGACAAGCTGAAATCAAGTAATTAAGTGTTGTTAGGTTAGGATAACATATGATTTTTAAGAAAGTGATCGGCCGGGCGCGGTGGCTCACGCCTGTAATCCCAGCACTTTGGGAGGCCGAGGCGGGCGGATCACGAGGTCAGGAGATCGAGACCATCCCGGCTAAAACGGTGAAACCCCGTCTCTACTAAAAATACAAAAAATTAGCCGGGCGTAGTGGCGGGCGCCTGTAGTCCCAGCTACTTGGGAGGCTGAGGCAGGAGAATGGCGTGAACCCGGGAGGCGGAGCTTGCAGTGAGCCGAGATCCCGCCACTGCACTCCAGCCTGGGCGACAGAGCGAGACTCCGTCTCAAAAAAAAAAAAAAAAAAAAAAAAAAAAAAAAAAAAAAAAGAAAGTGATCAAAGGAGGAATGTGTGTGCAAGCAGCTTTGAGAAATGTGAAGTATTATAATATGAATGAAAAATGATGTGAATCGACAGAGTTTTTTTTTCATTTTCTCTTGCTCTCTTTTGAAAATAAGAACACATTTCCTCACTCATGGTTATCTGTTTAATATTTAAGGATTGAATGAGATAATGCCTATAAAGCTCTTGGCTCTGTGCCTGGTACTATTCCTGTATTGGTTTATAGTTTTCCAGTATTAAATAAACATTGCTCCATTTGGTTCACAAACTGTCCTCTTTTCGGTACAGGAATCATTTAGTTCCATTTTGTGGAAGAGTAAACTGAAGGTTCAGGAGGTCACACAATAATAGACCCCAAAGGAGGCAGCAATCTCTACCACTGAATGTGAGGGACTGTCTAGGGGGCAGATGACATTTTAACAGTATCCTAAGAATAAAGAGGAAATCAAAAAGCAAGAACGGTGTAGAAATGAGAAATACAGATAGCATGTTGAGTGTATTATTAATAACCTCTATTGCCAGGAGGAAGAACTTAGCTGATTGGGAAATGAGACTAAAAAGGTGATTTGGAATCAAAAAGTTTCTGATAGACTAAGGAATTTTGATTTAATTCTAGAGGTACTGGGGAGTTACTGAATATTTGAAGCAGGTGACTGACATGACTCAACTTCTATTTTTGAATGCCAGCTTTGGTGGTGGTGTGAAATGCACTGGAGCAGGGGAGAAGTCCTAGGCAGGGTGCACTTTGGTGCACAAGTGCTATTCTGCAGGTGATGGCAGTGAAAGCCTGAGCTGGGCTGTGGCAATAGAGGTGAAGAGGGTGGAGGGCAGTGAAGAGGGTGGGGGAGGGAAGGATTCAAAAGACATTTCTCAGTTACAATCAGGAACTGATTATCTATAGTGGACAAGGACATGGGAGAAACTGGCAAGAATTGCAGGGTTGCATAGAAGATAGTGCTGTTGATATACGCCAAAAATGCAACAAACAAAAAGAAAAAGAAGAAGAAAAAAGACAATAAAGAGCCAGGCGCGGTGGCTCATGCCTGTAATCCTAGCACTTTGGGAGGCCGAGGCAGGTGGATTGCCTGAGCTCAGGAGTTCGAGACCAGCCTGGGCAGCATGGCGAAACCCCATCTCTACTAAAAAATACAAAAAAAAAAAAAAAAAAAATTAGCCAGGCATGGTGGTGCATGCCTGTAATCCCAGCTAACTGGGGAGGCTGAGGCAGGAGAATTGCTTGAACCAGGGAGGCAGAGGTTGCAGTGAGCCGAGACTGCGCCATTGCACTCCCGTCTAGGCAACAAGAGCGAAACTTCGTGAAAGAAAGAAAGAAGGAAGGAAGGAAGGAGGGAAGGGAAGAAAAAGAAAGAGAGAAAGAAAGAAAAAGAAAGAAAGAAAGAAAACAAGTTGTACGTGGTGGAGTACATATATTTGGTTTTGAATGTAAAGAATGTGACTATAGGATCAATAAACAAGTGTGTTGTAAATATGGATCCTGAGTCCAGGAGAGATGCTAGAGAAAGGAATAAAGATTCAGAGGGTTATCATTGTATTTCTATGATTGGTATGATATATAGATAAAATGGCTTTACAAAAAATTTTTCTTAAGCTTAAAAATAATGTGTTGAGATGAACTTTGACAAATGAAGTCCAGCTCTGGTTCCTCTCGCTTCCACTAGGTAAGAATTTTGGAAAATGTGTCTGGTTTGGGGCTAAGGTTTGCATAAATTATCTCAGTTAAATCAAAAAGTTTGGAGACATCTGGAGGAATAGATATTATCACTTACATATTCCAGTGAGAATACTGAGGCTTGAAGAGGTAAAATAATTTGTCCAATGTCAAGGAAGAATTCAAATCCTTGCTTATCTCAAAAGTCTGTACCCTTAAGCCATATTCACATAAAAATGTTCAAATCTGATTCAGCTGCAAGACATCCAGTTCACATCTGCAGAGCCTTCCGGGATAGCCCAACCTTGTCTTTGATGTAAAATTATTCAAAAGTACACAGCAGAAGACTCGGCCCACAGAGGGCAGCCAATGGATATTTGTTTCTGTTCTTTATTTACCCTTATCCTTTCCTCTCTCTTCACTTCTGGATATTATTTAAGATCCCTCGTTCTCTCTGCTTTCGTTGTAGTCATCCATACACATTATTTCTCTCTTACTTGACTGTGAGTATTTTGTTTTTGTTTTGTTTTATTGAGACAGAGTCTCGCTCTGTCACCCACGCTGGAGTGCAGTGGTGCAATCTCGACTCACTGCAACCTCTGCCTCCCAGGTTCAAGTGATTCTCATGCCTCAGTGTCCTGAGTAGCTGGGATTACAGGAACGGGCCACCACGTCCAGCTAGTTTTTGTATTTTTAGTAGAGATGGGGTTTCACCATGTTTGCCAGGCTGGTCTCGAACTGCTGACCTCAGGTGATCCACCCACCTTGGCCTCCCAAAGTGCTAGGATTACAGGCGTGAGTCACCGCGCCCGGCCACTGTGGGTATTTTGAATGCAAGGCTTATCTTTGCCTTCCCCACAAAAGCCAGCACAGGGCCTTGCACTGTGCTACAAGCCCTACTTGCATTGCCCCATTTTTAATCCAGTAACATTATACGGTAACTATCCTCATTGTTAGACAGAAAATCTGCAGTTTCGTCAGTAATTTGCCCAGGGATTCCCAGAGTTTAGTCAGAGATGAAGTTCTTGTCCCAAACAAGAAGAATGCTAGGTGCCTCGTGCCTTGCACAAGTAGGTTCTCATCCTTGCAGCAACAAATACACAAAAGCACCATTCCCATATGTAAGACGTAGGGGACATGGGCATAGCTCTACAATACTGTAGCCATTTTTAAATCAGTACTCATGATAATGGGATTCTGCCTAATATGACTTTTTTTCAGTGAAGGCCTGAATAAAAGAGCTCCAAAATAACTCGAAAAAATTTAAAGTCAGTCTTTTGGAGTATCTGAAAGGCACATGCTTTCTCTTTAATCTTACCAATCCAAATAATGAACTGGGGAGTCTACAACAGAATTACAGAGATTGTTCCAAAGCTTAGTAGCTAATTTGATTTTGTACAGAAGGGTTTTAAGGAATTTCTAATGAAAAGGCAATTAACGTTGAAACCTTCATTAACGGATAATTGAGAGGAAAAACTGGACTTCTTGCTGAGTTTTTGACTTTTTAACTAATTGCAAAACTTTATAGTATTTTTACTGTATATTAGAAAATAGTAAGGCACTATCTGTTTAATACAGCTAGACCTTATGGGCAAATAGAACACTTTTAAAATCTTTTAATTTTTTTTTTTTTAAGTAAAGAGGACAGAACCCCCAAGAACTAATTATAACTGAGCAGCTCTCATTTGATAAAATGGATGCTGAGTAATGAAATGTTCACCGAGAAAAAGTAGTTTTGGCTCAGCTTAAAAGATTTCTGAAACTATTGCTTGTTTCTCTGTATTAGCCATATATGGATCAATTTTGCATACAGCAGAAAGTTGATATTTTATTTAAAATATCCTCAGCATTAAACAAAAATATAACATTATTTATGAAGGTTGGCTTACCTAAATTCAAATGCTATAAACCCTTTAAATACAACTCACTTCCCACGTTCATCCTAACAATAAAAGTGAATGGAACATCCATTCTTTGGTTTTTCAGTGCTATAAACCCTTTAATACAACTCACTTCTCACGTTCATCCTAATGATAAAAGTGAATGGAACATCCATTCTTTGGTTTTTCAGTGCTATAAACCCTTTAATACAACTCACTTCTCACGTTCATCCTAATAAAAGTGAATGGAACATCCATTCTTTGGTTTTTCAATGTTTCGTTATGGTACCAGAATTTCTCCAATTTTGGCATAGGATGCTAGTAACTATTATGCTCCCCATCCCTATCTCAAGTGTGGTCCTTAGGGCCTTGGAGTAATGGAAATGGAGGCAGAAATCTTTTGGCTGGAAGAATATTTGAGAATTGTATTGGCCATATGGTGTAATCTCATGCCATGAAATTAGAAAAGTCTTATTTTCTTGAGTTTTCAGAGTGGCTTAAATAAAGAACCTTATATGCTCCCAAATAGGGTAACTTTCTAAGTTGTCTCCTGTCAATTTCTTTTGCCCTTACCAGGATACCTAACCAGCATCTGGCAAGGCAGGGTGCAGGGGTGGGGAGGCCGAGGGCTCCCAACAGAGAAATGGTCATTCCATCTTTGCCCTTTGGCTAATCCTTTTTATGTCAAATTGTCCACCACTGAATCTGGTGATAAATCTCAAACAATTTAAGTTTTAGATTTGATATATCAGATAAAATAAAACAGTTTTTGTTTACCTTTTTCATCCCTAGTCTTGTGTACTGGGGGATGACAATGTACAAGGGCTGGAGACATGCTCCTCTAGCAAAGACAGTCCGGTTCCTTTTGTCAGAGATAAAAAGGACAAAGAAGAGATACATGTAGGTGCATCACCATTCAAAGTCATCCTATCTTGAGAGGATTCATAGCAGTCAATGAAGAACCAAAGTTTTAAAAGGCCCTTCCCACTCCCCAGTTCTCTGGCAATGCTAGAACTCAATTTAATCTAATTATATTATGAGCCAATGTACATATTGTAGGCATTTAGCATATGTATTCCTAGAATATACAGTTAATTGATTGGGTAGTAAGTACATCAGAACAAAAATATTTCCAGAATACATTGGAAGAAGAACTGGACTCCATGTCTGCCACTCACCAGCTTCATCGCCTTGGACATTGCCTAATTTTATTCTCTTATGTGGGATCTTCAGTGTTTTTAATTTCAGTCCCTGGGAGCTAAAACTATAGTGTTTTATTTCCTTATAATCAAAACATTTTTGGAGACTCAGAAAAAGAGAAGAGACATCTACATAATGGAAAATTTGTGCATGGCCATTTCTCATGCACTCATTTTTCAGTATTTGAGAATTTGTACTTGCATTCATTGTTAGAAAAAGACAGAAATGTGATAGGCAAATGCATTCTTTCCTTTGACTGGTTGTTTTGCTCTAGCATGGATTATTTTGAGTTCTCTCTCTCTCTTTTTCTCTCAAAATGAGTATCTCCTTGAATGATCTTCTTTGGGGAAGATGCAAAGAAATAAAGAATTTTGACTAACAAAAAGCACTGAATTTATATTTTCTTGGAATATTTTAGATACATTATATTACTTTAAATTCCTTTGAAGGAATGATTCTGTAAACATTCCTTTATATTTTGTTTTATTTAGGTATAGCTATCTGGTACTGTTCCCATTTATGAATAAAATCAATGGGTTTGCTCTAGTTCTTTAATAACCCAGAGATCAAAATATTACAATTGGACCTTGAGCAAGGTCTTACTGATGCCAGTTTTAACAACTGATGCATGTAAGTAGTTGAGCTTTAGTCTGTACCTGTAATTCTTTTGTTCACTGATATGGTTTTTATTAGCAAATCTGGTCTATTCATTATAATACAAAGAGTAAAAAATAATAATAAAATGATATCCTATAGTGTCAGCTAAATCCAAAGGTCTGTATTACACGTAGGAAGCACCTGTTGCGCAAAGAAAATCAACAGGAATTCACAGCCATTTTCTGTAAATAAGGGATTCTCCAAGTCCCTTCTCTAGGCTCAGGTTTGTCATCTGCTGTGTTTAGTGTTCACATTTAATGTTGTTTTTAATAAAACGTATACACAGTTCACACTCCAAACAACAAATGCAAATTTCTGTACTTTAGTTCTGTCTCTTTACTTAAGTTACAGAAATCCTAAAACACAGACATTCTGAATAAATCTTTAGGTTCAAATATAATCATTTTACAGTAGATTAGGTGGGATAACTTTATGAGACTGTTTTACACACTAGTACAATACAATTATTGAGTGAATCTGTCTGCATCATGTCCTTTCTTATTGTTTTCATTCCGTCCTATTATGCCTCATCCAAATTACTTAATAGAAATAATGTGTTCCCTAATTTCTGCATTCGATTTACTAATTTGTTCACTTGGCCATATGTTTGCATGCCTCGACATTAACTGGATATCAATTCCCTTGTCACTTTTTTCTTTATTCTGCCATATTGTGAGCTGACACCAAAATACACACTCCAAAATGTATGTTAGGCTGGGACATTAAAATGATTGACAGTGAACTTGCAGGGCAAAGAGGAGGCTAATCCATATATGACACACAGAAGCTGTTTTCCTGGCGACAACTTCATCATTGTTCCTAAACGTGAGAGATGAGCCAATGTACCCAAAAAATCATTCAGGTAAACAGCAAAGAATTTTGTTTGGCAGAGCATGAATACCACCGTATTTCTCCTTTTCACACACGGTGGTAAATGGAAATGGATTCTTCCCATTGAGATTAATAACTGTTTTAATTCAATAGAAGATGTGCAAATTTTCAGCTGTTTCCTATTGACTCATATTCAGTCCTTCTCTATGTAATAACATCTTAGAGTAATTGAGATATAAGGCAGGCTTTTTGGGGAAAAAGGTTCATGTACATATGAAATGTAGGCTAGATACAGTCACCTTTGTGGGGTAATAAATTGTCTTGAGAATAAGTTGAAATCTGACGATAACCTGTATCAAATGTTTCGGTCCACTATCTCATAGTATTTGATATTTCACATTACAAGAACAAAAGAGAAAAATAGGAGACTAAGTTGGATCAAAAAATTATATGAGGCCTATGAAAAGACTGTTTCCAGATGGAATTCACTGAAATTCTGTTTCTTTGCATTTTCATTATAATTAATTCTTTAATATTGCCAGTTGAATCTCACGAATTGACAGTGTTCCAATCCATACAATCTGGCATCATGCTGCTCTTCTGAAATTCCAGGGAGCTTTCCTAACGGAATATTGGAAAATTCACAGTATGAATGGAGCAATTAGAGTAGAGGTGTGGCATCAAGACATGTGGGCCAAATAGATAGAACATCATGACAATGGCCTCTTTCCAAGTGCATCATAATCAAATTGGCACATCATAATAAGGGTAAAAGTGAGAGAGAAAGATAGTGTTCTTTGGAAAACAGTGTCTATGCTTTTAAATCCTCATACCTTAAAGGAGATGTGTATATAAGGGAGTTGGAACCAGCATTAGATGAGTTGACAAAAATGCAGTTTCAGGTAAGAGTGTGTTGGAGTCAAAGGGAGTGGGAAACAGAGGAATCAGGTCACTGCCCGGGAGTTGTTATTGACCAGGGACTCAAAATGTTAACTGAGGACGGATAATTACCAAAGAGGTGAGTTTAATGGTATAATCTAGTTATTTGGGAGAAAAGGAGTGAGAGCTGCAAAGGGAATCACATGTAAAGGCAATGACAGGGCCAGGGGTCCTTATTTTGTGTCTGTCTCTTGGATTGCCCTGAAGGCTTAGGCGATTCATGCTTTTAAAACGTTTAATAAGGTTTGGAGAGGTGTTCACACCTGTAATAGCAGCACTTTGGGAGGCTGAGGAAGGCGGATCACTTGAGCCTAGGAATTGGAAACCAGCCTGGGCAACATAGTGAAACCCCATCTCTACAAAAAAATACAAAAAATTAACTGGGCATGGTGGCATGCACCTGTAGTCCCAGTTACTTGGGAGGCTGAGATGGGAGGATTACCTGAGCTTGGGAGGCTGACATTGCTGTGAGCCATGATCACACCACTGTATTTCATCCTGGGCAACAGAGCGAGATCCTGTCTCAAAAAAAAAAAAAAAAATGTTAAATACATGGGAAATGTCAGACTCCTCTAACTTTATGTAAAATTTCTGTAATCTTTTATTTTACCTTATGATATTTTGATGACAAAAGCAATACATATGCATAGAAAATTTATAAAATATAAGGGGGTATTTTCCCTCTTCACATCCAAAGATAACCATGGTTAACTGTCTGATCCTTAGTCCTAGAAGACGAGGAATGAGTTCAAAGATGATGAGAATAAAACTTGTAGACAACTGTCAGTTTTGTTCACAAGCTTGATGAGGCATAAATAGGGTTGTAAAAATCAGTATATGCAAAGAGTACATTAGAGCAAGCTGAGGTCTCCACTGTGCTCCTCTCAAGGGTGTGGCCACAAGAGGGATGACCTGCAGCCTTCCTTAGACCTAAACAATGGACCTCAATTTTTCAATGTTATGACTGCTCCCTTCCCCAGTCAACCACCAAAAAGAGCCACATCGATTTTCAGAAAGATCATTTTGTTTTTTTGTTCTCCATCAAACGTTTTTCTTCTGTCTCTCATGCATTCATCCACATTGAGAAATCGAGTTTATAGTATATATATAGTATTGAACCCTGCCCTTTTCATTCAGTAACACTTTGAGTGTTTCCCATAGCTATAAGTAGTCTTTAAAAACATGGCTTTAAATTATTGCTTCATTTTTAGAGCAGGAAAGGTGGATCTAACCAGATTTTAATTTATTTGTGAAAAATCGGAAAGAGTTAATTCAGCCAACTCTTAGAATTAAAAACTCACTTGCAAGAGCTAAATTTACTGAAGTTTCACTTGTATTATCAGGAAAATAATCACTGTCATCTCCTAGAAGAGATATCAGTTAAAATTAACTATGCGAATTTATCTCTACAAGAAGGAACAATTATTCAGAGGTCTTACCCATATGTGTTAGAATTTTTCATGAAAAAAGTACTCATTAAATCTTCCTTTGCTTTTTATTTTTTGCTTTTTAAAAAATTAAATCTTTATTTGCTTTCTTTTTAAACAAAACTTTACCTTCTCTCTTTTCTCTTGAGCCCTCAACAGCATGTGTATTGTGTACTGAGTAAGTCATGTTAATGGATTCCATAGATAATTTCCAAAACTTGAAAAGGCCTTTGACTTCAGAGAAATTGAAGCAATTTTGAAAGAAGCCAAAGAGGTGTATATTAGAATCCTCCACATACACATGAATAGTGGAGTGACATTTGAATTTGACAGAGAAAGTGAAAAGATAAAGTTGAAATGTGGCAGTGGAGAAGGGGATATGCCTTAGCAATGCTTTCTCTGTTTGCTGAGAGAAGATATTCTAAAACTTTGAATGAGAAGTAAAGGGCATTAGCATCAGGTGAGAGTACAGGAGTCAACCTGGATTTGCAAAAAACAAAGTCATCCCTGCTAAACTCCAGGAAGACCTTGAAGCTGAGATCCAAGATCATACGTTTAAAAATAAGAAACTTTTGTTACAGAAGAGTGTGTAGGTGACCAAAGTTGAATTTGCACAATAAAGGAAAGATCACAGGAAGGAGACTCCGAAGAAGTTAGGCAACCGGAGCTGGTTGTGGGTGTCTAATTCAAGAGGCTGGGCTGGTCTCCATGTCTACAAAATGATTTCTGAGAGGGGAGAAATTTCCAATTCAGCTTTAAAAAAATATTCTGAGGGCACCTGCCTTGACATTTCATCTCCTTTAAAAGATTGGCTCCTCACTGCACTTGTGTGCATTTATTCTTGATACGAAGGGCTGCATTTTCCCCTGGGTTTTCTCCTTAAAATCCAGGGCACCCACGGTCCCTCAGGGCCTCATCATTTATTCTCAGCCAAACACCAAGATTCAAATTGTAAGTTCAAGTATCACTAAACTTGACTCATTTGGAATAAAAAACTAATTCAGTTAAAGAACTACTCATTGAAATTCACCTCCTCAAAAGCTACGGTCAGTAGTTAGCTGGTTATAAATAATACTTCTGCCTCTGTATTGTTTGATTCTGTTACAATAAGAACATGTCCATGCATTATTTGGGAATCTAAAAATAAGTTTAAAAACAGAAAATAAATTATGGTGTGAGAAAACGTAGCTTAAGAAATGTTGGGAAAAAAAGAATTTTAATTGGAGGATGAATTTAAATAGGCTTTAGTAGAGATGCTTACCTTTAATAAATAAACTTGGTTTGGGCAGTATAAAATAGGGGTCAAGAGAACTTGGGTCTATAGTATCAGACCCTCTACGTTTGAAGCCTAGGTTGCCGGGAAATAACTGAGAAATTTTGAGGGAGTCCTTCAGCTCGGAGATTGGAATAATGACACATGCACACCTAATAGGACTGTTGTGAGAATTAAGGGAGATACTTTTAAAATAATTTGCACGCTGTCTGGCACATGGTAAGCTCTCTGAGAATGTTTATTTCTGCCTGGGACAGAAAAGCCCTAGGTTAGTTCAAATTCTTTGAGAAGCAGATGCCAAAATGGGATTGTACATGCAAGAGATTTATTGCGGGAAAGGACTTTGAAGGATAAACAGAAGGAAGTAGGCGTAGCAAGGAAAGCTTTCAGACCATAATGTAGGTCTGTCACCTGTGACAGAAGGAGAGGAAGGAAGGCAGATTAAGGAGCAAGTCTCAGATTGCCGTACAGTTCCAAGAAAGTTTGGGCCAGGCTGTTGCAGAGTCCCCCAGCCAAAGTTATCTGTTGGAGGAAACCCATGTCCCACAGGAAGGGGCCTGCACAGTCATTGGCTGGGAACATTCCAGAAGAAGCAAGAATTCTGTGTGAATGTGGTAGTGGGCCCAGAGAGACAGCAGCTTGGAATGTTGCACCCTGCAGTGGAAGACTTGAGTGGTACATTTCAGTGACTGTCACAGGCCATCCGTTGAGCTGGTGCTTTGGTACAATAGTTATAAATCATTTGGATTGAATCATTAAAGTAGTCCCTCACTCCAACCTTTGGGTAGCCTGGCTCGGGATATCCTGTCTCCGAATCTCAATTTCTTCACTTATGAAGTGGGTAAAATAATGAGCAGTAGATACTTGTTTCAGTCCTGGAAAAAAAAAAAAAGTGCTTTGGGAATGTGAAGTAACGCAAAACTACTGTCTTCAGAGATCTAATAATTCAAAAATTTCTTTCCACTCATCTGGCCTTTCAATTAGCCTGACATTAGAAGACTTTATTGTATTGTAATTAATTTCACAACATGTGTCTGGGAAAACAAATGTTCAGGCTATCTTGTCTTTGAAATTACTAAGAATTTGAAGTTTGCCACCAGAATGTTTTATTTGATAACTATTGTAGTTTGCATGGTGATGAATCAGTTTTCGTTATTCAAATGCAGTTCATGGTACTTGAAGAATTTAACCCACTAAATCCAGAAATTTGATTTAAAGATACTGCAGATGAGAACTCAGGAATGCTTCTAAGTGCTGCCTCAGCTGTTCATGGTGGTATACCTAAGGCCTTGCAAAAGTGAATCTAAACATTGAAGACTCTCAATAAATATCTGTTAAGTAATTCACTGAATCAGTTAAATTTTTGCTGTGACCTTTCCTCATAGGGGTTAAGAAGCCTAAACAGGCTGGGCGCCATGGCTCACGCCTGTAATCCCAGCACTTTGGGAGGCCCAGGCGGGTGGATCATGACGTCAGGAGATCGAGACCATCCCGGCTAACACGGTGAAACCCCATCTCTACTAAAAATACAAAAAATTAGCCAGGTGTGGTGGCGAGCACCTGTAGTCCCAGCTACTTGGGAGGCTGAGGCAGGAGAATGGCGTGAACCCGGGAGGTGGAGCTTGCAGTGAGCCAAGATCGCACCCCTGCACTCCAGCCTGGGCGACAGAGCGAGACTCCATCTCAAAAAAAAATAATAATAAATAAAAAGAAGCCTAACCATAAAAACATAGAGGTGAACATGATAAAAGCCAAACTCCCTGGTGCTTGTGGAAATTAGAAAGGATGGATAGGTCTGGTGTTTAGACCTTACCTCTTAGGATCACAAAGATGATAGACTCTTTAGAGGTCATCACCTACAGCTTTTAAAGCAGGTTTTCTCAACACCAGCATTATTACCATTGTAAGGCAGGTAATTCTTTGTTGTGGGGGAGTAGCTCATGGCTTATAGGATGTTTGGCAGCATTCATGGACTCTACCCACTAGATGTCAGGATCATCCCCTCCCCCTCCCCCACCCAGTTGTGAATACATGTCCAAAACTGTCGAATGTCCCCATGAGACAAAAATCAACCCTGGTTGAGAACCATAGTTTTAGAAGTTAGGCAACCAAGGAAGTCTTGAGAGGTTAAATGAGACATCCACACCATGGGCAAAGGAAACACCGCAGTCCTAATCCTAGGTTTAAGCCTCTATACACTTCTTTCTACTATCCAATATTACTTCTCTGATTTTAAAAATGTGTTTTCTTTTATATGACTAAGTGAGCCTCCAGTATAGTTGCTGTTATTTTATCAAGACTATTCATAGTTATTCATAGTATTCTTCCAGTTTGTAGGCTATTTGATATTCTATACATTTTATTGCATGAAAAGAAAGCCCTTTCTATATTAGATTAAAAATGAAGTTTCTCTTGGAGTTGAAAGAGGTATGTTTTGATGCCTAAAACTGACAGAGGAGAGAGAGAAACTCAACAATCTTTCTCTTAGAGACGGACTTAGAGATGAATTATGCTTTCTTTACCCAGCTTGCACTGAAATAGAAAAATATATCTGTACACAAAGAATTCTATAAAAAATGCTTGCCAAGTCCAGAAGACACCCCTCTAAAGTGGCAGAGAACAGAATGATCTCGTAGGGATAGTCAAGTGTAATTTCAGATAATTCTATATCAGGTTTCTGAGAACCCTTTTGGAAAGCTCAGTTATATATTAGTGCTGGGTCTCAAAGAAATGGAAAATTAGTATTTTCTTTCTCAGCCTACAATTTATTGATCAAAGAAAACTTATTTTTGGCTTCGTAGTGTTGCAACAATCTGAAGCAAATTAATAAAGAAAGAGAGTTGCTTCTTGGGGAGATAACCTTGATGACTGTAATTTTTCTCATGAGTATCAATGCTGCTTATGTTCCAATATATCACAAGTGAAGGGGAAGGGAGGGGAGCAGATATTGCCTAGCAAGGGTAGTACGGAGTTCTGTGTATCTTGCTTTGTCTTCTCCCACCCTTTCTTGGGGAGTGAGTCCTCGTCCATCCCCTGTTTATTCTTAAGAAGGACTTCAGGAAATGGTATTTATAAGGAAGGCTTTTTGATTGTGAAGGCAGAAAAAGCTGACAAAGACTTGGCTAGTTCTAATAATTGGTTCTACCTAATACAGCAATCAGAGGATTCAACCAGGGATTGTTCCTGTGTCTATACACGTATGCTTCCATTCTAAGAACCACCTGGGTCACATCCCCACTTCACTCCCTGTGAACTGTGTCACCCTGGACAAGTTACTTGGTCCCTTTCTGCCTCAGTTTCCTCATCTATAAAAATGATGACATTAGTAGTACTTATTTCAAATACAGATACAATTAGTTAATATTACTAAAGTATGTAAAACATTGCCTGCAACATAACTTTGAAAGTGTTTTATGATAAAAATCACACATTTAAACTTCAGGCTGAGTGCATAATAGGTAGTGAGCACTTTCTACGTGGTGGTGATTTAACGCAAGGTGAAAGAAAAAGTTCAGAGATGGGCAGACCCTCAAAACAGGAAATAGGTCACATTTTAAAAATTTACTAGTAATCCGCATTTAGTCCATTTTGTGCTGCTCTAATCAAACACCTGAGATTGGATAATATATAAAAAACATAAATTTACTTCTCACAGTTCTGGAGGCGGAAAAGTCTAGGATCAAAGTGCCAGGAGGTTCAGTTGTTTGGTGAGGGCTGCATCCTCTGCAGGGGAGGAGTGCTCCACTTGGTGGAAGATGGAAGGGCCAACCCTGACTGATGCTGTAATGTGTGAAGCCTCTTCTATAAGGGCCCTAATCATACTCCTGAGGGGAGGTGACCTCATGACCCAAGCACTTATTAAAGGCCCCACCTCTTAATATCATCACATTGTCTATTATTTTGACACCTGAATTTCGGAGGTGACACCTTGAAACCATAGCAACCTGCTTTGTGGATGGCCACTGTGCTGGTCGTGGAGGAGGCAGAGATGAATCACCCAGCATGTCTGTTTTCTAAGAACCGTGTCTGGTGGAAGAGAGAATGTGAAATATGATACAAGGTAATGTGACAAGAAATGTGATCAGTGTAGACATAGGGTATTTTGTTTGCATGGAAGGACCTTCATCCCAACCTGGGAATGGGGCTTGGAGATAGAGAGGATCTTCAGGGGAAGAGATGTGGGAGTCGAGCCTCGTAGGCAAAGCTAAACCAAATAGGGTGGGATAGAGAACACTGAACAGAGAGAAAGAGAAGTGAGCCATGGAGGGCAGGTAGGCTAGGCAGGATGGTGAAGAGGAAGGTACATGCCATAGATGCCCAGGTTAAGAAGGACTCTGCAAATCAGGTTAAATAGTGTAGGTGATTCCTTGAAAGGGAAAGAAAGCCATTGAAAGATTTTTGGTAGGGGAGTGATATGATTGGAAAGGTAGAAATGTTATTTTATAAACTGCAGTCTTGTGTGTATGGAGGAAAAATTAGGAGAAGGCCAAACTAGAAAAAGCTAAATAAAAGGCCAAACTAGCAAAGCTCCACGAGAGAAGTGAGGCTGGAAACAATGAGGAGGCTGTGGGAGAGGAGGGGAAGTGGGAATTAATATGGAAATTCTTAATCTGAATCGAGGAAAATCACAAAAGTGAAGCTTGCTGTTCCTCAAAATGTTGGAAAATCTTATCTAGCCTGTCTAGAAATTCAGAAGAGGAAAATAAGTAATTAGTCATCAGGAGTTGTCTTTCTGAGACATTCATGCCATCTTATGGTCTTATGATTTAGATTCCGTGGCAGTACCTCTTGCTGCCCTCTCTCTAGGTCTGATGCATGGACCTAATATTTGGGCACTTTTGATTTAACTTGAGGAACTTTCAATGTGTTATCTTTGGTTCTGGTCTTCAGTAACAGATAGTATAGCAGATCCTGAAAAGGCCACTAGAGATCATCTAATGAAGTGGAAGCAGAAAAGTTTTTATCTTCAATGCCATCACTAAACTCTTAAGATTGGCTGCTTGGAGTGTTGTGTTAATAAACAATGTGAGGTCCATCTGGCTCTGTGGGAAAGAGTGACAACTAAAGATGCCCATCATGGATGCAGCAGGGCAGAGCAGAAGTACTTATGCCTCATGCATCCATTTCTTACCATGAAGAATCCACACTCATGGCATTAATGAGCTAAAGTCAAAGATCTAGTTAGGAGTGCAGCTGCAAAATCAAACAAACAAAACAACAACGTGACTTAACTCTCGGTGGCAAGATACTTCATTAATTTCTTCAAGAAATGTTTGCCTAGGAGAAAGATGTGTCCAGGTTGCTTTGTGTGTGTGTTTTTGTTTTTAGTGCTAGATTTTTAATTTTTAACAACACAGATGGGGCCCCTGCTTTCATGGAGATTCTATTCCAGTGGGAATTGGCAGTAACTAAATGAATAAGTAAGATCATATCCAATGGCAGCTGAAGATTATGAAAGCAGTAAAAGCAGGGTGTGGTGATGGGAAACAAATAAAACCTGGCAGTGGGGTGGCCAGTTAGGGGAATCGCTTCAGAAAAGAGGACTTTTTAGCTGAACTTGAATGAGAAGAAAGAGCCAGTTAGGCCAAGATCTGACAGAAGAATGCACCAGGCTGTGTGAGTGGCAGGTGCAAAGACCCTAAAGCTAAAAGTAGCTTGAGTGTTTGAGGAATAGAAAGAAGGCCTGCAGGGCAAGGGCACTGTGAGTGAGAGAAACAGTAGTACCTGAGAAGATGGGAGAGTTGGGCACAGGCCAAATTATGTTTCCCCATCTCACTGGGAAGGGAGTCTTAGGGTCTTGCTCAGTGGCCCCAGGCCGTCAAAAGTGAGGGGGCTAGAACCTCAGTCCCCAGGTTCTTAGCACAGTGCTTTTGAAAGTCTCTAGGAGTACATAGCCCTTTCTTTCTTTTTATAGGAAACTCCTTGATTATAACTGACAAGATCAAACAGCTGATAGGATCAAAAACTTTCCTCTGTATAGATTAGAGTGGAAAATAGAAACCTGGAATAAGTGTGTTTCCTTCAAGTGACCTTAGTAAAACATTCATGGGGTGCTGACAAGTACTTTGAATTGATACAATGGGGAACACAGTTTAAATACTTTGATATATTGCAAGCAGCTTCTAGAGAATCTCAAAAAAGATTGCGAAGCTCATTTAAATCTTGTACCAACCCTGTGAGAATTGGTAGGAAATAGCTATAGCTATTTTTTTTCCAGATGGATAAAATGAGGCAGAAAGATTAAATTACTTGAGTTCAGATTTCTGCCCGTAGTATTGCATTCAACCTAATGGATATATTGCACACACCTTAATTTACAAATAAATGCACAGTTGAAATCTAAACCCTGGTAAAGCATCCCTAGAACCTTTGATTTTTGAGACCTAAGGTCCCAATTTGTGTATTTACCTCACTAATTACAAGTAAAAAATAAAATGGAGTGAATCTCTTGAGATTCGTGTGCTTGAACAATACACCGAGCCTATTGAAATTTATTTCATTTGCCAATTTTTCCCTGCATATTTCCTGCTAGGGTTTACAGTAGCCAAGTTGCAGGCTGCCCCATTTGATATTTGCATATATTCCATTAACTCTATTGTCCTTTTCCTTCTCTTCCTCCCTCTCTCTGACCCCCACCCTCCCCGGGCTGACTTACCTGTTCTGTGCATTCTGTTTCTTGTAGGCTGTGCTCTCAAATGACAGCTTATGAACCTAATAAATCCAGGCAAATGTGTAAATGGATGTTAATGTTCCATGTTCTCCTTCCACATAGCATGTGTACATTTTATTGGTGACCTTTGATGGTTAATACCTAACTCAAATGAATGACTAATGGTAGAATTAGGAAGCCAAGTAGATTTGGAGGTCAGCATCGTAGCTAATTGAAAGTAATACATTTAGGGGGAGTAAGGGACTTTTGATGATCCCCAAATCATTAAGATTTGCCTATTTCTAGAGGCAGCTTTCATCCTGAAAGGTGGGTTCACATTATACAGGACTTCATGGACCTTAAATGGTGTTTCTGATGTGGAGCTATAAAGGTGTGAGCTGTACCTGTAATGTTTCTCAATGAGGCAAATTCACAAATTGATATTGATGTGGAGAGTAACACCTGGAGAAGTAAACTGCAGGAAAAATACGATTATCATCTTCAGAATTCACTTCTTCTTCAGCATCATAGACAATATTTCTCTTTTTGGGCTGGGTGCAGTGGCTCATACCTGTAATCCCGGCACTTTGGGAGGCCAAGGCGAGTGGATCACCTGGGATCAGGAGTTCAAGGCCAGCCTGGACAACATGGCGAAACCCCATCTCTACTAAAAATACAAAAAAAAAAAAAAAAATTAGCCAGGCGTGGTGCCAGGAGCCTGTAATCCAAGCTACTCAGGAGGCTGAGGCATGAGAAGCGCTTGAACCCGAGGCAGAGGCAGCGGCAGAGGTTGCGGTGAGCCAAGATCGTGCCACTGCAGTGCAGCCTGGGGCTTAGAGCAATAGAGCAAGACTCTGTCTCAAAAAATAAACAAACAAAAGAAAACAACAAAACCACACACACACGGATAACATTTGTCTTTCATTTGTCTTTTTGGTTTGAGTCTTTTGTTTGCTACCATATTCTTTCTATGAACAGTCAGACTCTGGTGATTTTCCTCTCTTCTGTTGACCCATGATCTTAAAGGCCTATTTCAAGTTGTGATAAACCTGTGATATAACTCAGTAAGGGAGGAGTCTAGAATAAATGAACCTTCATAAACTTTTGCAGTGTATCCTCTGGTTTATACCACGGGGTAGGATATGTTTAGGAAAACCCACTCTAAAGGGATGCCTCATATTCTACTTTAAAAATATACCTATTTAACTCAGCTCCAAAAATATTGCATTTCATAATCTCCCAGTGCAATTTTTTCCTCCTCAAAAGTAGATAAATGCATCTGAAATTCTGCTTCTATATAAAGGTTTATACAGGTATATGCAGAAAGGAAATGATTCTGCCAAAAGTACAGAAAAAGAAACAAGAAAAATTATATTTATGTCTAGAGCAAGTTATACCACCTTGCAGCACTTTTAACATTGGCAATACATTTTCAATTTTTATGAAAAAGGTGGATCTTTAAAGAACTTCTAACTCTAAATCAATCTGATTTGAGCCCTGAATGAGTAAAAGTACAATTAAAAAATTCAATCAATATAAATATGCATTTCTGCATCTTCCTGTATGACACTGACCAGTAGTGTCTATATGGAGAATATTTCCATATGCTACCACTGTCATTGCGTTCAAGTGAGGTGGGTTTCCACTGTGTGATCTTGGGGTCTTTACTTTTTTGCGGGACTTCAGATTCCTCATCCATAAATCAATGGGTTAGGTAAAAGTTTATTTAAGGGTACTTCTCAGCTTTAAAATTCTAGAATTCTAAAAAATAAAAACAGAAACCATAAAAGTTTTTGTAAAGACAGAAGGAGATTTTTTCAATGTATTATTCCTGGTCCATCTTCCTAATATTAAACTGTGACTCCCACAGCAATTTGTTGGTGTTGTTTTATTTTATGTTCATCTTGAGATGTAATTATTTATGGATTCATCTTATTCCCTTTCCTAGATTGCAGATTAAAATTGATATAAAATACAACCTTATATAAAACCTTGCCCATTGTAGGCATTCAATATACAACTCTACTGCATGCTTGCCTCCCATGTAATATTCTTCTGTGGCTTATAAAGATCTTATAAAAATGAGTGTCATTTATTTATTTTTAACTTTCAATACACTATTCGCTCTTTCCTTTGGTAAAACTCTCCTGAACATCTGTTATAAAGAGAGCTCTGTGCTAGATGCTATGAGGGTTATAATGGTTCCATCTGCTTATCCCTGAGAGCTTGTAATCTAGTAAGGTGGTAGTACATACACACCATGCAAATGAGGGTCATCAATGTCAGGAGCCTCAACAATGTCTAGCAATTACCAGTGTTCAATAAATAGTTGGTTTCTCCATTGTCTAAAAATATAATTTCTATTATTATTATTATTTTCATTATTTGTAAGATCTAAGATAGCTAAATGTGAGGAGCAGCAGCAACGTTCTACAGAGACTTCATCATGGGCATCACAGTTTGGTTAAAACTGGCTGGTGGTGCTTTGAAAAATACGTTATTTCCCCACCGTGGAACTAGGTATGTGTACAGCCTCTAGACATGTTAAGTGATGTTCCTGCAGTATCAATGATAGCATCGCCTAAGAAGTTGTTAGAAATGCCAAGTTCTTTTGGGTCATATCAGAAAAGAGTCCAGCAAACTGTGTTTAAACAAGCCCCTTGAATGATTCTGATGTGTGTTAAAGTCTGAGATGTCAGTAGAGACATGGAGAATGTCCCTGGGAGGAATGTGTTACAGTGAGAGACCCAAAGGCCAAAAGCGATTGAAGGCAGAGGGATTTCAGAACTCTGCTCACTCTCACAGGGCTTACAGCCAATGGAAGAAGCAAGTAATTATTCAGATTAAGTACACGATCAGTAACTTTGATGCACTCTGCAAATGCAAAGTGCAGGGTGCATCATGGTCTGTACCAGGAAGAACTGAGGGAGTCTAAGGTTCAGGCAAGATTCACTAAAGAATGAGTTGGAGCGGAATTTTGTATCTTTGATGTTATGTAGGTGCCAAGAGGAGACCCTGAATCTGTTTGATTCTAATAGACCCTTATAGAGCCTATTTAACAAAATGTTTTTGCACAGTTCTTTGTCCCTGTACATTTCTGGGATTAGATGCTGTGTCCTTTGATTTCTCCTAAGCTGATTCAATACTTTTGCTGATATATATTCTATACATACATATTCTATACATAGATATATACACACGCATATACAGAAGTATCCATTGATGACTGTAATCGTCCGTATGCAGCTTGCTTTGTACATTTGGGAGACAACATAATTTGAGTGCCAAGTCTGTCCTAGACCCTTCCCTAGGTCTCTTATACAACTTCTAATCCAATTCTCACAACATTTCTCAGTATAATTGTTAAGTCCACTTATGGTAACTAAAATGGCTCAGCAAGATTAACACTTGCTGCAGGTCACACAGCTGGTTAGTAACAGAATATTCTAAAATACTTTTTCCCAACAACTGAGGGTAGAGTTCTGGGGATAAAGTATGTTTCTTATTAATAGTATATGTACACAAAGTGAAGCTTTGCCTCATAAAGGTTTACTCATCCTAATCTGTATTTCTGCTTAGATGTCCACAGACTTTTGATGACTTAAAGGGAAGATAGTAGGTGCCATATTTCACTGGGTTTGAAGCAACCCTCAAAATGTCATACAGATATTCAGAGAAGCTGGGAATTCAAACTTCTGTAGATATAAGAACTTGAGCCATCCCTACAATAAGGCAAACCAGGACATAGATATGAGGATAGAGCGTGGGCTTAGGGAGGGGAGATATGAATAGATGATTGGGCATATTTCAGGGAGACAGCCACTGAGGAAGAAGGAGGTGTCTCAGCCAGCTGGCACCACACCAGTCCCACATCTTCCCTTCCCAGCTTCCAAATTCTCCCTCATTTCTTGGCAAATGGTTGAGATGTCCTTTCTATTTTCATATATTTCCTTCAGCTTGACCTTTTGTGACTTATTTTCTCCCTCTAAATGTCCTTGGTGTTAAATAATATAAATAAAGCTAGAGAAAAACACATGGCATGTATTTCCCCGATTCTAATCTTTCCTTGTTTATTTCACATGGAAGAATTATAAATGAGAAAAAACAAACAAAAAGAACTCACATTCATTTCTGATAGCAAGAATGCTAATGGCCTAGTAATTAATAAAAATAAACACAACTGTAATGACATCACCAGATAGATCTGCTTGGAATATTTTGCAATTTTTTTTGTTTAATTTCTAAGCTAAACCGTATCCATTTTATTTTAGTTTAAAAATTATATAGAGGAAAACCCCAAAGATTACCATTTTAAATTGCAATTGTACAGTTAAGAAAGACTAGGCAGCCACAATTTCCTGGGATGTTGGGCTTACTAAGGTGAGTTTATAAGATCAACTTTTGTGAATGGTTGGGCTTTAGACTGTGGTATTAATATTTCCACTTATATTTTCATGCACAGTTATTTGACGATCTCTAAAATTGGTACATTTGTAGCAGAGCCACAAATTCACTAAGCATAGAAGTGAATTCACAGGTGCATTTTTTTTTTTTTCACCTGCCTTTATACTTCCTTGAAAACCATACTAGAACCTAAGGCTTCTCACACAGGGTCACATGAGGCCACCAGAAAGACATCTTTGGCCAGGAAAGATGAATAATTTTGTCTTAGGCCAAGAATAAGAATTTGGTTAGTTTAGCAGAAGCAGAAATATTTCCCAAATTTGTAACTTCTATAAAAACAGTCCCTTTTAAAAACGAATCTCTCAGTGAGAATTAGGGGGTTTCAAAATGAGCAAAAGCAATTGTCTATAGGGGAGCTAGAAAGCAATTTAGACGCAGCTTTCCCAACACTAATAGCTTTGCTGAAAACAGCACTGCTTTTATTCACTTTCTTTAATATGCAGGTTATTAATACATTTTCAAATTAATAGTTTGGAAATTTTCCTACCCTTCTAACTATGAGTCAGTAGTACATCCCCACCTGCAAGAGTGACTTGATGCATTCATTTTACTACAATGAAAGTGTCATTTAGAAAGCCATTAAAACATAACCTTAAAATTAACATCGTGACCCTACAAGGAAACATTAAATGGGTTGAAAAGTAATGGTCTTGAAAAGGAAAGCCCTGCCTTTAGAATACAAGCTTTTTTTTTTTTTTAAAAAAAAAAAAGGAAAAGGAAAAAAAAAAGCCACTAATGAATAATTACTTTAATGAGCCTCTGGTCTCAGAGCTGCTTACGTTCATTGGCATTAATGCTGTGAAATGTTGGATGCTGTGAACACATTAAAATTTTCATTTTAGTGCTTTTTTGTTCAACAAAGCAATGAAATATCCCAAATTCCTCCATGAGGTGCCTCTTTGGCAGTTGACCTTGTCATCAAAATACTAATGCTGTCCAGGGGATCCTTCTAGCTACCACCTGGCAGAGTGCCCTGAAACACTAATAGGACCACAGATCTACTTCAGCCCCTCCAGTGTCTCAACCCCCTCACCCTGTGGCCCCACTGCCCAGGGTCTTTCTCTATAGAAGGTATTTCAGCAAAGCAGTAACAAAGAAGGTTCCAGTGTATGATGCTGAGTACAAACATTGCTTCTGTAACCTGGGGCAAATTGCATAGCCTTCCTGTGCCTGCGAATCCTTATATGTTAAATGAGCAAAAACGCAGCGCTCTTCTAAGGAGTTGCTTTGAGGAGTGAATGAAATGATCTAGGTAAAAATGCTTGGTTCAGGGCTATCCTTAATAAAAATGAAAAGGTAGCTATTAATAGATTAAAAATGACATTTCTCAGCATGGCCTACAAAGTCCGCCATGAACCGACCTCAGTTTACTATGGAAGGTTATTTCTCACCATCACCTTTCCACCTCTTGCCACTTCCTTTATGATCTGGCCCAGGGGAGTCTCAAACTTGATTGTGCATCAGAAACGCCCTAGAGGGCTTGTTAAAACTCAGACGGCTGATTCAGTTGGAATGAGGACAGGGCTCAGAAGTTTACATTTTCAACAAGTTCACAGGTGATATGGATGCTGCTGGCCCACAGATCTCACTTTGGGAACCACCAGTCTAGTGTAGACTTTCATTAAAAAAAAAAAAAAGCCCCTGTTCCCTCTTTCACCTGAAAAGTTAATACCAAAGCTCTACTTATGGACACTTCACTGAAGCCTTTGTGAAGTCCTTCAGCCAGAATCAGCTATTCTGTGTTTTGCCTTCCAATCACAGTTAGGGTGCAGCCTATTCACTTCTACAGCTCTAATCACCTGGCATTGTAATTGTTCCGTTTGCTTGTTGCATGCCCATCTAATGACCTGGACGGTACACACTTCCAGAACAGAGATCATGTTACATTCATTCTTGTGTTATTAGTGTCCTATGTGTGCCCTGGCACTAGGTAGCTACTAAACTCTACTTAAAGAAATAAACAACCAAACATACACCCCATACCCTTTGTTCGTATCCTTGCCTTTGCAAAAGCACTTTTCTCCTTCAGAAATGCAGTTATTTACTGCCTCTGATAGTGAGTTCTGGTCTGCTGTCCACGACCCCTGTGTTGGTATTTTTTAAGTCAGGAACACCTTCCCCAGCTTCCTGGAATAGGCAGTTCTTTCCCTAGGCACTTGGTGTTCATATATTTTCCCCTTCATTTGACTGAGATTTTTAGGGCTGTACTTATGTCAGAATTGATCCCAGTGCCCCCAGAACCCAGGAAGTGGCTGGAACTTAGGAGACTCTTGGGAAATGTGTGTGGCGTGCTGGGTGAGCATGCTGGAGGCCGGGCAGACTGGTCTGGGAATCTGACAGAATTTATTGCTGGTGTCCCGGCTTGCCACTCCTTTCCATGGGCCTTTTCCAAAACGACTCCCAGAATCCTAATTCCCAGCTACTGTGGAGGCCATATGAGAGATAGGCAGTGCAATTAGAGAGCGGCCACCATAGCTTAAGCAAGGTGTGATGAAACCTTAAATTAAGCAACAGCCTGAGAGCAAAATGGAAAAGCCAGCTGGAGTAATCATGGAGGAAGGGACCCTCCAAATTGACCAACTTAGAATACTGATCTTCAGGCTCTGGCCTGAAAGGGACCTGTGTTTGAATTCGAGCCTCTCCTCTGATCTTGCACTTAAGCATTCTAAGCCTTTGTTTCCTTACCTGTCAAATGGGAATAATAAATTACTATTGGCGTGAAATGAGGTGATGCATGGGAAAATACTTAGCACAGTGCTTGGAATATAGAGAGTGTGCAAGAAAATAGAGCCATATAGGAAAACCGTTAAACTGTCAATGCTTAATGGACTCTGGCTGTGATTTTTTTCCCTTGACCCACAAAGATTTACAGAATATTTGGGTAAGAAAAAAATGACCACTCCCAAAGAGTGGGATTAGGCTTTGATTATGCATCGTCTAATATTCATCACCAACAAAATAATCCTGTGCATGTTTTAATGTAGCTGGAGTTCATAAAAGGCAGTACCAGGGCTGAGGTTCTGAGGGAAAAATCCTGTTCCATAACCATGGAGCAGGTGGGGAGGTGGAGGCCAAGAATTAGTTGAAATATGGGAATAAAGGGAAAGCTATGGGATTTTGAATTTTCTTGCATGTTGGGTTGTGTGTGTATCTTTGTATATTGCTATAGGCATTTATCTTTTAAGGATATAATGGCATAAACTAAATTCAATGGCTTGGGCACAACTAATAATTTAGTTATTTGAACTCAATGTACAAAGAGTAACACTATGTAAAGAATAATACAAAAATTTTCATGATTTTCTCTGGACATAGAAATACAGATGAGTGTTTGCGCTTTGATAATTTGAAAATAGTGCTGCTAATGGAGGGATTTCCTGAGAGTCTCAGTTTGGATGGGCAAAAATTATAATCACTAACACATATAGTGTTGACTATGTGTCAGGCCTACTTCTAAGCGCTTTTACATTTATTAAGCCCTGTAATCCTCAGAACAATAGCATGAGGCAGGTACTCTTATGATTCTTACATTGTGGATAACTGAGTCACAAAGAGGTTGGAGCATTCACTCAACGTCCCACATGAAACTGAAGTCATATGGCTTGCAAGTCCACGCTCTCAAGCCTAAAGTCACTGGCAGTCCTGCTTCAGTTTCCCATCCGAAGAGCCCTGCCATGTCCGCCAACACAGCCAGAGTTGGCCATGTGGGTCCACACCCAGGCCCCCTAACACATGGATCCCCTCCACTGCTGTCTAAGTAGTGACTGGGATTCAGAAAATTCCCTCCAATGTCTGTTGTGAATTTCCACTGCCACCCTCCTTGGGGTCTCACACATTCCAAATGCTAGTCCCATCCTTTTATTTACTTAGACACATAGGATTTGTCACTTGAAATGATCTTTTAATTGTACTTTTTCCTCTGCCTTCTTTCCAGGGCTTTGCAGCCAGTGTTAAATGCTTTTTTTTTTTTTTTTTTTTTTTTAAAAAAAAAAAAGAATGCTTTCCTTCTGGTGGAATAGGTTAGCCTGTGTGTTGGTTAGCTGCTGCATTTTGAACTTCCCACTTGATAACTGACAGCCTGTAATTAAGCATAACTTGAACTCTGACCACATCTCCATGTACTTTTATAGCCTGTCACCAAATTTCTGTTGAATGTTTTATGTAAAAATGGCACACAACGAAACGCTTCCTGGCTTAGCAATATCTCATCATGGTTAGGTTAAAACATTCTCTGATGGGTTGGAGACCTGGAAATGTTCTCACCATGGTACAAACATTTTTATTTTTTCCTGAAAAACCAGTTTCTGTATAATACATGGATGACTTATTTTCTTTAGGGATGCAGAAACTCAAATCAGAGTATAAAAGGTGAGGGGAACTGCATTTATTGAAGTATCTAATATGTGCCAGGCCTTTGGCAAAGTGTTTCCCTGACTGTAGGACCTGGTGAGGAATTTGCTACCTGTCCAGATTGATATTCCCGATTGAGTGCCTGTGTCCTAATCCCTTTGATGGAGCCTAGGGCTTTGACGGAGGACATGTCTCAGATTCCACTGGGACACCTAGGCTCCAGTCTCTGTTGTACTATACTGTAGGAAAGGGTGAAAGGCCAGCCAGCTGCTTCCTTAGGGGAACCCCTTTCTAGTTAATGGACACTACAGAGCTAGCATCCATCAATAGCATTTTCAGAGTTCTCAACCAATAGATAAATAAAAAGAAGGTGAGGAATAGGAGAGCAAAATGTCACCCCATTTTTACTAATAAAATTGATATTAGAAAATGGAAAAATGTACTCTCCTAGGCACAAGCAGAATTGGACTCCCATAGAAATGCATTAGGAGGAGGAAGTATTAAACCCTTCTCTTTGGTGTTTTTTATTTGTTTGTTTGTTTGTTTTGTTTTGTTTTTCTGAGACGGAGTCTTACTCTGTCACCCAGGCTGGAGTGCAATGGTGCGATCTCAGCTCACTGCAACCTCCACCTCCCAGGTTCAAGCAATTCTCCTGCCTCAGCCTCCTGAGTAGCTAGGATTACAGGCGTGTGCCACCATGCCCGGATAATTTTTGTATTTTTAGTGGAGACGGGGTTTCACCATGTTGGCCAGGCTGGTCTCCAACTCCTGACCTTGTGATCCACCTGCCTCAGCCTCCCAAAGTGCTGGGATTACAGGTGTGAGCCACCATGCCTGGCCCTCTTTGGTATTTTTAATTTTTGTTTTTGTTGTTTTTGCTGCTGCTTTGCTTTTTTAGTGATATATAACATAAAAAGCTAAGTCAAAAATCTCATACACGTCTATAAAATTTTATGTATGCGTACACCTATGTAACCACTACCTAGATGTCTCAGCTCTCCAGCATCACATAGACTCTCTCCCAAAGGTGACCCCTATTCTGACCTCCATCACCATGCAACATTTCGGAAAGGCCCTTCAAAATATCATGATCTAGAGAAACACGGTGGCATTTGTGCATCCTGTGAGAAACTTCTGAGGGAGAGAGAGAGTGAGATGGGGCTGTGGTTGAGCATTTTTTCCTTTTAAATTTGCCAAGCAGATTTGCCCTCTTCCTTCCCCCTGAGAAGAAATGAGAGAGTCATCTAGAATGGCCAGGCATGTTACGCAAATAAATCACCCTTCACTTGGGAGGCACTATCAGGAAGGCGGAAGAAGTCCTCCCCAATCCCCTGCATTTGGCATGTGACCCCCTGAGTGGTAGACAATGGTCTAACAAGGTGCTCAAAATATCATAGTGTTAACATGACACATCTTCCATGAACATCAATTTTACTCAGTAAGTTCGGTGAAATATTATTTTAATAGTAACACAAATATGGAGATATTTATGGAACAGAATATAAAGTTCACATGAATTTTTAAAGCACAACATGATACTTTAAAGCTCTTTCAGGCTTGCTCTGGGCTGCTTTGGGCTAAGCCCCCAGGTCCCTCAGGGGTAGATGTTCACTCCTCTCTGCCTAGGGTAACTTCAGTGGAAGTGTGGAAGCTCTCTTAGGACACTGAATGTGTCATACAAAACCTTTATTAATGTACCAGCATTAACTTGGCAATGTTAGCAGATTGAAAAGCAAGAAGACAGAGATAGTAAATCAGAGAGACAGTCATCACAGGGACGTGTGGCCTAGGAGCCACTCACACAGCACAAGGCCAAATGGATAGGCTGACCAAAGAGCAGTAAAGGGGGAAGAAGGGAGGGAAAATGAGAGAGAGAGAAACCGTAAAGGCTAAAGACAGAGAGTGGTTAAGATAAGGAGGGAAGGAGGAAGGATGGGAGGTTAGTATTGAGGCCGACACACAGATCCTTGTTCATCTCTTACTTTTATGATCCGGGGAGCCGTGCCACACAGCCCCAGCCAGCTCTGTCCTGATGCTCTCTGAGTGGGGTATGTCTGCCTTGGAATTTTGTTCACAGACAGGCATTGCTCAGTCTTGCCCCTGGCAGTTTGTGCATGCTTGGTTCGTCATATCTGACCACTCCATTAAAGAATAGAATAGAATAGAGTAGAATTCTGATCCTCTTATGTAGGCCTTGCTTCCAAAAGCAGAAACTCAAATACCTGTGGAGTTAGGCAGATAGAAAAGGTGTGTTGCTGACAGGTATTAATTATAGAGAATGCAAGGGATTGTAGTAAACTTGTAGGCGGGTGCCTTGTTTAAAGGCACTCAAACTTGGAAAAAAAAAAAAAAAAGCAAAAAAGAATGGGCTGGCTAAAGCCAAAATCCCTTTCCTGCTGGATTTGGTTTGCAGGGCCTTTGTTTCGTAGGCTTGCCACCCTCAGCAGACTGAATTTTCTACTTGTGGTCTCAACTTACACTTGTGTCATTATATTCCCCTAATATTCCAGTGGAAGTTGTGCTCTTAATGTCATGCTTGGGGCGAAAAAAAAAAAGGAAAAAAGAAAATCAAGGCCCTGAAATTAACTAATTTTCATAGGGCCACAAAATTTGTAAAGTTAACATCAAATTTGAACTAAAGTCTTTTTTCACTTCAATAGTTTTAAATTTGACATCTACTTCAGAGCTTCCAAAACCTCTATAGAGTGTTCACAGCAGACCACAGAGGTAGAGAGCTATGATCTTCTGCAGAAATGTAGTTGGCAAAACATTTATCCATAGAATAGTCATCAAAGATAATAGTGCTATTTAACAAAGATAACAGTGACAACTTTGCTATTTTAAATAACATGTTTCAAAAGAAACAGCAGCAAAACTGGGATTATTAAAAGTCAAAAAAAGAAACAGTTATTGATTTGGAAAAAAATAATTGGTTTAATAGCAAAAACATTTTCATATGAAACTTAAAAAGAAACTGTCAGTTGATGTGGTCAAAGACTCATTAGTAGCCGCATATTGGACAGCTTTTTCACTAACTATTAACATGGCGACATCACTTTATACAATGAATTTTGATTTTTTTGGCGTGTGTGTAAAATTCAATAGAACATTGAAAGGATAAAAGATAAAAATTAGTGAAGGTGAATGACTTCTCTAACTAGGCGATTGTTTGTAGGATTCATTATTGGCAGTAGATTGTTACAACATACACTCGTTACATTCTAGTTCTTGTTTATTTTTATGAGAGGTTGGTCCTGAATGTTGATTTCAGTCGGCAAGAAGAAAGTTTGCAAAATGCCTGGCAAAGTGGAATTAGACGCTGAGCCTGGTTTGGTCGGTTTTGCATATTTCCTTTATTTAGAAGTTAGAGACCTACCATTATTCAGCTTTCTCTGACCCATTTTTCAACGCTGTTTTATTGGACAAACACAGTTCTCGTTGGACAGAGCCATTACCAGTTTGGCTGAAGAAAGTATTATCTTAGAACATATTTTCCCTTCTGGTTCCAGTTTTTTGGTAGCTAGAATTTAAGCATAATGGTATAACAAATAACCACAGAGGTCTTAGTAATGGCTTTAAAACACCCACACAAAAAATTACCTCTCTCCTGAATATAAAGTCACAGAGGAAACATTGTTGTACTCTCACACTTGTGAAAAATTCTATTGTTAACGATGGTATATTAAGGCCTTAGCCTTATTCATTAATACAAAATACAGCAGAGTACATTTTGAAGTGTGTGCGGTGAATTGCATACACAGTGTACATTATCGTCATCAGAGCTGTGCTGGGGGAATTTAGCTAAAACTGTTTAGAGGCACCCCATAATAGTTGCCTGTAATTGTTTCAAAATTGGTTTTCTGGGGTTTAGAGCTCTGTTTTTATTATTGTTGTTATTTATTAATCTCATTCTATGACTGTCACAACTGATCTTAGTTTTGCTAGCACTTTCAAAATAGGAAACATATACAATTTTATTTCATCAAATAATTTCAGTACTACACTTCACCTTTAAGTGAATTGCGCCCCGAAACATTTTAAAGCTACTAACAGAGCTTGTTAAATTTGAAATAGAATTATAGGTCCATTGAGAGCAAATGTTTGCCAATAAATAGGAAATTTTGTTCTAGCTCAGTTATCAAAGTCCTTTCTTCTTCCATTTTTTGTGAATCTCTACATTCTTGGCTCTTAAAAAACAAAAAGTGGCGTGTATTGGCCGGGTGCAGTGGCTCACGCCTGTAATCCCAGCACTTTGGGAGGCTGAGGTGGGCAGATGACAAGGTCAGGAGATCGAGACCATCCTGGCTAACACCGTGAAACACCGTCTCTACTAAAAATACAAAAAATTAGCCAGGTATGGGTGGCGCGCACCTGTAGTCCCAGCTACTCAGGAGGCTGAGGCAGGAGACTCACTTGAACCCAGGCGGAGGTTGCAGTGAGCCAAGGCCGAGGTTGCAGTGAGCCGAGATTGCGCAACTGCACTCCAGCATGGGCAACAGAGCGAGACTCCATCTCAAAAAAAAAATAGTGGCGTCTATTTTGACAATTCTTACAGAAGCATATTCTTGCAGAACCATATAGTGATCTTGGTTATCTGTCCTGGTTGATTGAAAGTAGTATAAACAACAAGGTAAAGAAATTGATTTTATTTCCAGTAGTACCTAGGTACATAAGGATTCACCGTTTTTAATGGGACACATAACAAAGTAGCTTACAACTCCATATCCCACCCCACTTATTAGTATATTACACAAATATGTACAATTTCTAAGCCTCACATTTGAGAGAGGATGATCATTTTTAAATTGATTACATGCATTTTGTATTTTAAAACTTTGGCATAGCCAAGTCTTTTGTAAATTTAGTTCTTTATGCACCTATGTAAATATTTTCCATGTCTGCATACCAACCCAGCTGGATTATTATTTTTTGTCTTGTGGTTCTATTCTCACTTTCTCCTCATTGTGGTCTGAAACGTATAGGCTGAATGAATCAACAAATTGCTATCGATGCTCCCATCCTCAGCTTGATTCTAAGACAGTGAGTCCCACCAGTTTTCAGTTCTGAGTCTCTCCCAGGCATTGATGCTAATAGAATAAATAAGAAGTAATGGCAATGCCACCAGGTTGGTTTATCAGCACTGGTTGTGAATAAACCAGTGGAAGAAATAACAGGGGAACACAATATTGAGAAACTCTCAAAGCTGTAGACCTGTCAATTCCTTTTGCTCATCCTTTGTTGCTTATGCACATCCAAATTTCTTTCCAGACCAGCCTTTGGGATGGAGCTAATTAAATTACATTTTGATCCACCCCTATTTCTTCTTTATTTCTATATTGCTTTTCTCACTGTAATGTCACTCAAATGAGAAAGAATTTCTGCTACTAAAGTGACCAAGAGTGGTGCATGCTAAGTGCAGCCTTAGAGAGTTCTTCTTCCATCTCATCAAATTCCAGATGAATTCTTGGCCCACCCTAATCTCATAATGGACATGTGATATTCCATGTATCATATGATAATGGACATATGATACATCTCATATTGTATCTTTTATCCAAGGGTGTTGAATATTTTATATGTTTCTCTAAATTTTCTGACTGTATTAGTCTATTCAGGCTGCTGTAACACAAAACCATAGACTAGGTGGTTTAAACAACATAAATTTATTTCTCACAGTTCTAGAGGCTGGGAAGTCCAAGAACAAGGTGCTGGCAGATTGGATTCCCCGTGAGGGCTTTCTTCCTGGCTTGAAGTTGGCTGCTTTCCTGCTGAGACTTCTCATGGCAGAGACTGAGGGTGATATCTCCCTCTCTTCTTATTTTTACAAAATCACTAATCCCTTTATTAGGGTTCTACCAACATGACCTCCTCTAATCCTCATTTCTTCCCAAAGGTTCAAATATTATCACATTGGGGGATAGGGCTCAATATATAAATTTAGACAGTGGGGAAGCAATTCAGTCTCTTACACTGACCTCCTCTATCTTCTTTGTCTTAACTAACCTTATCTCTTCCCCTTGATCTCTTTCTTAGTATATTTACTAAAATCAGACTCACTTTTTTAAACTTATGATACATTTCATAAGAAATTTTATATCAGCACTGCATAAATAAAAGGTGAAACCATAAAATAAAAATATGAAAAAAAGGTTGCGAATGCACCTTTTTTCCAGCTCTCATGTGCCACACTTAGGGAATGCTATTGAAGAAACAAAACATGGGGAGGCTCTAAATTCGGGAATCTCCCCAGGTGTCCCAGATGTTCCTCTACTGATGGAGCTTGAGAGTTGGGTTAAGCCATGAGTTTTTCTGTATGACTATACTACTGATCTTAATCTACCTTAGAATATATCAAGAGTAGGGGAAGTGAGGAATAATTGCAGCTCATACTAACTCCATCCCTTTTCCTTTCTGAATGCAGACTCATAGTTGTGAGTAATATGTATTTGTTTCTTAATGTGAGTTATATTGGCTACTGGCTTGTTAACTTTAATTGGTGGAACTGTGATCATTTAGGCTATTAACAGAAACTAGTCATGTGTTTTCAGGAAAACTGGTATAAATTAGAATCTTTCATTAAAGACCAATCAGCCATTCTCACATTTCAAAATTTGACACCATTGCTTTCTTGATGGGGTAGCAAACTGACCAGAAAATTCATCTAATCCGTTTTCTAAGGGTGAGAGTCAAGAAAATAAAGTCTATCTATATTAATGGCTTAAAATATTTATATTACCAATTCTGGCATAACCAGTTCAAGAGTAAGATTATGGAGTGATTTAGTCAATGTTGCTTGAAAGGTAGGCACAGGGAAGCAGCCGCTGAGGCTGTTCACTACTGTCTGTTCAAATCTCTCATGTTTGCTTTCAAAGAAAACAATCAAACAAGTGTTTGCATCTTTTTAGAAAATAATCAAACAAGTGTTTACCGATGAAATAATCAAAGAGGAATCTAGCTGTAGATAAAATAGCATATCTTTCTTTTTAAGAGCAGGATATAGCAGTTAAAGTGTAATAAGAAGATCATGAATATGTTTAAAATGGACTCAGAGCAAACTTCTTAATGAAGCTTAGGAATGACCCAGAGCTAGAGTAATGGACAGTGAATTCAATGACTTCATGGAAGTGACAGGACACCTACATAAAAGGCAACATAAAAGGCAACATAGTTGCAAGAGCTTTGAAATAGTAGTAGACTAATCTCTTAGATTCTAAATTTGGTCTGTCGCTTACAAACTCTGATCTTGGCCAATGCATTGAACTTTACCTAGCCTCAGTTTTTCATCTATAAAGTGGGTATAATGATGACAATTGCTTAACTAATCTTTGTTTTGTTCTTATTTTTATTGATTTATTTTTTGAGACGGAGTTTTGCTCTTGTCGCCCAGGCCACAGTGCAGTGGCATGATCTTGGCTCACTGCAACCTCCGCCTCCTGGGTTCAAGCGATTCTCTTGCCTCAGCCTCCCAAGTAGCTGGGATTACAGGCACCTGCCACCATGCCTGGCTAATTTTTGTGTTTTTAGTAGAGACAGCGTTTCACCATGTTGGCCAGGCTGGTCTCAAACTCCTGACCTTAGGTGATCCACCCACCTCAGCCTCTCAAAGTGCTGGGATTACAGGCATGAGTCACAGCGCCTGGCCTGTTTTACTAATCTTATATGGTTTCTGGGAAAGACAGATGAGATATTCTGTGTGACTGATTGTGTTTTGAATATTTGACATTGTTAATTTATATACCCATGTAAGGGCTAGTTACTATCATTCCTTTTTTGTTACAATGATTGTTTGGCAAGACCCAGCCAGTCAAAGACACAGACTCATTTTCTTGGTCACAATTGCCACATCATTGAAGTAATATCAGGTAAGTAGAAGTTAGTGCATGGGTCTCGTCCAAGAACTGTACACGTATGGCCAAATTTCAATGATCCTGCACGTTTCTTTTCCTTTTATCACTTCTGCCTTATGCAGTCTGCCTTGAACTACTTACGTGTCAACATTTCCTTCACTGATACATAGAAGAAGGCAATGAGAATTAAAATGGATAATTTTCCATCTCATAGTTGTTTTGGAAAGAAAGGTTTATGGAGTACATTTTGTATGTGTGAAAATCTGTTGTTTTGTGATCTATATTCCCTTAAATTGTATGACACATAGATTCATATTTTGGGCGTAAGACCAAATGTCAAAAAGAATTTAGGGCATAAAACTCTAAACTGCAAACAAATTCTTAAACCTCTGGACATAAGACCTTCCTTGTTTGCCTATAATGGTCTTGGTAAAATAAATTGTAGAAGACTTTCTGACATTTATTTTTATAATGTAAACATTTTTCCTTAGCAAAGTCAATCGTTAGCTAATGGTTGTGTGTGTATTTGTCATACAGAAAATTTTACTACAATGCTCTATGCAATTCATATATGTATAATTTATCTGTCACTTCCATAATCCACAAAGATTTAATGAAACTGATAAAATGAACACGTGCCAGAAGATACAAATATGAAAAAAATAAGATTCAGTACTAGGAAAATGTAAATAAGACTAAAAAGTCAAAACCAAGCGTTGTAATGACTTCAGATGTGCCGTACATGCTTCATGACAGTTGGTTCTGTGTTACTATTATTGGTTGGGGAGAAAAATGCTAGTCATTTTGACATATATTTTTATATTTCAGTCTAGCATTAGCATCATGAAAAGAGTTTTACTCTTTCCTTTTTGCAGATGATGAGATTTCATAATGTAGAGGTCAAGAGATTTGCCTAAAGTTACTCAACTAAAACGTGGCAAAATTCTAATTTGAACACAATTCTAATTCCAATGCTGAGTTTGGCATTTGACACACTATCTGATTACTGTTTTTTACTTTAAAAAAAATTTAGAAAATTTATTTGGATACATAGTAGGTATATATATTTATGGGGTACATGAGATATTTTGACATAGGCATGCAATGTGAAATAAGCACATTATGGAGATTGGGGTAGCCATCCCTTCAAGCAGTTATCCCTTGAATAATAAAGAAGCCAATTGCATTCTTTCAGTTATTTAAAAATTAAGTTCTTGACTATAATCACCCTATTGTGCTATCAAATAGTAGGTCTTATTCATTCACTCATTTTTTTGTACTCATTAACCATCCTGAATATCTGATTACTCTTACTGGTTTGTTATTCACCTTTTTTACTTCTCAGCTAATACCTGCCGCTCACAACCAGGCCTCCCTTACACAGCTTGAAATTCTTTGAGTGTTTAGAAGCTGCTAATGAATTATTTCATATTAATAAAATCTCAGATTTTTCCTGAAACTGACATAATGCTGAACTGTATTTAGCTGGAGAATATCTAAGAGTCTTGTAGTAAAACAAATACGTTTTAGGTAGGATAGGGGTGAGCGCAATACACTTGGTGGCAGAACTGTCTTTAGGGTATTATAAATCAGAATGACTGTCCCCAGCTCTGCTTTCTGATTCTCTCAGATTCTGGTGGCTGATGGGCAAGGCTTCACAAGATGAGAGAAGGATGTGTACACAGGCAATGGGGAATTCTCATTAAAATATTTATTATCAACTAGGCTTAATAAAGACCAAGAACAAACACTTAGAAGTATCATGCAATCTCTATACTACCATTAAAACCAGGTGACTCATAGAGGGTCCTGAGGCAGTGCTGGGGTATAGAAACCTAGCAGCATTTAAAATAAATAAGCCAATAAACCTTGCGTATTTACGTGGGGTTATATGTTCTGTTTGCCTTCTGCCCCTGTCAGTTTCTATGGAGTGCAGTTTGCGCATTTTTCAGTTGATTCAGACTGTCTTTGGAACTTGTATCAACCAGATTTTACCCATGTGGAAATGTGATTAGGAGGGAAGGGGGACCACACACTGCGATTCGCTTCATGCATACGCAGCTCTATTTTTATTGTATATTAGTCAATGGAAATTAATTGCTAATTATCCAAACATTTCTGTGATAATATTTCAAGCTCTCTTGTAGCAGATGTGGCCTAAACTATATTTGGAAGAGAGTAGATGGTATTATCTTTCTTGATGGAAATGATTGTGTAGGGCTTTAATATTTTTTTCACCATTTTTTATTTTAGAAAGAAAAAATGACTATCATTCTTTGACAACATTTGTTAAATATTCATACTGACCAGGGTAATTATGCACTGAGTATATTAGCAAACATATAACTCTGTCAACTTTAAGAATTTGGGAATGAAATTAAACAGGTTGTGTATAATATATTCAGTTATATGCTGGTACAGACATATAGATTGTTTAAATAACCATCACCACATTTCATTTGTATTCATTGCCAGTGACAGACTTCCCTCATTTTGGGACTCTCATAATGAATTATTCTTTTTTATTGCATTAGGTGTCTTTCCTTCAATGTTTGAACATTGCTTTTTCATTCCCCCTTTATGAATGCTAATAATATACTGGGTAGAGCACTGGCTATTTTTAGTTATTCAGCATTTCTTTATATTTATACTCTGAACAAACTTGAGGGAGTTTAGCTCTGATTAAAACAGATAATTTTCTCTTTTTAAAAAAGAATAATGTGGGACTGATACATAGCAAGGACAAAAGGAATTTGATGGGCACAGTGTCAAAGCTTAATTGTGTCAATAATTATTTGTGTATTAGTGCCAAGTTTTTAATGAGGAGTAGTCACTTGTGTGTAATCATTATCAATGACAAGTAGTTAAAATATCTTCATGAAGTGGCAAACTCGGAGGGGGGGGATGAAACCATATTAACATTGCCTACAGTTCTTTACATACTAGCACATCTGAAATCTATGAGTAGAGTTAATATTAAAAAACGGAAAAAGCTGCAAGAATGTCGCTATGTGTGTGTAGATACGTGTGTTCATATAAGATTTGTTTCCATGCTGTGAACATGTGTTGTTTGTTTTGGGGTTGCAGTCTAACCTTGCTAAAGTCTTTTTAAAGGAAAGACTCTGCCAACTTGCTCACTAAGCTGTCACTCCTGCCCAGAGACCTAGACCTGTTTAGGTACATCCTCATTTTCCATGTTAAGATAATGGCACTTCTTTTTTCATATTTGTGCTTCCAAGTCATTGAGTCTCATCATCCACTATCCTGAGTGCTGTTGTTCTACTTTATTCTACATCCTGCCACTTTCCAGGTGGCAAGCTCTCAACTTTTATCCATATATATATAAATAATAAATATAAATAAAATAAAGACTAAGAACAAACACATAGAAGTATCATTCAATCTCTCTCTATGTATATGCAATCTCAATATATATATATTGAGACGGAGTCTCACTCTTTCACCCAGGCTGGAGTGCAGTGGCACGATCTCGGCTCACTGCAGCCTCCTCCACTCGGGTTCAAGTGATTCTCCTGCCTCAGCCTATGGAGTAGCTGGGATTACAGGCACGCACCACTATGCCCAGCTAATTTTTTGTATTTTTAGTAGAGACGGGGTTTCACCATGTTGGCCAGGTTGGTCTCAAACTCCTGACTTCGTGATCCGTCCACCTTGGACTCCCAAAGTGCTGAGATTACAGGCATGAGCCATTTCTCCCAGCCTTATTCATATTTTTAAGCCAGCGAATCTGAGTGGCCCTCACTGCTAGTCCTATAGAAGAGTGAGGAATTAACAGGAGCCCTGAAGCATCTGCGGGAACATTGAGTTTGGCAGTAGCCTAAATACCTGTTTTCTATCTCTACAATGTGTGATATAAAATGTAAGCTTTAGTAGTCACATGGCAGAAGTCTGGACACTAGTCCACATAAGTATTGCCCACACTGTCCATTTGCTTGGTGTCCTTGTAAATGTTGTTATCTGCATCATCTAGCCTCAAATTGTGAATTAGGGCAATCCAAATCTGTGCAGTCCTGTTGTGTTTACAGGCATGGAAATGAACTTTTATTTACTGATGACCACAATGAGGCTTCGATATGACCATGAATACGGGTAATTGAGACAATAGCTATAAAATGGTTTGCTTGGCAAGAATGTCCACACAGAAACACAAATTATGGATTTTTCTAATTGTGTTCGCCTTTACCCAGAATTCACAATTAGCAGTAGTGGGGATCATTAATAGGTTTTCTATGCTTTTACCACCATTCGTTGGGATGCCTGTATTTTATCTTCTTTATTATAGTTTCATTCATTCTGATCTTACCTTTGTGTATGGTGTTTTCTGGAACTGGAAATCTGTTATCTCATGTATTGTGGTGTTATAAGAAAGATTTTTTCCCACTTCTTTTGGTTTCTTAACAGTAAACTCTTTCTTGTATGAATATTCACTGAGAGGGGAAAAAGCATGAAGTGGTTGCTAGTAGCAGATTTTGAGTAGGCCTTAACCACTGAGTTGAAGTCTGGAGACTTGCTGACATTTTGCAAATAGTTTTTAGAACAAAATGTCAGATGATGGGAGCTTTACATCATGCAAGAGTAACTTGTGCAGCTGATGCTAACTAAGCCGATTCTTACAAAGCCGTGCAAGGATGGATGACCACTGCGCTTTTAAAAGAACTAATTATATCCACATATATATGCAACACTTCACATTTCGCACTTGCTTTGCTTTGCCTGGCTTATATACGAGATGCAGTTGACTGGCACTTTTACCAACCAATCAAATGCTGGCAAACTGGCGTTATTTTTAAAAAGAGCCATTGGTGATGAGACGTCATTACATATGCAAACTTTGGACCAATGGCATGACCGCCCTTCTGTGATCGCTCATCAAGGCAGCTGTGCTGTATTCACATTGAAATGAGGGGGTTTTTTAAACCCAAGCAGCTGTATTATTCATACTTAAAATAAAAGCTTAGTTTCCCCAAACGGGTGTGACGTAAACATCTCATTAAATATTTTTAATTTTGAAAAAAAAAAATTGTTAAATGGCAAAGAGTACGCTGGTGGTGGGAGCGGTTCGCATTTGTGTGCAAGATTATAGGAGGCTGTCTTTACACTTCAGCTGCATGGGATTGTACTCTTCTGACAATCACGGATCTGAGGAGGAAAGCTCTGTGCCACAGGTGGCAATGAATTCAGAAACGTGGGGTGCACACTCTAGCTGTTATATCACTTCTAATTAAGCGGGCAGTTGTCTCAGAAGGAAGCCCCGGTGCTTTGTTCTGGCCCCCGTTTGTTTTCTTAAGTTAAATTTCTCTAATTTTCAAAAGCTAAGCCCAGAGAGGGTTAAATAAATCTTTTGCCTTTAATTTTTTTTTCTTTGGTCTTTCCTCAATTCATTGTGTAGTGTGATGTGATGGTCACGTTTTGCCCAACACTTGACACTCCCAAGAGGGTGGCTTAACTTCCCATAGAACAAGAAAGCGGCAGGATCCATTAGGACCTCATCTATTTCCTCTTCCTTTTGGAGAATATTGCTTGTTAGCCCGTGCCCATTCACTCATAAGCTGTTAATTAAATAAAGATGGCAGAGTTGACTTTTGCCTCTTAATGCAAGAGCTGTCCGTGTGCTGTGACATTAGCTAAGAAAGCATTGCTTTAGTGTATGCTTTAGTTTCCTGTTGTTGCTGTAACAAGCAGTGAATTAAGACACAAATGTATTCCTCTTATAGTTCTGGAGGTTACAAGTACAAGATGAGTCTATGGGGCTAAAATCAAAGTGTTGACGTGGCTTTTTCCTCCATGGAAAATTTTAGGGAGAATCCTTTCCTTGTCCTTTATTTCCTTGTCCTTATTATTGCAGTGGCTGCAGGCATTCCTCGGCCCATGTGACATCCGTCCAATCTCCGCTTTTGCCACATCACCTTCCATTCTCTAGTCAAATTTCCCTCTGCCTCTCTCCTAAGTACCCTTGTGATACTGAGCACACCTGAATACTCCGTAATAATCTCCTCAAGATCCTTCATTTATTCACAGCTGCAAAATCCCTTTTACCATGTAAGGTAACGTAGTCGCAGTCTTGGGGATTTGGACACGGACATCTTTGGGAGGCTATTACTCAATCAGCGCAGAGTATATGCTTTGGAGGAAGATGGATCTGGAGTTAAATTCTAACTTTGCCAGTTATCAGCCACATATCCTTGGGAAAGTTATTAACCCTCTCAGTTTCTCACCCATAAAACGAGATGCCACTACCAGCTTCACAGATAATGTATGAAAAGCAACAGGCTTTGCAAAGCAGGTGTTCCACAAATTTAATCCCACCCAACCTTCGAGAAGTAAAGGTAGAAGGAACAGAACATACCACACATCTGACTGGACCAAGTTACTGGTCAATAGAAATGGCTAGTCTTTTATTTCTTTTTCTTCCTTCAGTGGATTTCACAGTTAGGGAAGTATTGATGCACACGGGGAATTTAGGACATTCTCATATTATTAATGTTATTATGAACTGGGGCATTTTCTCGTTGCAGCGCCCCATATTAGGTCACATATACAAATGATTTTTGACAGATCCTTCCGCTGCCCGGCTGTCTTGTGTCATACAATGCCAATGGGACTGAAAATCCTACGACTGATTCTGCCCCTTGTTGAGAACGATAGCAGTTTGAATTTGATTTGTCCATCTTCTGGGATGATAGTCCATGTTCCCCTTCAGCACCGCTGAATAGACAATGGGCACCACTTGTATTCTTTACAGCTCGTTCACCTATTATGATGATGATGTCATTATTCACATTATTGCTCTCATTATTATTATTATCATTACCCGGTGACCTCTGTCCTGGGGTGGAACTCCCCGTGACAGATGGGAGCTTCGTTTATCGGACTGCTTTATGCTGCACAATTCCCCTGCCATTCTGAGTTTATATTGAGACGGGCTGCTTTTGGAACAAAGGCAGCCTGATCACAATTTGTCAGTGTACTTGGTAGCTATATATCACCAAAGCTCTCTGCCAGTCCTTCTGGGACCCAATTATTTATGGAGCTGACAATATGGGCTAACTTGTCTTGTTATGAATGCCACTATTACAATAAAAACCTTGCTATCGTGAATGGCAAGTCAACAGGCGTTCTGGTTGGTCAGAAATTTCATTAACTAAGAGTTAATTCACATTGCCCCGGGTGATCGCTTGATGCCCCAGGTGAGTTGATGAGATCCCTGGGGAAAGTTCTATTTCAATATTCTTTTCTGTCCAGACTTGGGAAATCTGTTGATAACTTTAGTTTCTGTGGCTTCTGTGTAACGCAGGTTCGGTTCTTAACGGTTAAGAAACAGTGTTCATTCTGAGCCTGCTATCGACAGAGGAGTTTACCAAGTACTCTGCGGAGTGGAAATGAAATGAAAGACTTGACCTCTCCCTATAAAGTGCTTATAATTGAATGAGGGGAACGATCCAACTCAAATCTATACTTACCAACTCAGATGATGGAGAAATAAATATCAACAGAGTCCAGCTTGACTGCCTTGAGCCTGAAAACGGACTCGAATCCCATTCCGGGGAAGTAACTCCTTTATTCTCCGATATTCTTCACTAGCCCTTATGTCACACTGATTTTAAATCCAATCCCTCATCTCTGCTTTTAAGACACCTCAGAAGAACACTGAAAAGAAAGGAAACTAATTAGACCTAAAATAAATTTTCTTGGGGGAATATATGTCCCACACTTGGAGATGAATTAAAAAAAATGAAACAATCATGATTTTATAGAAAATATAGAGTATTATTTTTAGGACACTAGATGGTACATTTGTGACATCAGAAGGAATGGAGGAACACATTCGCAGTGATAGAACGTTTGAATTTGAATTCTCTGGCATACTGATTGGCAGGGTCTAAGTACAACATCTGTAGTACAAATATAGAGCATATTTACAGACACACCTTTTTCCTAAAGCATGTGCTTTAGTTGTACACAGAATTATTTTTGTCCCTTTTTCTTTTATTAAAATAGTCTTTGAACTAGGCATAGTGCTTAAAAGATTAGATCGTATAGGGAAACATAACATATTGTATTTAAATATGCTAATCTCTTAGAGGAAATGAAGGATCTGAGCCTGCTCATTAAGAAATAAATTAATTCATCACCATTGCATTCATCATCAATCATCATCCAGTTGTGTCCAGTTTTCAATTAAGTTTTTCCAAACTGCTTTGTGCCTTTACCAAAAGGACTGATTATCTCTGATGATGATTTTTTGTGGGTATTCGGATGTTGATGGCAGTTGAATTGGCATAAACATGCTGAATGTCTTTTTTATTCAAGTAGTTAAGCAGTAGCAGCTCAGTGCATACAAATACATTATGATGACAAGTTAAAAAATTCTTATTTTTTAAGATGTATATAGGTGGCCAAATACCCACCTTTCAGATTGACAGGGAATATTTCATATGTTCACACCTAAAACCAATGCAAACATTGAATGTTTATTATATATACATTGTTCTTTCATCCATGAATCACTCACTGAGCCAGTATTTAGGAAACACCCGTAAGTTTCTGGTATTGTACTAGGTGCTAAATGTACATCAATAAATGCAATTGACATTATTCCTACCTTGATGGAGCATCTAGTCTAGATGCTAGACAATGCATTATTAATTTTAATGACTATACACCCTCAACCTGGTTTTTTTCTCAGGATAAACACCAAAAGTCATGATTACTTTACCAATGACCCTGTAGGTATAGCCAAGCCTCCTTATTCTTGGAGTTAATGAACATTCCATGCTAGAGGAGAACGATTTCTGACTATCTCTTTAAGGTTTCCATGCAGAATGAGGATGTATGAAAATGACTCACCATGCCTGCCACTTATCTCTAGATTCCTATAACATGAAGATGATCACAATCTGCCATCGTGCTGTTAAAATGATGCATAACCCAACCAGCACTCTGAAATGATCGAGTATTATTGCAGCCTCTTACAAGTTGGGCACTGAGATAATTTGGCTAGTGTTGGAGAAAGAATGTTCCACAACCCCTGTGGCTCACCCTGCATTGAATAAATATGGCATGCTGCTGCTTTTGTTCTCCTTGTGTATGAAAGAGCAATTAATGTGTCAAAAAAGAAAAATCACAAAATGTGCATACTTTTTCCCCTATGAAAATTGCAGGACTATGTTCAGTCTGCCTTAAAATTATTGTAAAACATTACAGGATGTTGTTATTTTTGAAATATTAGATAACTTGAGGTTGACATTACATTTCTTTTGGTGACTTCATGATTTCTGTGTCCATTAACAATCCTATAGTGAGTTTATATATTTCTTTATAAATGCCATTGGGCTACCAATGTTTACATAGACATCCAGGTATATATTTTCTTTACTTAAATAGTTGAAATGAAATATTTTTTAAATGCAAACATCTGTAGTTTTTAGTTAAGAGAAAGAACCACGCATAGGGCCAGCCTGCTACAATTCTTGCTTTCTAGTCCATTATTTTCCTGATATTCAGGTGCCTTCTTAGAAAGACTCATGAAATCGTGGTAAAAAGGGATTCCAATATTGGTTTCCTCCTGCTAGTATTTGGAGGGAGGAAAGGGGAAAAAAGGAGTTCAAAGTTTTTCTTTGTCCATTTTGTCTGCTAATGTAGCCCAAGCAACTCAATTAATTCAATATTCTGGACCATAGTATGTGCTCAATATATGTGTGTGATTTGAATGAATAAATGAATTTATCCTCTTAATAATAAAATTTATTACCAGGAGCTCAAGAAGAGTGGTAGGCTTGTGAGTATCTTGACAAATACTAAGTTAGTCAGTTAATTTTTCTTTATAAGTTATATTAGGATGACTTTTAAATTTTAAAAAGAAAAAATGAATATTTTCTTTTTTTTATACTTTAAGTTTTAGGGTACATGTGCACAAGGTGCAGGTTAGTTACATATGTATACATGTGCCATGTTGGTGTGCTGCACCCATTAACTCGTTATTTAACATTAGGTATATATCCTAATGCTATCCCTCCCCCCTCCACCCACCCTAATATTTTCATTTAAGGCTGTTGAATTATATGTTTGCTTTTTTTCTCCCCTGATAGATTGCAACCTCCCAGAGGCCTGTCCTGTTCACTTATGTATCCAGTGCCCAGGATAATCTGGCATGAATTACTTCTTCAGTTGTTATTTATCTAGTGGATTTTCCAGCCAGCAAAATGATCTGGGGTGTATCTGGAAAATGCACACATTAACAAATATTAGATAGCGAGTGTGCCTCTACATAATATTATGTGGAATATTTTAAAGAAGATTACATTCCTGAAATCTTGAACAGATACACAGAGTATAGACCGGGATGGTGTGGCCCATTCTTCTTTCTGTGCTCTGATCTTCCTAAACTCTCTCTCCATCTTTTAATACTCTAGCAACACAGACCTGATTCCCAGGGTCCAGCACAGATCACATGGCCTCTCCGTGCCATATTTGTCAGGTTTCTTCTCTGGGAATAACCTGTGCTGCTCTTCCTGATCCATTTTCTCCTGTTCTAGCTGTTTCTACTTATTTTTGAAGACTCAACTCAATCAATTCCTCTTTCAGAAAATCTTCCTTATCTCTCCTTCCAACGCTTCCCAGACTGCAGCATCCTCATTTTTCTTCCATCTGTGATTATCTTTGTCCTAATTGCATTGACTATGATGATCTGCTTGTATGCTATTCTCTTCCACTAGGCTTGTGAGTATCTTGAGGACAAGGATTATTTTATTCACTGCCATATCCTCAGTGCTTGAAGGAGGGCATGGCACAAAGTGAAGGGAAGGAGAGGAAGGATGGATGAAAGAATGAAAAGATAAAAGGAAGGAAGGAAGGACAGGACAAGGAAAACACCCAGAGAAAACTCTTTAATGACTATTATAAAGTAAATAGTCTCCACTGGAGAATACACCATAAGTTAGAAAAGGGAGGGGAAAATACAGGGTTTTAAAAAGTTACTGTGGGCCTGTGAGTCTTGATCTGTATAAAAGACACCATCCACTTTCTTCTGCTTACTCTATGGCCTACTCATTTCTCATCCTGTCTATTCCCCCTTTCCTTTCAGCAACCATCATCATAAAACTTTGATGTATTTTAAAGGCCATTTAAATGGTTGAACTAGTGGTGAAATTTAATTTCTGCTTCTATTATATTAAGATTGTTACAAGCTTGTTTCCGTTAGTCCAGGAAAAAAATTATTATGGGCAAATAAAAGAATTTTTGTTATGTGAGGAGCTTAAATATTCAAGCTTGGGGTCAAGTAAATTTAATGAGTGTATTATTTTGATTTCAAAACACATATTAAGGGTGAGAACAGTGTTCTTGTCCTAGAATTGAGTGTTTATGAATTGACTTTTTCAAGATGTCATAATAATAGCTAACACTCACATAGTGCTTACTATGCCAGCAACTATTCTAAATGCTTTATTCATTTACTTCTCACAACAACCAACTAATCAATTATTTGTCTTTTATAATTGAGGAAACTAACATACATAGAGGTTAATGTGTCCAAGGTTCTACATCTTATATGAAGCTTAGTTGAAATTCTAACCCACATAGTTTAGATTCAAGGCTAATCCTGTAAAACCTCTCACAAGATTTCAACCTAGAGCCTGGATAACACAAAAGCTCATTCAATGTAATGACTGCAGCAAGCACAATTATGTTCAATATAATAAGCCAATATCTTATGATTACAATTTCACTTTCAAGAAAATGATGGAGTGAGCTTGGCCATTTAAGTACATTATTTAATGTAATCATCACAACAATCTTATGAGATTGGTGATAATTTTTTCCAAAACTCACTTCACAAGAACTCAGGGTATGTCTGGTGGTTGAGTCAGGACTACAAACAGATATCTTTCAAGCCTCTCCTGGCTTTTCTCAGTAAATCTGTGAATTTAACATGTATTTTATTAAACCTCTCCTCCAGTCGAGATTATTAAACATTGCCAAATCTTTTATTCTTAGAAAGCAGATTGGGAGGACAGACTAATAAAGGGGATCTTGGGGATCCCTGCCAAGTGGAGATCAATTAAAAAGGAAAAACAGTGGAATTGATGGCATTTCTAAAACATTATTATTTTTTTCAATGGGGAAAGTTTTATGAACATGCCAACATTTAGCAAGGTGCCCATTGAGTACCATGAGACATACCAAGAGAGAAATCACTAGCTGGCCATGGAGTGCTCTCCAACATTTCACTTTTCTGACTTCTGAGCATAGTTCAAAGGAAGTAGAGAAGTGTTTCTTCTAAAGCTGCTACCTAATGACTACGTTACAACTACGTGTGAGAAACGCAAAAACCTAAATATTTACAGCTAAAAAGCAAATGCTTTTCTTCTTCTTTTTTTTGTTTTCTTTTTTAGACGGAGTCTTTCTCTGTCACCAGGCTGGAGTGCAGTGGTGCAGTCTCGGCTCACTGCAAGTTCCACCTCCCGGGTTCATGCCATTCTCCTGCCTCAGCCTCCTGAGTAGCTGGGACTACAGGCACCCGCCACCCTGCCTGGCTAACTTTTGTATTTTTAGTAGAGATGGGGTTTCACCATGTTGGCCACGACGGTCTTGATCTCTTGACCTTGTGATCCACCCGCCTCGGCCTCCCAAAATGGTGGAACTATAGGCGTGAGCCACCGCGCCTGGCCTGCTTTTCTTCTTAAAAATGTACCTTAAACCCTTTGGTAATGTGCAGTTTTCCATGCTGTGGGAGGTCAATAAATCCCTGTTGACTCTCTTCACATTCAGCAGCTCCAAGTCGAAAGGAAAGACACCATATCCATCCAGGCATTGCACACACTACGGCTTTTTCACATGCTCCATTTAGATGCCTAGTAGTTAAGCCAGTGTGGTATGTGGGGCCCAGTTTTGAACCACTGATGGATGCTCTTGTATACAAAATTTGCCACTTTTTTGTCAGAGAAATAATCACATTGGAAAAGACAAGACACTAGGCATGCTTTCAAGCTGTTCTGATTTCTCGTATGTATTTATGAACCACACATTGTATTTTCTTTTTCTTCACAAGGAAACTTACATGGTATGAAGCAGAAATTTTATTATGAAGCTTATTCACATTTACAATCTGAAGAAGACTGGAAAGCCGCATACCTGCACTTAGAATATCATTATAATGATCATCTCATGCACATACGTGGTTCAAATCTGCTTGTGAAATCATCTTGAGATTTATTATATGAAAGACTTTATTTAACAGTAACGTGAAAGCTAGTAGGAGGAAAATATTATTTTCTCTCAAACTGGGAATTAAATTTCAACATTCGGTTTTATGGGTCCAAAATGGAGGTATAGTTTTAAAATAGTTCTACAATTTCTTAGCTGTTATATAGTGTTAAACCTGAAGGGATCCTCTTACCTGTAGTCCAGGATAAATAGATGTATATTTGGCATTTCTAGATACAGTAGTTCCTTCTTATTCCTGGGGGATATATTCCAAGACTCCCAGTTGATACTTGAAACCTCGGATAGTGCTGAACCCTTGAAAGTGTTGAAAGTGGCTTTCAACCTCATAATGGAGGCAGCTCCTAAGTGACTAATGTGCAGGTAGTGTATAAAGTGTGGATTCGCTGGACAAGAGGATGACTCACCTCTAGGGCAGGACAGAGCAGGACAGCAGGAGATTCTATCAGAATACTCAGAATAGTGCTCACTTTGATACTTCTACATTGTTTATTTCTGGAATTTTTCACGTAGTATTTTTGGACCACAATTGACCATGGGTAACTGAAAGCATGGGAAGTAGAACCTCAGATAAGGGGGACATTACTGTGTATTCAAATAAGTCCTGAAGTAATATGTCCTGGTTACTGGAGATTAGCTTGCCCACCCTTAAGAATATTTGGTGACTTATACTACTTTGAGGTTTTATTTATTTTTGCCTGAACTGGCCATCACAATCAATGAATACATACACACACACACACACACACACAGATACACATAGCTGACCCCTGAACAGTGCAGGGGTTAGGAGCACTGACCTCCTACACAAGTGAAAATCCCCACATACCTTTTGACTCCCCCCAAACTTAACTACTCATTGCCTGTTGTGAACCAGAAACCTTACCGAGAACGTAAGCAGTTGATTAACACGTATTTCATGTTATATATATTATATACTGTATTCTTACTATAAAGTAAAGTAAGCTAGGGAAAAAAGTTATTAAGAATTATAAGGAAGAGAAAATATATTTAGTGTTTATTAAATGGAAGTGGATGATCATAAATGTCTTCATCCTCGTCATCTTCAAACGTTGAGTAGACTCAGGAGGAGAAGGAAGATGAGGGGTTCGTCTTGCTGTCTCAGGGGTGGAAGAGGGGGAGGAGGTGGAAGGGGAGACACGAGAGGGCAGGCACATTCAGTGTCATTTTCATTGAAAAATAATTCCCCGTATAAGTGGACCTGTGCAGTTCAAATCTGTGTTGTTCAAGGGTCAACTCTCTCTATATATTTCCTTTAGCTGTGATATGGCTTTAAATATATATATATATATACACACACACACACATATATCCAGATCATTTGGCTTTAAGAAATAAGATGGAAGTCTTTCTGGTGTTTATTAAATAATTACATAAATATTTAACCTTCCCAGTTAATAAAAAAACTGAAAAAAACAAAAAACAAACAGAAAAACCTTTGTCACAATTAATGTAATTATCAGATAGGTCAGAAACTCATTACATTTTCTAATATTCATTTTTCCATTTGAAATCTGTTTCTATCTTTGTTAACAATATCTCCAAATTATATTTCTGCTACTGCTGTAGAAGCTGTAACAAATTCAGTCCTATGTGAAATCAATAAAAGCTGCTTTCAGTTTGGTGAAATACAAGGGCAAGGTCTCTTTGTGCTTGAAATGAGACTGAAGGATGATTTTCTTCTGGAGATTAATATTTTTGTTTATATTGTCCAGACCAGAAACAGCCTACCAATAATCAATTGTTCTAAAGCTAAATGATAAAGACTACAAATTGGTCTGTTCTTGTGTATATGTATTGAAGAATAGTGCCTTTCTTTTGTATGAAAATTGCATTTGTTGAAGTGATTTAACCAATAACAGATTTAGTTTGGAACATGTATTTTAAAACTTGCAAGCATTTTTCATGGGCTGAAAATATTTATACTTTTATCGTTTACTGGCAGGTCATGAGCCACACAGGTATTTATAGAATTGACAACACTTCTACATTGCCTTGTTGAGTTATGCAAACTTGGCATGAATCTGGGCATGTGAATGATAGAAATAGAGTCAAAACACAAAGATTTCCAGATTTTCCATTACTGCAAAATACATTTTTTTAAATTAAAATGAAACATCGTTGGGACATTATCTCAACTGATAGTGAATAAAAATTCTTCACTCTGATAAATCGAGGACAGATGACATGATGTTTTTCAAAAACAATAGAAGACAAACTGAAATTGGGAATTTTCCATAGGTTTAAAATGCCTGCAAATGCAAATCTACAATCATGTTCAATCTAGGCCTGTATTCTCTTTTTTCCATTGTTCATTTACTAAATGTGTGACCTTGTGTAAGTGACTCGACTTCTCCGTTCCCGAATTGCCTTATTTTTCCTGAATTTAAAAAATGGGAAAAATTAGAAGCTAATTTTATATTTGCCCTTAGGGAAAAGTGAAGTACTACATATAAAGTAATTAGCAGAGTGTTGGGCACATAGAAAGTACTCAATAGACATAAGCTACTTTTATTAATTATTCCAATGCTGTTCCCCTTATAAAAGCATAAAAGTCGTACATATTGCCTTGTAATCTTTCTTTCATGGTTTCTTATTGTATGAGCCTAATTACATCATAACTACCTTGATGGTAAAGTTTTGTCATATTCTTCTTTGATATTGCTGATGAATTGGTAAAGACAAAATTCGTTGTGTAATGGGGCAAGTTTTGTGTATCCAACATTACATTAAGGATTCACCAACATGTATACTGATTTTGCTGTGTCATAAGGCGCAGTGTAGAGGATGAAACAAACAAAAAAGAGTTCACGTATTCGGCAACCTGCCGTATTGTGGCATGTTAAGATATCATTATGCTTTATGGAGCAGAATTTTCCAAGCTGTGTTCTATGGGATCCTGTGTCCCAAAAATATTAACAAGCCTCCACTCCACTCCCCGCCAAAAAATTCTATGGTCAAATAATATTGAGAAACCTATATTAAACCTATGTCAGGCTCCTGTGATTCAAGAATCTCCCAAACCTTTAAATGCACTAGTGTGCGTTGAGATAATTCAAGAAGGGGAGGTCACAGTTTTTAAACTTGCCCCTGAACCCTTTTTAGCAGGGATCCTGTAGAGCATCTTGTGCTCGATGTAGCGAACAGCAGGACTTGGGTAGTGCTGCTCTAAGTCTGTGACCGCGACTAGAGGCGCGATATTGGGCTTCACTCGTGATTCATGCCATAGAGCCGTGGCGTAGTGTTCCGCGCTAGGAGCTAGGAGGTTTCCCCAATTAAGTACTGAAAACTGAGAAGGATTTACACAAAATGAAATAAAATCAAACCAACTCAAGAATGCCCCTCTAAGTCTGTCACTGCCATTCATTTGCATTTCAGTACATTCACTCTGCAAGTGAAAAGCAGGAAGCAACGTGAAACTGACAAGGATTTGCTGCACATGTGCGGTCACGCAGCGTGTGTGGAAAATGGCAATAGGTTTGAGCAGCGCTGGGCTTCTCAGGCGCGCTCTCTTCTTCTAAACGATTCCCTGGGTCCTGTATTTCAGTAACTGCTTCTGTTGTCACTCTTGAGCGTGTCTGGGTACAGCTATAGCAAAGCATTTTAATTTTATGACTTTCAGATGTCTTGTTAGTGGGCAAATGAAGTGGTAGGACAAGTGGGTTTTGTCTAGTTGCTAAGGAATAAAAATAACAAGTGCCTTTATTACTTTGCTGACAATCTATTTATAAATTTCTGGAGGGGATGCCTACAGAGGAAAATGTGGATGTGTTTTGGACATACCTGAGAATTCTCAAGTAAAATCGTGTAGTGATAGACCCTGCTTTACGAGACTTTGGTAGGGTGCACAACTATTGCTCCTATATGTAAGATAAGTTTCAGGCTTGGTTCTTTGATGGTCATGATACAAATGACATTTGGCAAAGGCTGTTTGCTCATCTCCTCTTTCGCCTTACTTATACTAAATTGCACAGGAGATTTCCAGATATTGTAGTGCTATCACCTTAACCACACAGGATGGTAAAAGTGGCATTTAAAAATACGTATTTGCCTCAACCAGTGGTAATCTGTAATGGGAATGACCCCTTAAAGTTTCCCTGTGAAAGCTGGGAAAGTTTTCTTTGTCATTGCTCCTGAGGAGCTCTGCTTCATCTCCAAGTCGGAGAGCAGCTCTTCAGTGACCAGCACATCCAAACCTTTGAAGCCCTTGCCAGCAGTTGGGCCCTCGTGCTGCTGTGAATGGCATTGGGATAGAAAAGCATAGTAGGTACTGGCATGTGAATGAACCATTCCGGCCAGGCTGCCCTCACACCGCACACTGAGAAACTCAAAGAGGGCAAAATGCACTCTCCTGGGTACACACTTGGCCCTCTCAAGCGCTTTCCCAGAATAAAATGACAATTTAAAAACTTGCCCAGACTACCAGAAGTTTGAGTCCAAGTGGCTCGTCTTGGCACCGCTTGTTTCTGAAATATCGACATGTTCATTAAGTTATATTCTAAGGGAGTCTAATACCAAGGGAGAGAAGAAGTGGTAAAACAGGGTGACCTGTTGTTTACATAATACTGTGGTATTTCCAACTTCTGCAAACCCACATTTTTTTTAATTTTTATGAACCAAGCATTCGCATTTATTTTCATGCAGGTGTGCTTCATAATATCCCAGCATTTTGAGTTTAAAAAGCAGTTTTGTAGACTCTCACACCATTGATGCTGTGGTAATTTGGCAATCTGTTACAGTAGGAAAAATATCTTATATAGTAGCCCCATTAGTTCCTTCTACCTTGTACAAAGAATGCCTTCCATCCTGTTACTGTTCTTCAGCGTTTGTGTTTCAAAAGGCCCCTCCTTGATGAAGATGAAAAAATACCACACAGCTCCAAGACAGGGCAAATCAAAGTGAAATGAAGGTGGTTTGTTCTTTGATAAGTGTTTATTGATAAGCCCCTCATTAGGGTGTGCCTGCTTCCTTCTGGCCAGGTAATAATGGTTTACATTTTTTAGTAGCTTACATAAATTTGACACTTTCTAATTTCTACCATATTATTAGATCATGAGGGGTATGGAAAGAATTTGTGCTCCAATAACCAAAGATGAGATGATAAAAGAACCTGGAAATTTTCCACAGGTGAAGGTCTCTTTTAGTCAGTAAGGACTTTTAGACGTGTAAGTTCCCTCCAGATGTCTGGGAAAAACACAGCTTAGGGAGGAAGATATTTTTATATCTATGTGAACACAAAAGGCCTGTAATTGTTAATTATTTATTGCCATATTAAAGCCCATCAACTACATGGTAGAATTGCTACTTAGAAATTAAAATAAAGGATTAAAAATTAAGTGTCCAGTGTGTTTTAGAGGCGAACTTTTTTATAATCCACGTTAAAAGTTTTATCAATAGGAATACTTTTTTGTTACTCATTTAATTTATCCTTTTGTCTTACAATTTGGAGATATGAGAGCAGCTAAGCAACATATAAATTAATTGAGCTCTGTAATGAAATAACAGTTTAATTAGTTATTTATAATGTACAATGAGAAAGAAGAGAAGAATTCAGCAGAAAACCTGACAGCATTTCTACTCTCGTTTTGGATTGTTTTCCTATGAGAGCACACATCAAGTCATTTTGTGAACCCCATGACATTTCTCTTTTTTTAACTTTGAAAATCTGTATCATGGCTTAGATTGATTTGATTTTACATTTTGACAAGTAAAATTATTATTTGTTTGCTCTTTCATTTCTTCTTCACTTTTTAATCATTTTATTTTAAAATAAAACACAGATATGGTACACTGAAAACACAGATATAGAACACAGAACACTGAATAAAACAAATGTGCAACTTATTAAGTTATTATGAAGCAGGCACCTTTGCAACTGCTACCAGATCAAGAAACAGGACTTGGCCAGCCCCTCACCACTCTTACTTAGAAGTTCCTTCCTATCTCCAACCCTTACCATTTCCCTAAAGTCACCACATTTTTATATCTTATATGATCTCTTTCTTGCTCTTCTTTATCACCCAGGACATATCCCTAGATCTCATGGTTTAGATTGGCCTGCTTGGGGTCTAGGTCTTTCTGTCATAGTCAGTTCAGGCTGCTGTCATAGATTGTGTGGCTTCAACGAAAAAGCATTATTTTTCACTGTTCTGGAGGCTGCTGAGAAGGCCACGGTGCCAGCTGATCTGGTGCAGTCTGGTAAGGACCTTTTTCCTAGTTTGCAAAAGGCCATCTTCTCCTTATATCTTCACATAATAGAGAGAGACAGAGAGGGAGAGCACATGTAAGCTCTCCTGTCTCCTTACAAGGATACAAATCTTACAAATCCCTCTATGAGGTCTCCACCATCATGATCTTATTATCTCCCAAAGTCCCCATTTCCAAGTACCATCCACTGGGACTAGGGTTTCAACATATGATTTCTAGGGAGAATACAAACATTCAGTCCATAGCAGCCCTTCCTTCCTTCCTTCCTTCCTTCCTTCCTTCCTTCCTTCCTTCCTTCCTTCCTTCCTTCCTCTTCCTCTCTCTCTCTCTCTCTCTCCTTCTTTCTTTCTTTCTTCTTTCTTTCTTTTTTTTTTTTGACAGAGTCTCACTCTGTCGCCCAGGCTGGAGTGCAGTGGCGTATCTCAGCTCACTGCCACCTCCGCCTCCTGGGTTCAAGAAATTCTACTGCCTCAGACTCCCAAGTAGCTGGGATTATAGGCAAGCATGGCTAATTTTTGTATTTTCAGTAGAGACTGGGTTTCATCATGTTGTCCAGGCTAGTCTGGAACTCCTGACCTCAGGTGATCTGCCCACCGAGGCCTCCCAAAGTGCTGGGATTACAGGCGTGAGCCACTGTGCCTGGCCCCATAGCAGTCTTTAAAGTCTCTTAGAATCTACAATTTCCCCCATATTCTTTTATTTCCATGCAATTTATTTGTTAAATAAATTGGGTAATTTTTTAAAGTTTTATTTTCACTTTTAAAAAAGGCAAAGTTAGACAGGAGGAATAAGTTCAAGAGATCTATTAGACAGCATGGTTACTATAGTTAATGACAAACATATTGTATTCCTGAAAAACGCAAGGAGAGTGAATAAGTGTTTTCACCACAGAAATAACCTTGTGAGGTAATGGACTTGAAAATTAGCTAGATTTAAGCATTTCACAATGTATATGTACTTCAAAGCATCATATTCTATATGATAAATACATACTATTTTATCTATCAGTTAAAAATTTTTATTTTAAATTTAAAAACATCATTTTAAAAAATAAAGGCAAAGTGTCCAAACAGCACAGGTGTTTTCTTTTTAGGAGGTGCTTTGTAATTTTTCATTTAGGTTCTGGCCCCGCCCACAAGAGAACCCCCACATTTCAGTTCTGTTTGGATAGACAAGCACACTTGAATCCAAGCATTGCCAATGATGGAATATGGAATTCATACAGAAAGACTGGTGGTGCCCGCTCCCACTTGTCATTGGAGATGACTGGTAGAGTAGAGAGGGCATTCTTTCTGCAATTATTTACAGTGTGGTCCACTTCACATACAAACAGTCCCAAGAGGTTACCATTCAGAAAGTGGGGTGAAATGTACAAGACTCAAAAGGTGGAAGTCAATCCAGACATATGGAAGTCTCTAGATAGTTGGGCTCTATGTCTCAGGAAAGAAATGGGAGCAGGGAGTTCTATTTTGGCATCTTTTCTGTACCAAGCTGTTTTCCAAGTTTTGACACTTTTCTACAGCCATGTGAGTTAAGAGTTAATAGCCCAGGTTTGCAGAAGAGGAATCTGAATCTGTTTCTTAACAAGAAATCACCTCCTCACTGGACTCCTGTTTCTGTGTACCACCCTGTGTTAACCTGAATCAGATAACGCCAAGCCAGCATCCTTTGCACTTAAAGTCCAGACTCCTTTGCGTGGATTCTGGTCCACAGGACGGAGGTCTGGCCGCTGCCAGTGTTGCTGCTTTCAATGGTCCCTACCACTCATGCCCCGCCTGCTGTGCTCCAGCCTCACTGGCCTTTTTGCTGCACCTCAGATACAAGCTCTTCCAACAAGATGAAGGAAGATATACCTTGGTAGTCTCTAAGATTCATATTTTCTCCTTTAAGGGAAGTCAGCATGCAAGACCGCTTTGGCGGCCTCTGCATTTGCTTTTTCCACTCTCTGGAATACTTCGCTGACACAATTTGCTTCGCTGGATCTTACATCTCTTTCAGGCCTCAGCTTAATTGTCACTTCCTCAGAGAACTTCCCTGCCCACTCAATCTACTTAGGCTTTTTCCTGTAATTATCTCCTCCACTTATTCTTTTTCCTCTCTGGCACTTATCAACACTCTAATTATACATGTATTTATTTAATGTCTATCTCTTCTACCTGACCCTGAATTACCTGAGGATGGGATGTGCCTGTTTTGTTTACTGCAATGTCCCTCATGCCCAGCTAACACAGAACCTAGAACACCAAGGAAGCTCAGTAAATATTGGTTGGAATGTAAAATTGGAATGAGGTTCAGAGAGGCTAGATAACTTGCCCAAAGTCACACAGCTTATAAGCATCAAAGCTGGGGATTTTAAAACACACCCTAAAACCCTTGTATTTTCAATATGAATTGGTTTTTCCAAACTGTGTTCCTTGAACACTAGTGTCCTGAGGAATCTTAATAATGTGTCAAGAATAAAAAGGTATGTGTGTTCAAATAAATTGTGGATATGATGCAACTGTTTGAAGAAGATTGAACATATTTCTTTCCTGCAGTACATCCCAGGGACTTTAATATGCAAATGTGCATTGTGACTCTCCAAAAAACTAATATGTTATGCAGCATTTCTCACCAGTGTTTGGCCATGATTTACTTTTTTTGCATGAAAATAATATTTTGTGGGACCACAGTATTCAGCAGAAGCCAAGATGGGAATCACTCGACTATACCCTGCTTCTCCCTAGGAAGTGGGGAAATAGAAATTTCTATCAGCAAATTAGGTCTAAATATCCTAGTATCTTTTAAAAGTTTTATGCTTTCTTCCCCGTTCTTCAACTATGAATGTGGGCCAGGGGAGGAAGGTAATGTCTTAAGAAAACAAGGTTAGAAAGCCGAAGTTAAAGAAAGTTAAACAGACTGTAATGTAAGTTATTGTGGAGAAGATATGAGAAGCATATATTTTTTAAAGTAACAGATTAGAAAATACAAACTAAATAAAGTTAAATTGTTAATAACTTAGAACTGCAAGCATTTTTTTTCCGCTTCAGTATGCATTAAAAATGACTGAGAATGGTCTTAAATGCTGACATCCCTTAATGGAGAAAGTATGAAATTACAAACTAACCAATGTAATCACACCTTAATCTTGTTAAATTGAAACACTGTAATCTACATTCAAATTTCACATATGGTCGATCTTGCAAGAGCTGGGTGGATGAGCCAATGCACTATTCAGAATTTTAAATAGGGAGTCGTTCATACCTCTCCAAAGTCCATTTACTTCTTTATGAAAAATATTTCCCTGGGACGCCGGGTGCAGTGGCTCACACCTGTAATCCCAGCACTTTGGGAGGCTGAGGCGGGCAGATCACAAGGTCAGGAGATCAACAACATCCTGGCCAACATGATGATACCTGTCTCTACTAAAAATACAAAAATTAGCCGGGTGTGGTGGCACGTACCTGTAGTCCCAGCTACTTGGGAGGCTGAGGCAGGAGAATCACTTGAACCCAGGAGGCAGAGGCTGCAGCAGCTGTGAGCTGAGATCACACCACTGCACTCCAGCCTGGGTGACAGAGCAAGACTCCGTCTCAAAAAAAAAAAAAACCAAAGACTGACTAAATACCTCTTCTCATGGAAGAACTTGAAATCTAAGATAGTGATCACTGATGGGTTATAGATAGTTTTGAGAATATGTTATATTCTCAAATACTCAAATATATGTTGGACTTCTAAGCATATATTCAAATATATGTTGAAACATAAAAGCCGGGCATGGTGGCTCAGGCCTGTAATCCTGGCACCTTGGAAGGCCGAGGTGGGCAGATCACTTGAGGTCAAGAGTTTGAGACCAACCTGGCCAACATGCTGAAACCCTGTCTCTACTAAAAATACAAAATTTAGCTGGGTGTGGAGGCACATGCCTGTAATCCCAGCTACTTGGGAGGCTGAGGCAGGAGAATTGCTTGAATCTGGGAGGCGGAGTTTGCAGTGAGCCGAGATGGCGCCACTGCACTGCAGCCTGGTGACAAAGCAAGACTGTATCTAAAAAAAAAAAACAACAAAAAACAAAAAAAAAACCTCCTTAGGACTGGGGAAAAAAGGCTTTAAGCCAAAACAATTTTTTTGTGTAATTGAAATAAAGAAAAGTTTATTTCCAGAACCCTGATACTCATGACCAATCCTACCAGAAAGAAAGCAGAGTGCATTTCAGAAAAATGCGTAACTATGTGAGAGGAAAATGGGTTTCAGCTTTTTCTTGCCAATGAATTATTTCAACCTGTTGAGAAACATGATTTTTAAGAACAGTAACTAAAGTGAAGCATTTTCATCCAATGCTGACTCAGTGTGCCTCTCAATTGAATGGGTAGAATGTGCTACAAATTCATTGTCTAGTCATGAAACATACATTTGGGAGCAGAGTTCCAACAGTAGAGATGCCCACTTTAGATTTGAATAATGGTAGCCCTTTGTTCAGAGGAACCACCAAATAAATGGCTTGTTCACCTCCTGTCTGGTAACCTCCTTTTTTATTCTTCAGAGGTGGGGGGTCTCACTCTGTCACTCAAGCTGGAATGCAGTGGTACAATTATAACCCGCTGCAGCCTCAAACTCCTGGGCTCCATTGGTCCTTTGCTTCAGCCTCCTGAATATCGGGGACTACAGGCACATGCCACCACGCCTGGCTTTTGTTGTGGTGACAGGGTCTTGTGATGTTGCTCAGGCTGGTCTTGAACTCCTGACTCAAGGGATCCTCCCGCCTCAGCCTCCCAAAATGCTGGGATTACAGGCGTGAGAGCGTGAGCCACTGCACCTAGCCAACCCTTCTAAATATGAATACACATTCTTCTCGGATACAGTGAGAAAATACTGGAAATATGCATGTTTTTAACAGATTAAAAAATATATATCCTGGAAAGAGAAAACTGGAGAATCTTAATGTTTATGATTTATCTGGACTTTGTTTATGAATTATCTGGACTTCTGTATCCTATCCTTTACACGCTGCTTTGCTCGGTTTTAACACTTTCACCAGGGACTTTAAATCAGTGCTGCTTTAAATCAGCTCTTCCATGGGGACTGCTGATTACGGTAACCACAGGCTCTGCTATGATGCTCTGACTACAACATTACAGGGAAGATTTGGCTATTTCATTCATTCCAGCAGGCTGTTGCTACCCAGCAAGTCCCTTGTCTCTGGAGTATTTTACTGTATCTATAATAAGAAAAAACAAAGGTATTTTGAAGGTTGCAATAGACACAGCCTCCATAGGCATAGTCCTCTGGAGACTTGGAGGGAAAGAAAGATGAGGCAAAGGTGCAGTCTCCAAATCCTCTGTGAACTGCATGCTCATATCAGAGCCCTCCATGAGCCTTCACCTACCAAGAAATTCCAGGGTTTTTCTGCAATTGCACATCCACTGCCCTCCACTTTAGTGCGTGAGTGCAATTGCATTAAGAGTACTAGAAAAAGTAAACCCTTTTTTTTTCCAAATCAGAAAACTGTGTGTCCTAGTGTGGCAAGAACGCCAGCTTCAAATAAGAACATCTCTCATCTCAGTTTTCAATGAGACAGAGCAGGAACAAAAAGGCACAAAGACAAGAAACCACCAAAATGAGATTTGGAAGACATCTTTCTCAGTCGAGGACCAGATTCCTCTGCAGTAGTAGGTGAGCTGCTTTACCTCTCAGATCCTTAGTTTTCCCTTCTAACAAATGGAGTGGTTTGGACTCCAGATTTTGCTGTAAGCACATGAGAGATTATCTAAAGACATAGCTTCACTATAGATGTCAAGACATGCAGCCATGTATGGAATTTTAGACTCAGTTTTTGAATTGAATGAATGTATTCTAATATTCTTGCTATTATGTTCTGAGGCTAAAATTTCCTATTGTTTTGAGCTTACATAAGCTGACCTCGTTTACTATGGGAACATTATAAGTATTTAGGAATATGAGGGTAAGCACCATAGAAAGAATAGTTCAATCTAGACACGAGAGGCTCTTTTTTTAAGCTTCATTAACTGATAATTATTTGAGTGCAAAACAATGCCCTTACTGTTTGATAAATGAATATTAGCTTCATGTCATGCTGATAAAAGTCATGAGCAGAACTAGACTTCTCTGCATTTGGGGGACTTTGTTATTTTGATGCTAATGGATTATGTTCATTTTATATAGATAGATATCTCGAATCTCGAATGACTCAGCAGGACCGACTTAAATTAGATTTGTCCATCCATACTTTGCTTATTAGTGTGTCCTGAATATCTTGATGGCAGTCTTATATTACAATGTGTACTTCACATAATTTATCTATCATGACCCAAAGATTTTGATGATAGGAGAATTTGATTGATCATTAAAATCACGATTATGTATTTATTTGAAAGTATAGCATTGTGATTACTTTTCCCCAAACAAGTATTCTCAGAATCAGCAATATGCAATAACTTATTAAAATCTCTTTACAATGTATGCTCTTTTGGAGTGCGTTGAATATTACTTCTTTGTAGATATTAGCTTCTCATAATGGAGAGTTGTATTAGTCTGAGTAGGCTGCAGCTATAATAAGTAACCTTCAAACTTCAGCGGCTTTACATAATGAGGGTTTACTTCTTGCTCATGTCACAGTTCAAATGCACACTGGTGGGAGTGGGGAGCAGAGAGAAGCATTGGACAGGGAATGGGTTCTACCCATCAGAGTCGTGCAGTGACCCAGGTTTCTTCTGTCTTGTGGCTCCACCCATCTCTGGGTCCCTGGTGTCTTCTCTATTCAGTAGGTGGCTAGAAAAGGGGAGTAAGAATTATAAATGAGATGATTTTCTTACTTGGCTCAGTGTGGAAATAGCGGGCCTAATTTTTACACACGCTCCATTGGCTGAGTCTCTGACACGAGGATGCGGTCTGGTGGGGTGACCAGAAAGAAGAGGGGACATCAATGTTGATCAGCACTGACTGTCTCTTCCACAAGATCTAGACACCAAATCGGGAATAATTAAAGATAGGTTTGGTGAACGCTGAATACACAAAAAAAATCTTATTCTGACCATAAAAGATCAAGCTATGACTAAGGTATAATAAGATCAAGGTAAAATAAGACCAAGTAAGGTGTACAAATAATTATACCATAAGATGTATGAAATATAAGGTATAAATCTTCACTGACCACCATTGTCAGTGAAGATAATAAGACAAGATGTACAAATAATCATACCTTTTATAAAAGTTTATGTCTATACAGCCAGAAAGCTATAAATACTGATTAACAGAGGAATAAAGTCTACCAATTTGGGAGGACTGGGAAATTGTCTTGATGTGATGGTACTGACATTGGGCTACATATTCAACAACCAGAATTCTAGATTGCTTCTGTCATTTGCTTGCTGCAAAATCCTGAAAAAGTTTCTGAGCCTCAATTTTCTTGTATGAATATTCATATATTCTCATATATAAATATCATAAGGCCATATGAAGGGGGATGTTCAAATTAGGTCATGAATAGGGAAAGCTTTTGTGAATGATGGTTCAAATATCCAATTAAACCACTGCTGTTACTCTTATTATTATTTTTTAAATTCTATGCCGACAGGCCAGGCTTATGTTTATAAAACATTGTTCAGCACACATACACATACAAACACAGACACATCTGCACACACCAAACACACACACACAAACTTCCAGGTAGTAAGAAAATAACTAAATGCTCTATTTTTTTGGTATTCAGAATGAAGCTGAGAGTCAATGCCTACATATTTGGTTTCCCTGGTCACTAATATATCTTGCTTCTGTGCTAGTTTTATAACCTGTCCTTGGAAAGTAACATCAGTTATTTGTGTCTGTTCAGGTAGGCTGGATGTGGGACTCTCTGTCCTTTCTGGCTTATAATATTGTTGAGAGCTTCAGAAAAATTAAGTTTGTGAAAACGTTTTTTAAACTGTAAAAGAATGTATATATGGAAGGGAGGTTTATTATGATTTTGCCTAGTTTAAGTTCCAAATGTCTATCCAGTTAGTTTGGGTCATCCCTATAAAAAAGTATTTAAATCATACCTTTATATACCCTTTTAGCCAAAATCTAGTGTGCTTTAAATAACACATTAAAGCAGCAAGTGTAAAGAAGTCATTTAATATCTGGCATCCATTATTTTTGTTAACTTTGTTTTTACTGATCTCTAAACACCCAGGTTGCCTATTCTCAATAATATTATAATGTTCCATTCTCATAATGTCACATTCTTTTGTTGGGGAGTGCAGAGCACAGGGAGTCAGAGAATAGATATTTCTCAGGAATCTCAAACCTACCTTGGGTGGTCCTCATAGCCTAGGATCAGTCTAGCCATGTACACATTCCAGGGGCTAGATGAGCAAAGCCATACCATGCTTTGGAACCTGGTGCCAAATTCCTATAATTGGCAAGACCAAACCTTCCTTCTCGATTCTTCACTTTCAAGCTGTGGCTACCTGGATGACTGTCTTACAAAAATGCTTGGCCGAGAAGTTGTCAGAGTTAACATCTAGGGAGGTAGAATGACAATCCTTTAGCTGACATTATTGACTTAGAGTTGGGAAGACACAAAGCCATAGTTTTTTATTGGATCAGCAAGTCCCGTCTGTAAATTCTGACAAACCAGGGTGTCTTCAATTGTCTAGGAGACTACAGAGAGGTTCACAAGATAAAATTAGGTTATCTTTGTAATGATAACTCTACAATGTATGTGACTTTTATTATGGTAAGTTCCCATTTGTTCACGCCCCAGGCCATGCTCTGTGTTGTTTCTAAACTGGAAATGGGATTGCTGAATCAAGTTCAAACACGTCGCAGCATCAATCCCCTCTTGATCCCTCCCCTGTCATAAACTCAGCTCCGGATCACTCTTTCTGGCAGTTCCCCACGTTCCCAAGCGTTTCCACATTCTTCACCCACTTTTAGAAATGACTTTTGCCTCTTCAGCCACCTGGAGAATGACTACTCATTTTTCACAACTCTCATTAAAAATTCCTATCTCTGGGAGGCCTGCCAGGATGCACTAGGCAGAATGAAGACTGTCTTATGTGTGATCACATAGCACGTTATATGTAGGACTATTGCAGACTTCAGCCAACATATTGTGACTGTTTCACTCTTTTGTGTTCCTCAAGCAGATTGTGAGCTCCTTAAACACTGAGATGACATTTTATTTTTGCATCCCCAAAGCCTAGCACCTGCCCTGGCACTTTGTAAGTATTCAGAAAACACACAATGAATGAATGAATGAGTGAATAATTGTCCCTCTTAGAAGAAGCAGGAGACTTACAAGACAAAGCGATAGACAAGTGTGCCTACACTGAAAAGTTAAGAATTACACATTGAGACCCACACTTTGAATCAAGAGTGGAAAAAAAAATAGGTAGTAATTGCAGAGGGAGGGCAGCTAAGCATGTGGCTGCTTTGGGTATTTACTCATCAGACCAGACTGAAACAGTCTTAATCAGGGAAAATCAATCTGCCTGTTTTTCAGTGTAAGCATAAACATGCTGACAGTAGATGCCGCATAGGTGTTCTGAAAAATCTTACATCAACTTCAAGTTAGTTATAGCTTCATTTACTTTCTGTGTATAAGTTTGAATTGTTTATGCTTACCTAGAAGGGCGAATTTATCTTCTGCAAGCAGTGTTCTATATCATGTCACGGCTGAGGTCAAACGTCTCTTAATGCACAAAATACAGTCCAAACTCTGCCTGAGATTCCACCTCTTCTCTAACTTGATCCAGTTTGCATTCACTGTTCTCTGTATTCACCAGCTGTCTCAGCAAAAATTGTCCACATGTCTTCCTCCATATCCTGTTGCTACCCTTCACAAGTCCTCTTGTTTTCTCCAATACCAGCATCATCCTGAAACTTTTGTGCTACCACACATGCCAATGATATCTTCATCATCTGAATTGTCCTTTCCATTCAAATAATCACTTACTTGTGCTTCTTCTGCATAGTAAAAGAAATTGTTCAACAGAATTCAATCTTAAATTTTCCATAAGGCTTTGTGCGTTGTTTTCCCAGACTTATTTTACAGTTACTGATGGAAGGAACTTTGCTTCTTTGTGTTCAGTTGTAGCGGCTAGCACAAGGCCTTGATAATCCTGAGTGTGTAATACATGTTTGTTGATATTTGAAAATGATGCCTGAGTTTATTTTTTTTAATCAATTTATGTTTTTTGAGACAGAGTCTCGCTCTGTTGTTCAGGCTGGAGTGCAGTGGCACCGTCTTGGCTCACTGCAACCTCTGCCTCCTGGATTCAAGCGATTCTCCTGCCTCAGCCTCCCAAGTAGCTGGGACTACAGGCATGTGCCACCATGCCCAGCCAATTTTTTGTATTTTTAGTAGAGACGAGGTTTCACCATGTTAGCCAGGATGGTCTCGATCTCCTGACCTTGTGATCCTCCTGCCTCAGCCTTCCAAAGTGCTGGGATTATAGGCGTGAGCCACGTTGCCCAGCTTGATGCCTGGGTTTAATAATAACAGTAAATTAATCTTTGAAATGGAAGCGTCTGTACAGAGGGATATGGTGCTTCCTTTGCCTAGCTATTTATTAAACCGCACTCCTTTGGTGCTTCCTCTGGTGGCAGAGGAGTGGGGTTTAATAAATAGCTAGGGGCTCTGTTCTCTCACTGGCAGTAGATCACCAAGGTGATCAGTTTCAACTCTGGATGTTTTCGTTGTCTCATTGGTAAAATGGGATGATAGTAATAGTTGTGGAAAGAAAAACATGCAAATAAAGTCCATGTAAAGGTTGTGCTTCATGGTCAGTATACATTAAATATGAGCTACTATTTTAGTGATTTTCTCTTTTATAGGTCCTAGGGCCTAACTTCCTGTGGTCACATTGCAACTCTTCCACTGATGTGTGATCTCTTGCCTTGGGCATGTCCCTTAACTCCCAAGCCTCTGTTTCTCTCCCTGTAAAATAATCAGGGCAGTAATACTGTCCTCCCAGTGTCATTTTGAGAAATAAATGAGACTACGCATGTAGCACACTCAGCGGTGTGCATAGACCATAGTAAGCACTCAATAAATAGTCTCTGTGCTCATTGAAATTCCACTTGCCCATGCTGACATTTCCATGAAGAAAGTGTTACCCTTTATCACAATAAATAAATTATTTTTCTGAAAGTTAAATCCCAAAATATGTCATATCCCTCTTTTGGCCTTCCTCTTGGTGCCATGGAATAAAAGGAAAAGGTGTTTGTTGTTCCATGCATTTGTTTGATGTAGTTGTTCTTTTGTAGGAATGAGCTTTCTGTAAAAGGGTAGTCTTGTCTAAGTGATTTATATGTATCTGATGTAAGCATCACAGCTCTTGACAGATAGGGCCATCTATCACCATACCATGGAAAGTATACAGACAGATGGCAGGATACCACTGACCCATGTTTCTTGGGTGTGGTCAGTCCTGATACCTCCTTCAGTACCTGTGCCACCTACCCACTGAAGAACTCACACACACTCCTGCTCATGTGAAACGGGTACATCTATTGGCTGGAGTGTTTACATGGAATCTTATGTCTTCTTTCTAGAGAATAGCCTATGCTGTTTTCAAGAAGGGATAAGCATACCGTAGAATTCCTTGTAGGAGGATTAACAACTATGTTTCTTTTGAATTCCCTCTCAGGGGAAAAACGTACAATCGAGCTGTTACCTCTATTCTAACCTAGTCAAGCTTCATTGGTTTGCAGGTCAATCTCAAAATAGGATTTTGTTTGAATCTCAGATACAGCAAAGCAAACTTCTGCATAAATACTAGCTAGGTATGGTGTATGTGTGTGTGAAGTTCCACATAAGAAGACAAAATAAACGTTGTTTTGGCCAAATTGAGTGTATAAACTCTCTGGGATAGTGATATGCCTCTTATGACATTTAATATATTGGTTAAAATCACTAAAAACTTATTTGCCAAATTTGCATGGCATGTCACGTATCATGTAAGTTGTTTAAGACACAGCATGTTTAAGTTTCTATATGACACTCTCATTGGGAATTTTATGTCAAGACATAAAAATCCATTGACATAACATTAGGTCAGTTTTTTGTTTTTATTTTGGTTTAATTTATACTTTTAAAAGTTGATCTTTAATCCCTCTTCGTTTTCTGTTGAACCCACTTCAGTAAGACTTTTGTTTCCAAACACTTCACCAAAGCAGCGTTCGTCAAAGTCCACCACGAACCTCATAGCTAAATCCAGTGGCCTGAGCGCAGTTCTCATCTTACTTGATCTACCCCAGGATTTGACACAGTGAATCACGTCTCCTAAAACTCTTTTTCCATTTGACTTCTTGGTTATCACCGTCTCCTAAAACTCTTTTTTCATTTGACTTCTTGGTTATCACTTTTGATTCTCCTCTGGTTTCTCCTTCTCAGTATCCTTTGCTGGGGGCTGGCCCATCCTCTTCCCTTCCACAGCTCTGTCGTGGGTCTTTGTAGCTTCTCTCTCTGCATTCTCTATCCGGGTGATTGCATCCTGGCCCATGTCTTTAATGCAACTGAATTGCTAATGACTGTTGCCCCTTTGGCTCTGTTCCAGCCACACTAGCCTCTTTCCCTGCCTTGCCTTTGACTCTGTTCCAGCCACACTAGTCTCTTTTCCTGCCTTGAAAATCCCAAATGAAATTCTACCTTTACACTTTATATTTACCATAACTATACATTTGTTCCGCCTGGTAGCTGAATGGCCCCTTCTGTCACTTCCTAGAACCTTGAGTTGCCATTTTATCAGTGAAGTCCTTCCTGACCTGCCTATGTGTGTGATCTCCATAACATAACCACTCACTCTAATGCTTATTTAATTACTTTTATCAGGCAGGGGCCCAACGGGAAACAGAGGGCACATTGTAAAGTGTTTTACAGAAGAGAGGTTAACAAAAGAAATACATATGAAGCCATAGGCAGGTTAAGGCAATCGACAAGGAGTGGTGAACTACCCAGGGATGAGCAACCATGAAACAGCTGTTTTCACCTCCAGAACTGAAAAAACAAGGGAAGACAACTATGTTACCCAAGACTGTTTGCAACCTGGAGCTATGAAAGATTAACTACTCAATAGGAATGTGGCTGGGGAAGAGCACAGCCACTTCCAAGAAGGACCGTGAAGACCCAAGGGAGACAGAGAGGGAGAGGAAGATCAACTGAGAAGAAATACCCTGGACTTTCTCTTTTGCCTTCTGAACTCTTTCTATTATCTTCCATTGGCTGAATCAATAAGATTCCACAGGGTGCGTGAAGCTATCTCAGGTTAGCTTCCGGCCACCCAGAGCAGAGCAGAACAAGGTGGGGAATGGATCTAGGGGAGAGAACAAAGACAAACTAATAAAAGATCTTTTTAAAGGCTTATTTTCACTTGGCACTTGGGAATGTGATATTCTACCCTGCATGGATCATGACAAAATCAGCATTAAATGTTCTTGCCTCCCTTTTGATAGGGTAACCTCTATACCATCCAAACTAACATTGGTTGAAGTCTTAACAAGCCATCGTGTCTTCTCCAAACAGCAGGAGTGGTGTTCAAAGTGTTTCACAACCAGTGTGACACAGGCACAACCGTCAGAACAGTAACCCAACAAATGAGAGTCATATGCAATACTGGGTCCAAAATAGACCATTTGGAAGAGATGCTACAACGTGAATATTTGAAAAGGGTGATCTTTTCTTTTCTGAGGACATCTGAGAAAATTGTACCCTTATATCCAGAAATCCGTGTGATCTATTCATAGGCAATGTGGTAAACTTGATGGAAAAGGCATCTCATTTAAATCTCCAACAATTGTTCTCAGCTTTCTTCATTGTCAGATTTGGAACCTAAGGCTCAATTAAGGGTCGTTTTGCCTAAGACCACTAATTTAGCTGTGGTGGAGCTGGAAGTGACACCCAGACTTTCTGACTCCAAAGCCCTAGCTCTTGACTAGTCTTGATGTTAAGACTGCCTCTCAGATGGAATAGTGGTGGTTTCAGGGCAGAAGCTGCATATTTTGAACTTTTTACGTTTTTTTTCTTTTTCTTTCTCATTTTCATCTTTTTTTTTTTTTTTCTAGAGACAGGGTCTCACTCTGTTGCCTAGGTTGGAGTGCAGTGGTCCTGCTGCTTCTAATTCTTGGTCTCAAGCGATACTCCTGCCTGAGTTTCCAAGTAGCCAGCACGATAGGCACATTCCACTATGCTTAGCTATTTATTTATTTATTTATTTTACAGAGATTGGGTCTCACCGAGTTGCTCATGCTGGTCTCAAATGAGCTTTCATTTTTTAAACGTTTCAATAGAAATCCCTGGGAAAGTCTCTTCTCTTTTTATTTCCTACATGATTTTATCTTTCAAAAATCATTTGCATTCATTCCTGAATTTGGCTAAAATCTAAAGCAGGGTCTGAAGGTACTGTGTGTTTCTCCTCCTTACCACATCCGTTACCCAAACTCTGTATACAAAAGGCACCTAAAATATACATGTGAACTGTCTGAATAGAATTCCTTCTTACTTAAGACTGTGGTGTTAGGCTCAGAATTCCAAAGCATGAATAGTTACAGCAGGCGACACATAGGGTTGTTCTGACACAGGTACCTGTGAGGCATAATTGCTACAATTTACCTTGGACTGTGCTCTTTTTAAAACTATAGGCCACTTGCAGAAAACAATCGGCAAACCTGAATTTCCTTACTTACTGTGTTATTTCTACTTTTCTAAACCCCAACTTCCTGTTTCCCCTTTCTCTGCTTTACTACTGTCAATAGAATACCGACGAGAAATTACTCATTCAAGCTCTTCCTTTGCAATAATTATTTTGAATCCTTAAATCCTGACCCATACCTGTAGAGGTTCCCAGATGGGCTAGGCTACCTGTGTGGATAATTGGAAGGCTCCTCTGGGTACCGCTTTTTCCAACACAGCTTATAATGTCTTTGTAAAAATGAACAAACTTTGTGGGCTGGAGGAAGCAAAGATGATTTTTATGACCAGGAGCATGTTGGAACCTTGATTTTTTTGGTGTGTGTACACTTGTCTGCCTAAGTTAATGAAGGAAGAGTGAAGACTTGCTACTTACCATTTTAATACAGTTTCGAGTTTCCCAAAAGAGAATTTCTCATTTGTCTCAAGGTGATTTGAGTGTGTGTGTGTGTGTGTGTGTGTGTGTATGTGGGTGTGTAGGGTGTACTTAGGTTGTCCAGATGATAAATAGTGCCCTAGGTAAGTTGCAGGCTATATATGTAAAAAAATATAGAAGTAATATCGCAATGGGAGGTTTTCAGATAAAAGTAGAATTCAATTTTGTTTTGAAAGGCTATGATGAATGTTAACCACTTTTTTGCTGAAATTCTTTTCCAGACACATCTTAATCTTTTAAAATGATCCTTATGTGATTTTTAATATAAAAATATAATAATGTAGAGAAATTCTGTTATTAATAACATTTGAGGGAGCGATTTGTTCTTCATTTCCTTTTTCCACCCCCTTGAAATAAAGACAGAGCTATGGTGTGCAAGGCTGTGATGTGAACTGAGTTTTCTCGTTTTTTTTTTTTTCCTTGTTCCTGGAGTTCTACAACTGAGAAAATTATTTCCCTGGTTTTCTCACAATGAATTTCTGCGTGTTTCATTCAAAACAACAATAATGGAAACATACCCTGCATGTAATACATCTAAACACCCACAAATAAACAGTGATTAAGATTAATGTACCTTCAGCTTGTGCCTATTCTTATGCACTTATGTAGGCATGAAGATTTAATTTTCCCTGTCACACGAAGCAAATACCTTCTCTTATGTGGCAGATTTGTTTTGGGGCTCTCTCTAGTGCCCTTATTTCCCACATTGCTGTTTTGACATAGTATTAGCCCATTAAATACTTTCATGAAATACTGAAAAACAGGAATTAATAGAATGAACGCTGAAAAGTTTTATTTTGTACCCAATGTAAGTAGTATAGATGTCTTCTTGCTTTGTTTTAATTTTCTTTTTATTGTATATTTAAGGTATACAATATGTAGTTTTGATATCTGTATATATATAATGAACACTTCAATCAAGCAAATTAACATATCCACCCCTCTTCATAATTACCTTTGTGTGTGTAAGAGTACCTAACATCTACTTTTGGCACATTTTCATTATGCAATACGATATTATCAATAATAGTCAACACGCTGTACATTAGGTCCCTAAACTTACCGTCCTAGATAATTACAAGTTTGTATGCTTTGACCTACTTCTTCCCATTTCCTCCCTGTTTTTTCTGCCCCAGAAACCATGTTGTACTCTGTTTCTATATATTCAACTTTTTTTTTTTTTTTAAGATTCCACATATAAGTGAGATCATGCAGTATTTTTCTTTCTGTGTCTGGCTAATTTCGCTTAGCACAATGTCCTCTTGATTCATCAGTGTTGTTGCAAGTGGTAGTATCTTTTTCTTTTTTAAAACCGAACATTTATGTATATTCACATGCTATAGATACCATAATTTCCTTATCCATTTATCCATTTACAGGCATTGACGTCGTTTCTCTATCTTGGCTATTGCAAAGAATGCTGCCCTAAACAAGGGAACACCGACATCCCTATTGGGTGCTGTTTTAAGATGGGGAACTGAATGTCTTTGTCCTTTTAAAAAATTTTAAATATTTTTGTCTGTTTTTCAAGAAATAGTGCCTGTATTTCTCAGATCCAAAATATGCCCTGAGATATGTTAACAGCACAGATGTTATATTGATTAGAAAGTTTATATCATCAGTAATTTTAGTTTCAGATGGCCAGTGGTAACACAATTTTTTAAGCTTTAAAATGATGTAATAAATGTAGCAAGAACCAAAGTAACTTATGTGATTGAAAAGATAATATCATCTCCAATATGGATTACTTTTTTGTGTGTAACATTTTGTCACATTCTTTGTCATGGGACTTGAAATGTGAATCTTTAAAATGTGTTCCCCTTTCTCTGTCGTACCCCACATTCAATTAATTGCCAACTCCTGAATTTTCTGTCTTCAATGTTTCCCCTCTCTGCCATCATTTTTATCACTCATTCTGTCATCATTCTGATAAAAGGCCCTCATTTCCTCTGGCCTGAACTCTCACACTGCTTCTACCTCTTTATCTGTGGTCTGTGGTCTTTCTTTTTGTTGTTGTTTTTGAGACAGAGTCTCACTCTGTTGCCCAGGCTGGAATGCAGCTGCATGCAATCTCGGCTCACTGCAACCTGAGCCTCCTGGGTTCAAGCAATTCCCCTGCCTCAGCCCCCCGAGTAGCTGGGATTACAGGCGCGTGCCGTGACACACGGCTGATTTTTGCATTTTTAGTAGAGATGGGGTTTCACCGTATTGGCGAGGTTGGTCTTGAACTCCTGACCTCAAGTGATCCACCCACCTTGGCCTCCCAAAGTGCTAGGATTACAGGAGTGAGCCACCATGCCCAGCTGTATCTGTGGTCTTTCTCAAATCAAAACCTTTCCACGAAGTTGCCAGGTTACTTCATAAAGATGTGGTGAATCTCTAAACATTCAGAATCCTCATTGCACTTCAAATTAACAGCAACTCCCTGATGATATTCTCTCAGTGAGTCTTTCTCCTATTCTTTCAAGCTGATCTTCTAGAATATTCTCTGTAGGAACTTGACATTCTCACCCAACCCAGTTATTTCTGAATGCGTCTTTTGTGTGTGTCCGAAACTTTTTGTTGTTGTTGTTGTTCTTTTTTACCCAACTTGTGCTTCATGACTAAACGTAGCCCTTTACTTTTGTGAAGCTTTTCTTGAACCATCAGCCAGCTAGGGCTAAGCTCCTGTCCCCAAAACTCACTGAGCTTTTTCTGCCATTTTATCATTCTATCTAACTGGGCTGCACATTACAATAACTTTAATGAAATAGATACTCAAATGCATATTATCTAGAGGGTTTGCAATTGTGATCTTATTTATTCATCTACCAACTTAGAAAGGAAGGTATAAATGTAGCTTAGCAGGATTGATCCTATGCTTCCAAGTAAAGTAGAAGTATCACATGGGTGAATCATGCTGTCTGACTTTCATATCTCTGTGCTTTGCAGTGGCCTCAATCATAACCATTGGTACGTAATTACTTCTCTACTCTTTCAGATTTTATGCCCCTTGAGGACAGGGCTTACTCTTGCTCATAATTGTATCTTCCATGTAAGGTGCCTTTTGTGTAGTTTTATACTTTCCCAAAACTATAAAAAAGATATCAATATAATAACTAAGGGGAAAATAATCTATTAGGATGGAAAATAAAGCAGTCTCTGTGTGACCCCCGTGGTTTAATCTGGATGGAGAACGTGGATGGGGATACATTTTTAATATCATTCCTTCTCACTTTCAGAGACCTTAGGTACATTGACCTGAGAATTTTATCTGGGACAAGGCAAAGAAAAACTGCAACGTCAAAGCTTTTCCAAGTTCCCAGTATTGCTGAGGGTGTTGACCTATGGCAGCTGGCTCTTTAGTTAATCACATTAATGATGCTTTTAGTTTTAAAAATAAGAGCCAGGTGTAGTTCAGTCAAGGAAAGTTGAGACAAAGGGGAAATGAATTTGTTCTATGAGTTAAAGAGGGCTTTTTTCCTCCAGTTTTTCACCTGACAGCCTAAGCCTAAAAGATTTAACAATGGTGTTTGTACTTAATGGCTAGTAGTTATGTAGTACAGCATTATTTGAGGCATGTATACATAAAAGAAAAAAAAATTAGACTACAAGACAGTCACCAGTAAGGGAAATCGGTAATTATATCCAAAACTTCCTCTTTAAAGATGTCCTGTGACAATGCAGAAGGCCAGTTGTTTGAGTCCCAAAATGTCATACCCAACCTGAATTGCAATCCCTTGTGGGCAATTTTCTGAGAGGCAGAAAACACAGTTCTCTGCAGACCCATCCTTATTTACTTGCATGTATTCCCTGGTAGGTTCACTGTTGGCTTTTGTCAAATAATGACAATTCTTAGATCAGGTATTAGAAGATACAATAGATTAATGAGAAGTGCCTTGGTCTTATCCTAGGGGATAGGATGGGTGTCAAGACTCAGAGAAAGTTCAATTCGAATCAGAGGTGTATTTGATGGGAGAGAGGACCAGAGGGAGGTGGCTCCCCATATTCGTGTCAGGGAAAGCAGTTGACATGTGGCCTGAAAGATAATAGGAACACGGGAAAGGACTTAAATCAGTTGTATTGTCATAAGGCCCTATAAAGGAATCTGTATTACTTGTCATTAACTTTGCCTGAATAGCGAAGTGAGCTCTGTTTAATTAAATGAAAGCCTCAGTACTCTTATTAGAAAAGACGAACTGCAGCAGGTCCATATGGTCCCTACTATAAAACACGCAAAGCCTCAAAGTCTCAGGCCTGAGCAGCCTCAGCTGCCACCTATTAACATGAATGGTAACAGCATGATCATATCCTCAGACCTTATAACATTCATAACCATAGAGTTGTAATTTTATTCTTACAGTGACAAATGAGAAATTATAAACATTTAATTTGGAGGGAAATTTAACATATTATTCCCTAAGTCCACTTGGCAAGTGAAGGAGGCTATTAATATAAACTCATTACATTGCAGTATTGCATCCCTACAATCACAAAAGCTGGCTTTTTAAAATCACAAGTGACAAGTTGAGGTGGAAGAAATTCTGCATTTATAGGCCTTCTGTCAAAGTGAAGCGTCTTGGACCATGCATAGACCTGTCTGAATGTCAAGACCTATGCCCTCAGACTTCAGGGTGTTTATACATTTGGCTTTCAAATTGGAAACTCCACATTAAAGCATCCAGATTTTCTCTGGCTTTATTAAAGCGGCTCCAGAACAAGGTGAAGGAAGTGAGTTTCTCATCCTGGTCGGGGCTCTTGGTCCATAACTGTGCTTTAGTGCACTTTCCCAGTGGGTAAGGATGGAGTGTTAGCGCAGACAGCAGAGTTAAGCCGGAATGTCCTGCGGAGCCTCACCATCACAAAGGGTAATACTACTTTATCGATCCCTTCCACACTGTCTCCCACCGTTGTGTTAAGCCTGTGGCGAGTACAACCTTTTCAAAACGAGATCTGGCGATATGACTTACTTTCTAACTTGAACGTGAACTTAAAAAAAAAATGGATAAAAGCGTGTTTTGTAGGAATGGCATGGTGTTGGCATTTCACAGCGTAAATGATAAAAATAAAATCAAAGTCAAGTATCTCAACAGAGGGAAAAGAGTCACATTGAGACTTGCACACACGCATATAAAATGGGGCCACATTCTTCCACTTAAAGCAGAAATAGTTTAATTTGCTCATGTTCTATTGAATTATCCAACTTTTTCTTGTTACCTTAAGAAAGGCAACATTGTTAGCATATATTTTTAGAGATTCAATGCTCATTTTCATTTCAGACTTTATGAACAGAGAACCTTATATACATCAATGAGGTTAGGAGAGGTTCCGTATGTTTAAATTGAGACAAATGGATTGATTTCACCCCCAAATATTGATGATTTATAAGCTGTTATACTTTGTGATTTTTTTTCTCTTAATAAGGCATTCCACTCTCAAGGAGTTAAAAAGGCATTTTCTGAAAGCTACATGGAAACATATTTTTAATTGGCACTGTCCTCATCCTTCCAAGGATAACAGGAAAAAGCTTCTACTTCACCGCTTGCATGATTTTTGATTTTACCTTTGTTTGTTACGATGCAGAATTAAGGGGGAAAAAATTGGCCGTGAGGTACCTTTTAAAAAGGCTTTTCCTTTCATTGTACGTACTAACGGGATGAGAGAGAAGTAAAAGACAGATTTATTTTTATGTTTAATCAAGTCGTATAATTATTGTATTGTGGTTACTGCTTTGAGCATTACATTTTCGGTAAGTAATTTATCAGCTACATTCTTTTTTATTTTATTTTATTTCATTCCTGGAGAGGATTAACAGTTACTATAGGATTTATACACTGTAGGCATTTTTCCCCTTTAGTAAATAAGGCTTATTGGTGGCGTAGGTTTCTTGAGCCCCACCCCCGCAACCCCGGCTCCCCGCTGAATTTCTGCTTATATACTTACAACTTTTAGTTTGTAGTTCATTTCTTGACCTGACTTCATTAGGAATGTCTTCATGGCTGGTGGGGCCAGAGGACAATAGAAGAAATTCAGAGATAGATTCACCAACTTTTACAGAGTTGTCCACAACTCTGTTTTATCATTGAAAGTTTCAGGTCCTTAGCCCCTGTCAAACCAGGACCGTTGGTCACCCTGTGGTTTGGGCACAGTCTTGGAGCTGGAATGTCCTGATATTAGCTGCATGTGCAAAGTTTTAAAATAATAAAGAAGAACTTCCTTCCTAGTTGGGAGAATAGGAGAGAAGGCTGAGACAACAGAGCAGACGTGGAGGATATTCATGGAAAGGCAGGACTTGGCGAAGCTGGAGAAGGAGCCAACTTGGGCCAAGGCTGAGTCCTGTTGGTACTGTTTGACCTGGTCCTTTGGCTGTGTCCTCCCACCTTCCGTTCCTCTCCAGCCCTTTTCAGAGTAAGTGCTTCCTTTTTTTTTTTTTTTTTTTTTGAGATGGAGTTTCATTCTTGTTGCCCAGGGTGGAGTGCAATGGCATGATATCTAGGCTCACCACAACGTCCGCCTCCCGGATTCAAGCGAATCTTCTGCCTCAGCCTCCTGAGTAGCTGGGATTACAGGCATGTGCCACCACACGGGGCTCATTTTGTATTTTTAGTAGAGACAGGGTTTCTCCACGTTGGTCAGGCTGGTCTCGAACCCCTGACCTCAGGTGATCTGCCCGCCTCAGCCTCCCAAACAGAATAAGTGCTTCTTTACAAATCCTTTTCTCTCCCTACTTTTCTTGGCTATTTCTTCATTCTTCCCGGAGAAAGAAAGTGCCGCCGCCTGACCTGACCAGTTATCTGTAGACAGGCTGAGTTTTGCTGTCAGAAGGCGGGAGTTGCCCATTGAACAATACAGGGGTTAGTGTCACCAACTTCACCTTGCAGTTGAGAATCTGTGTATGACTTTTGACTCCCCCAAAACTTAATTTATAGCTTCCTGTTGAACGGAAGCTTGACTGGTAACATCAGTAGTCAATTAACACAGGTTTTATAGGTTATATGTGTTATATACTGCATTCCTAAAAAAAGGTAAGCTAGAGAAATGAAATTGTGGTTGAGAAAATTATGAGGAAGAGAAAATACATTTACTATTCATTAAGTGGAAATGGATCATCATAAAGTTCTTCATCCTGGTCATCTTCAAGCCTAGGAGGGGGAGAAAGAGGACAAGTGGGTCTTGCTGCCTCTGGGGTGGCAGAAGCTGAAGGGGTGGAGGAGGTAAAAGGGGAGCCAGGAAAGGCAGGCACGCTGGCTGTAGCTTTTATTGAAAAAAAAAACAAAAAACAAAAACCAAAAACAATCCACATGTAATGGGACCTACGCAGTTCAAACCTGCATTGTTCAAGGGTCAACTGTATTTTGATTTCTCAATCCTAGTGTTTCTTTGTTACGTAAGGGGAGTCTTCAAGCAGAATAGCACAGAGATGCGCTAGGAATAACCATGGTATATACTTGCGCAATGATTTTCCTAAAAGATTTTGTAGAAAATTTCGGCACAGCAGTCATGGTATTTTAGAACCTATGACAACAAAAATGCTGACCTGGTTGGCCTGATTTTCCCTGAAATGAGGCTGTTTAAGTTTGTTATAGAAACAAATCTAGCGGTAATCCTTTATTCCTCTGTGGTCTTATTCAAAACTAGTTTTTCTTCTTCCTTCTCACCCTTTCTTTCTCGCCTTTTCCTTCTTTCTCTTCATTCTTTCTTTTGAATCAACACAAGTGTTTACATTTCAAAATTCTTCTTTTCTCAGTTCTCTGTTTTTTTTTTTCCTAGGGAGCCGCTCGTTTGTGTGTGTGTGTGTGTGTGTGTGTGTGTGTGTGTGTATGTGTATTTTCTTGTTCACGTATCCCACCTTTAGGTCAACACATATAACAGATATACTGTTGTGTAAAGCACGCAATATTTAAATGTGTCTGGCTCAACACGAGTAAAGAAATAATGTTGCATAAAACAGAAAATATATAAATGAGTTCCTACTTTTTGCAAATAAATATACTAATGAAAATATTAAAATTTTACATGGCCAATTCTGTATGTAATAAAAATTGTGAAGTACGTTGCTTTCAGTAGAGTGAAGGAGAAGCATGCTAATTTTTCATTGTAACACAACACATTAAGAATACCAAATTGTTCTATTTTTGCTTTGTTATGAAACTTAAGAAATCCACATATTACATTTTGCCTGAAACCTCAGATTCCTTTAGAAGGGTTTAGAATTAAAGCACTTTTCCTTATCCTCTGTGTCCAGGTACTGTGTGTGGGTAGTTCTGTTTATTTCTACAAGAAAGGCAAATACATTTATAAATAGCAGATCTTATTTGAGGTTTTATCCATAATGAAAGTTAAATTAGGAAAGATTTCATAATAACTAATATCCCTATCAAATTCAGTATACAGTTGTCATTTGTTTTCTTATTAAAATTTAAATACGTAGTAAAACATTTCAGGTAAACATTATTTTAGCATTTGCTATTTGGATGCTTGGATGGAAAATAGCATAGCTAATGATATTGACTTAAATTTTAAAAAATACTTGCAGGGGAAGTTCTGCTAATATCTATATATTTATAATGATTTTTTTTTCTAAATCCAATTGAGTAAATGTGAAATTATTCTTCAAATAGGTTGCTACAGTACTTCAGTGTATCCATTAAGCATTAAATAAATGTTTTATATTTTCTTGAGAGACTTTTGTTGCCTTTTTAAAGCACACTGTAATCCCAGTTGTATTTTAATTTGGAACATCATTCTGAGTTTTTCTTCTATTTTCTGCTACATTATTTTAGGACTAATCGTGATTAGATGAATTTATACTTTTAAGAAAGGCTTTAGAGTTCTTTCTAAAATATTTTCTAAACATTTTATGTTCTTTATTGTTTTTACAACATTAGAAAATGTCTACATTCTTTAAAAAATCCATAAATTCTGATTTTCCATTTGCCTTTTTGACTCTAAGCCAAAATAAGTTGTCAGAGAAGTAACTTTTTTATTTTTGACGGGAGGAATGGAAATGAAGAAAATTTCCACGTGTGCCTACAATTTCTTATGTTTTTACATTTCAGACGTGGTGATACCAGATCCCACTCCTCCACTGTTGCTTTTGCAGGGAAACCCTCCCAAAGTAATGATAATAATAACCTCGTGCTCTTTTGAGTTCAAAATTATTTTGAGGTGATCTTATGAAATGTGTGCACTTTCTATTAATATTAATGCATTTTTAAATATTTACAACTAATTTTAAAAATATCAATGTTGTGTTTAAATGCAAGAAGAAATGCTGATATTAAAGTGTTCCACTGTTTCTTAAAAAAAGATTATTTTCCTTAGGTCTTAATTTATGTTCTCCTGCCTCTTTCCTACAAATCAAGGGGAACTAATATTATTTATACAATTTAGGCAAGGTTGCATTTAAAGGCCCATTATGCTGTTTCTCACCATGGTTTTCTGTGAATCATCCCTCATTTTATACCTCTCATTCACGCACATGATTAGAAATGCTGGTATGGCTTGTATGTAAGGTCAACCATGAAAATGATGCTGGTTTGATGATGTATTCCGCTTCATATTGGTCCTGACTCCACCACTTACTTGATGTATACAGTTTTTAGGAAATCATCTTTCCTCAATTTCCCAGTGTGCAAATCTGATATGTATAGTACTTATTAGGAAAACAGATACTTAAGTCACAGTTGTCCTCTTAGCAGTGTATCATATTTACATACCAGGAACAAATAACATGTTGTGAAACATCTTTGTCAGCTAGACAATATAGCCAACCTCTTCCTTGATTTTGATAATTTATGTGGCTATATTGTGATATCTGAATGTGCCTATCTACCCAGAATCAGGCCAGTAAACATTTGTTGAATAAATGTATCATGTTTAGGTTTCTTGTTGTTTACCAACCCAGCTGTTTGAGTTTCAACTTGGGGACACACTTTTTCCTCTTCAGAAAAATAAGAGATCAACCAGATTATTTTAAAGATTTTTGCCAGCCCTCAGATTCTATGATTCTGTAACATATGTATTTTATATATTAATGGCTCACATCCAAGCAAGCCAACTTGCAAAATCAGCAATATGAACCACCTGAGCCGTGAGAAAAAAATGGCCACTTACTGAATTTTTAAGACACATTTCAGATATGGATTTCAGAAGTGGAAATGTACCAATATGATTAATTTACTACAACTACTATGGTAAATCAATTTTAAGTACACACCTAATTTTATACATTAACAGTAATTTTGTAATTTTCTTCTTGACTTAGAAAAAGGACATTTTCTAACATTTATTTTTTGCCTAGAAGCACACATACCTTTGAAACCTCTATATTCAGAAAACATACGTTATTTTTAGATCTATTTTTGGCCACTCAACCTATGTACACAAAATTCACTCAAAAGAACAGATTACTTGGTGTTTTCAAAGAGAATTATACTAATTCCTGTTGTTGAAAACATACTCTTTGAAGATATCCGAGAAAATGAATTCTTAGCTCGGAATATATTTTTGAATCAGAAAATAGGGGGAAGAGCATGAGGTGAGGAATTAAAGTTTATGTTGTTATAACCTAGAATAGGCCATTTCCTTTCAGCCTTTTTTGCCTGATTGCAGCAACGGAGCTGTGCATTTTTCTTGTGACTGAGGCTTGTTAAATGCAAGCAATAGTTAGCATTTATAGAGGACCTTATACCAAGTTAGGAAAGTACAAGAAATACTGAAAATACCGTTTATAAATTACACATAAACATTGTGATGGTAAAAAGTTTTTGTTTTTGTTTTTTGTTGGGGGGTGGAGGGAAGTGTCTCATTTCAACACTATTTCAATATCATGTCAGAGCACTTTAATGGCTGCAGAAGTGATCAGGATCACTTTGCGAGTGTTTGGAATCAGTACAAGCCTGACCCTTATGTGTATATATTCTAATATGTCCTCTTGAACATAGCCCAGCTCTGTGTTAGAAGAGCATTCCTATGCTGACCTACCCAAGAAAGTCAACTCATTTCTCCTTCTTACGCCCTCATCCCATCTGTGCTGCCTGACCTACACTGATCTACTTTGCAGTCCTCAGGCTACCTTTTGGTGACTTCTGCCAAAAGCTGATCTCAAACTGGCCCAGTTGGGTGTAAAGGTGTAGAGCACAAGAGTTAGAACCTAAACCTGGAATTCTATTCTTAGTCTTTAAGGTAAGATGCAGCAGAAAACACTTAGCTTTTCCCAGCCTTGGTTTTCTCATAAGGAGCACACAACCTCGATCCCTCGCATGTGCAGTTCACAATGGGATTCGCGCTCCTCTGAGAATTTAATGCCGCTGCTGATCTGACAGGGGGCAGAACTCAGCTTCTTCACCTGCTCACCTCCTGCTGTGTGGCCCCTGGGGGTTAGGGACCCCTGCTCTACACATATATGTTCATACACACATATGTTAGAGCGCCTGGCCTCATCTATCTATCTTTACCCTACTGTTTCTGTTTCTCTGGAGAACCCCGACAAATACACCCTGATTTCACTGTTGCATGACTGAATCTTTGGGGAGAGAAGGGCCATAATTAGGGCTTCTTTTTCTGCTCACCATAACCCATTTAACACACCAGTTTCCCTTCTGCACCTTGAAACTAAGAACCTAGTTGATTTGGGGATTTTAATGTGCTGATGTGATATTGTAAATGACCAAAATAAATTACATTATTGATATCTTCTACAGTGATTCTCATCCTTGAATACAACCTCTGAAATAATATGCACATTTTTATGCATGTATAAATACATGCCCTATTTTTGAGTGAGGCTTTTATATGTTTCAACATATATTTGAATATATGTTTAGAAGTCCAACATATATTTGAATATTTGAGAATATAACATATTCTCAAAAGCATCTATAACCCATCAGCGATCACTATCATAGATTTCAAGTTCTTCCATGAGATTCTTATCTAGTTAGTCTTATATAAACTTTATGCTATAGAACCACACAATGGTGACAGGTAGACTAGTGATGTCATTTGGTTCCATTTCTTGAAGGTCATTTTTTTTTTGGCTATCATTATTTAGAAAAATGACACATTTTCAGATTAACCATAAGCCTCCATGCTCCTTTCACGGCCCTCAGAAACCTTTGGTGTGTCTTTGCGGGGACAGGAGACAAAGCCTGTCTCACTTCAGATTTGAGGGTTTTGTTATCATAGCAATTATGTTCTCTCCTAAGGTTTGTACACACGAAATTACTACCCGCTGCTCCCACCAAACCACACTGACTCCTCGGAATATCTACAGATTCCTTTGGTGGTGGCAGGGAAATTTTTTAGCAGAACACTGATGATACCTGGCTTTTTTCTGCTTTATGGTTTAGGGCATTTATAATTTAGGGTAAGAAGATAAAAACATTTAACAGAGTGGAATTCAGCCAATGGCCCAGAATGTGGCTTTTATGAGTACAAGTTCAATCAACCCTTTTAAAGATCAACCTTTTTTTCCTCCCTGACTTTTGCTTTGAAAGTTTATGTGAAGAGGACTCTTGGTTTAACAATACTCACTAAAACATTTCAACAAAGAGAGGAAATAAAACAATAAAAAAGAGAAGATCAGGCATAAATTAATATAGACGTATTGCCTGACAACATGCTGCTGTGTTTGAAAGATGTACTTCTGACCTTTGTGACCCAGGCTTAAATTGGAGTTTGGGGGTGAAAAACTGGAAAAGAGGTAAAGGAAATGATTTCTAATGTCATACAGATAAAACAACAGGGCTCTCCTCCGGTCTTCCCTTTGGTGAGGCTTGCTGAAGCGAAGAAAGAATCAGGTATTAGAACAAATGAAACTGTGAAAATGGGTCGGAATTAAAGCATGCCTAGAGGAGTTTAGCGAGCTTCCCTTTGGGAGACCAAATTTGGAAACAACCCTTGGGACAATGTGTAGTTGGCTTCTCTGCCAGTCACCGTAAAAAAGCACGTGGGTCTTCCTGGACTGATGAGCTGAATGTGGAGCACAGCAATGTGTCCTATATGGAGAAATAACCGGAATAAAAAAGAAACATGAAATCCAAATCGACAATCCAGCCCCTGGCTAGAGATTAAGTTACAGAATTAAACAGATTGTGACTAGAAAGTCCAATTGTGTGAATAGGAATTGCAGTTGGGAATAGAAACCACAAAGACAGGCCAATCTGCCTTACAATGGTGGTGTTTCCTTTCAAGGCTGACTGTGAGTCTCATTCTAGTGTATCAAATCATGTTTGAACATTTCTGGGAGAACTCACCTTATGTCTTCTGCTAAACAAATCCTTGCTGTTGTTGTTGTGATGTGAATAACTAACTTCTCCTCTCCACCCGCCATGTCTTCAGACACACAGTTGTCATTCAATTGGGTTTTCTTGGTCTCAGAGTCATTCGCAGGTTAGTACAGAGATGCTACTCTAGTTTCACTTTGTTTTTAAGCAGTCATAAGAGATTGGTTCTAATGCTTGGATGCCTCTGTTCTGGTAGACATCAAAATGTGATTTCAGCATCCATTTCAGATAATCTGTTAGAATCAAGGTCTCAGTGAAGTGCTTTCTGATTTGACAAAACAGGTCATAATGAGTGACCTGACTTTTAGGAAGCCATGGCAAAAGGGAAGACAGGGAATGGATAATGTTGGTTCTCAAAAGGCTGCCTCCTCTGATGCTGATTAAGGGCATTGGCCCAAAGAGCAATCCCTCATGTTAGGAGCAGCAATGACAGGTATATTTTAAGGTATTCGCTTGCAGTTATATGAGACATTTGGTGATCTTGCATCTTAGCTTTACATGACAGATGTTTGGGTCCTGAACTCTTCTCCAATGTGACCAAAATAGTGAGACTTGGGGTCTGGATGGCATTTGTTTTTGTCTACTCTGAGCCTAAAGGTAAGAGGTTAGAGCTGACTGTCACCTGGGGTCTCTCTCCTCCCTATGATGTGACTCTACAGTCCCATCAGCATTAGCTATTTCGACCTCCTTCTCTTCTCCCTCCTACTCCTTGTGTTCCTCCTCCTCTTTTCAGCTGATGTAAGTTGAATTGAAAAGTTAGCAGCAGTGGATTTCTCATTCAATCTGTTCTCCGGGGAGCCTGGTTGTTTTGAATTCACAACCATCTCCCACCCTCCTTCCCATTATAAAGAGGGAAAATAATTGCTGCTGTTCTGATTTTCCAAGAACAGGTGAAATACATTCTGTCGTGACTAAAACACCCCGAGCCATAACTTTTGAGGCTATTTCACATTTCTCCCCCTGGCAGAGGCTGTTGTGTTTTGTTACAGCAGCGTCAGGAGTTGTTATTAGAGTGTTATGGAAACCAGGTGTTAGAGCTGATTAGTCACTAATCTTCCATCTCTGGGAGCTTGGCTTCAATCTTCTCTTCATCAGAATCATTCTGTTGCATTAATTTATTCATCCCAGCTCTAAGAACCTTGTCAAATCAACATGGTGGTCTCTGCTGGGTCCCTAATGCACTATAGCCCAGATCACAAACCTACTATATGACACATAATTCAGGATAATTGGCAGTCAGTGCTCAAACAGCCCTGTGATTAAATGGGTATGGAGATTGAAATAGCCTCTCACCTATTAGAAGGTAGTCTCGCTAGGCCAATGCCGTTCTTCAGCGCGGGCTGCTGCTGGAAAGGGCTGCATGACTTTTCCAGCTTTATGTGGTTTGTGATTGATGAGATAGCACTTCTTTTTCCTCTTAATATTTTACCTCTCAAAACACGAAATGAGCCACTTAACTTTGTATTTCCTTTTTTAGACTCTATCTCAAGTCTTCATTAGTAAATCTTAATGACTGCTAAAATTATAGGAAACCCTTCACTCAGTATAAAAGGGAAAGAGACCATTTTTTTCCCTTTTTATGTTGCTTTTGCAAACAGCTCACTTTTGACAACAAACTGTTTATAAAGCCATAAAGAAAAGAGTTTGACAAGGTTTTTAATTTTTGATAAATACTGTGACCAGTTCTATGTACCTTGAAATGATTGTTCCTGATGAAAATAATTTAGCACAGCCAGAAGGAGTCTTTAGGTGGTAACAAAAGCGCAGTTGATACTCACTGCGAACATTGTTTCTTAGCTATGTTTGGACTTTAAGATTATACGAATAATATGCATTTGAAAATTTGGACGATCGAGACAAATAAGATGATAAAAAATTATCCAAGATATCAAACTATGCAGGGAGAAATTATTCAGCATATTTGCTTCCAATTTTTTGTCTACATTTTGTACATTTTTGTGGATTAAACTGTGAATGACCCAAAGGTCCGTGATGTTTTTGTTCCACTGAGGCTTATTTATTTGCATTTTAACACTTTTTTCCTGTTATCCTCTATTCATTTTCATGTATGCAGTAATTCACACCATAAAAAGTTTATTTTAATCATTCCTCACCTCCTTCCTGGAAAATGACCACAGAAATAAAGCCACTTTCTACAGTTTGAGATGGAAGTGACAATACAGTCAAGCAGCCAAAAATAAATAAATAAACTGATGACTACTAGCCAGAAATCTACTTTTTAAACTACTGTAGTTATAGAATCACTCATAGTGTGAAAAAGACCGTTAAGTTTTCCATTTCTATTTGTTACGTAGTGTGGAAGAAAAATATCTACAGTTGTAATATTTGTTAATTTGGTTTCCCAAAGCCACAAAATACAATTTAGAGGTACAATTTATTATTTTTGAGTTGTAGCAGTTTTTAAATTTAATGTTATAATTTGCACACTGCCAAATCACAGCAAAATTAAACAGTATGTTTCTTTTTTCTCTCTTCCTTTCTCTCTTTTCTTTTCTTTTTCCTTCCTTCCTTCCCCCTTTCTTCCTTCCTTTCTCTCTTTCTTTCGTTCTCTCTTTCTTTCTTTCTCTTTCTTTTCTTTCTTTGTTTTGTTTTAGAGAGACAGTCTCGCCCTGTCACCCAGGCTGGAGTGCAGTGGCATGATCATAATTCACTGTAACCTCAAACTTCTGAGCTTAGGTTATCCTCCCACCCCAGCCTCCTGAGTAGCTATGATTATAGGTGCCAGCCACTGCACCCAGCTCTTGAGTAGCCATATATTATTTTATCAAATGAAAGTACCAAAATTTAAATACCCAGTGCCCTATTTGAGACCATATTTCTTTTTCTTTCTTTTCACTGTTAAAAATAATACCATATCAGGTACCTTGAGATATAACTTTATATTAATAATTTAGATTATTTGCATAGTATAAATTATCTGAATTAGAATTTATTGAGGCATAATAGTCCTATGAAAGTCTAAAATTTAAAGAAAGTTACTTGAAATGAACTCATAAAACTCCTAATAGGGCACCTTTAACTTAAATTCTGTCCAAATTCTTCAAAGCAAGCTGGCTTTGAATTTTCTGTATTTGCATGATGGGATGTCTTTGTTTGAGTCCTCTTTGTCTAATTGAACTGGAAACTTTATTAGACAGGTAAGTCTCAGATCTTGGAGTTGGAGAGTCACAGCCCTCCATTGACAAGAGTATAATGGGTATAAATAAACATAATAATGGTTTCCCCAGTCTAATGTACAAATTCTATAATTTGGGATTTTTAAGATATGGCAGGGGATGAGATATCAAGGATGAGAAAATACTTTTCAGAACAGGACCAGGGTTGTTTTGAAAGCTTTAGCTCCCTTTAAGGTGAAGGTCCCCTCTACCTCTCTATGAAGCTTCGCATCCCCTCTTCCTAAGCCTCATTGAGATGTGGGTCATAGCAAAGGTGTAGTGAGAGAGAAATTAGATTGGTGGGAGGGAAATTTTACAGTCCTTATATGTTTGGAACCTTGAAAACCTTTGCAAAAGTCTTTAACATTGAGCCAAGCTGGAATCTGTATTTTGCTTGATTCTCATAGTGTGATGTAAAACGGGTGTCTAATAAAATCTCCAAGGGTACTTTTTACTTTACTCTAGGTTTCTAAGAACCATGGTATCAGGAGAAGAGAGAGCCAAGGAGCCATAATACAATTTCTAGGTCTAAAACTACAAGTATTTTGAAAGCTTACTGGCTTTCTCCTTTCTATGCTTTTCTTTTCTACACTCTCATCTGCAGTGTTGAGGGGGCCCATTTCACCAATTCATGCCAATCGGGACGTACTCCTTGTTTGAAAGTTGCTAACGAAACAGGTGGACAACCTATTTCCTTTCTATTATTATTCAAAGCTTGATTATTTTTGTATGAACTTATTAATCATTTGTGAAATACATGCTGCTTTACTTTTGTTAATTTGCATATACATGTGTTTAAATGACCTTTGTTATCTTTCGTTGTGTAACTGGTAAATATTTTCTTGATTAATTTTTGTTTTCATTTATTTTGTGTTTTGAGCACATTAGTACATCAATTAATGGTGCTGGGACAATTTGTTTATCCTTGGGAAAAAAGAAACTTTGATATATATTCATGCCTGTCAGGAAAGGAAATTCTAGAAAGGTTATAAAAAATTCAACAAGTTAATATTATACCTAGGAATATATATATACACCCACATAATCACACACATATATATACACACACACATACATATATGTTACATACAGCATATATGTTATCCACAAAATAATATTTCATTTACAAAATAACATGTATATGTCATTAAAATATATATATGTTGTTTTGTGAATCGGATAGATTGGTTGACTGCAACTTCTCTTTCTGATCATTCCCAGAAAGCTTTGTTTAGTATCCCATTTCTTTCCTGTGGCTAGGACACATGTGTGTCCAAGTTCACTTAAAGTGAGCAGATTTCTCAGGGAGCCGCTAAGATCTCTAACCCCTTGTATACATGCTCTTTCTGATCTGTGCCCTGTGAGTGTGGATTAACTTTATGAGCATCATTATATGAATTTTACTGTCATCTTTCCTTAGATGAAAGGCATGCATATTAGAACAGGGAAAAGTGGTTATTTTAGTACTGAGGAAAGGAGTGTAGGTAAGGTCTATACAGAACAGGGCAAGAGGGCCAAGAGCAATGTAGGATACCACTGCATGAGACTATACGGTTCTACAAAAGAAGAACCACATTAGGGGTGATCTATTGATTTCAAAGACTTGAAAATGCACTCCCAATAGAATCAGGTAGGCAATTTTTTTAGGTGTGCTTACAATACAATGAAGACATAGTGAGACTCAAAACTTGTTAAAAATTCTCTTACTCCAATAGTACTTGAATTCTCACTTTTTCACACAGAAATAACATGACAAGGCAGCAGGGACAGGGAAGGTGATCTTGCTGGTATACTGACATGTTGCCGGATCCATTAGCAACTTCCGTACATGACTTCACAGTATTGAAAGGAATAATCTCATTCTCAAGGAAAAATCTTTAGCAACTCAACTCTTACTGTTAACATTATAAAATACTTTTTGTATAAATATCATTTGAAGCTACTCTAGGTACAGAAAGCTGTGTTCAGTGCTCCACCTCCTTCCTCTCATCTTAGTGTGGGCAGAACCCATACAACCTTGATGGCTTTTCTGCTGAGTCTGGGTAGCAGTACCAGGGTCCATTCAACACAGTGATTCATGGAGCAACTACCAGTGGATTCGTGTTGATACAAGACATGAATTTTTTGTGTGTGTGTATTCTTGTGTCTCGATTTACGTGTGAAGAAATGAAGAACTCTCTATGTAGGGTAAGGGAATTCCTTAAATGCTCACAGCTAACTAGAGGCAAAGCATGGTGTGGAAACCTAGTTTCCAGGCTGCTAGCCCAGCATACACTTATAAGAGCCAAACACAAATGACCACACAAAAGTGGTCATTTTGGTACTGGAGAAAGGAGTGTAGGTAAGGTCTATACAGAACAGGGCAAGAGGGCCAAGAGCAATGTAGGATGCCATTGTACAAGGCTATATGGTACTACAAAAGAAGAACCACATTGGGTGTGATCTATTGAATTCAAAGACTTCAAAATGTACTCCCAATGGAGTCAGATAGGCAATATCCTTCAGGTCTTTCTTCCTAACACTGAGAGAGGATCATGAAGATGGAACCCAATTCTCCTCTGTTGATTTTGCTCATATTCGCTATGGTTAGGAAATCTCACGGTACTAACCCTTTGTTGAGATGTAATAGGAAAAAAATGACTTCTGATTCTCTATGTTATGTAAGCACGCAACTTCACTTAGGAAGCTGGTAGATGATGATGCTTTTCGTGTCAGTCTGACCTAACGGGAGGTTGAGAAAAGAAGGGAAAAGATATTGCAGGACCTAAATACACACAAAGGATGTAAGGAGGGAGGCAGCAGAGAAATCTTATGTGGGATCTGTTTCCCCTTTCAGGCGAGAGTTTAGTATGAATAATGAAAAATACCTGCATTTGAATCTGCATTGCTACCACAGTATGGAATCACAGACTGAAAACTTTTCTCTCAAAGGGGAAAATCCTGTTGATAGGGGAGGGAGGGAGCGAGGAAGAAGTGTGGAAAACGTTTAATATATCTTGTTCACAAAAAATGTCATTTTAGTGTCAGTTCCCATTTCTCTTAAACCCATTAAGACTTGTACACCGCAGTTGTAGTCAGGCAAGGCAGACATCATTATACACGTTTGTTCTTGACACCTTGGGGTACATTTTCAGCATTGCACTCTTGGGAAATCACCATAGGTGTGCAATTCCTGTGACTGTTAAGTGGAAGTGTGAATCTGATTCCCCATATGCACTGGGGAAACTTAGGCAGGGGATATCTTTGTTTTCTTAAGCATTTCAGCTCACTTTAAGTGGAGACTCTGAGTTCTTTCCTTTGTTTGCAGCCTGGGGAATCTCTCCATCACATAGTTTGTAACAGACAGAAAGGGCAGGGTGGGGTGGGGACATTCTTTTCAACATATAGGATGGCTTCTCTATTTTTTACATAAAAATTCCTTTAACCCTAGCCAGAGTCAAAGGCCCAGAGGAGATATAACTCTTTGTAGGTGTAGATTTAAATTTGAAGTTCATACTATCACTTGAGCCTATTACTGTTTCTACTTGAGGCATTATAGAATATGAGGCCTGTAAAAATAATTTTTGATCTTGTCGGTCAGCTTTTGATGACAACAGTGACAATGAAGATGGTAAGAGTAATGATGATAACTACCATTTATTGAGTGCTTACTGTGTTCAAAGTGCTCTTCATGGAGCTTCACAGATAATAGGTCAATTTGAGCTTATGTGACAGAAATTGTGCAATGTGCTTTACAGACACCATTCTTTGTCTCAGCAAACATAATTTTTTATTTTTTATTTTTATTTTTGGATGAGGAAACTGAGAGTCTCAAAGGCGAGGCACTTTGCCCGAGATTACTGGCAAAGTGAGCCGTGGGACTATTTCATTCAAGCTCAGGTTCTTCACATGGCATCTCTAGATAAGACTAAATCACTGTGAAGGGTGTCTCACTGCTATTGTGCCAAATGAGAAGGTTATACAAGGTGTGACCCTCACTCGTAATGAGGCCATAACAGCCGCCTACACCCTTTGCTGAAGTCTGGCACAGGATGCCAATATCACGAGAAAAATCACTTCCCTGGTGATGTCGCAAAGCATTGTGTACCGGTGACACATTAAAAAACATATCAGACTCATTTGCTTCACAACCCTTCAACTAATCAAAAATAATGGAAGACGACGCACGAAGGAAAATGCCTTCTTCCTTCCCAAAGTCTCTCAGTTTCCTCTAGTTCTACATGACCCACTTTAGGCAAGATTTCCACTAATGAACACATGAGCCAGTTTCTGAGTTCTGAATGTACATCAAAGCTCATCTAATGCGAAATTAACCTATCTTTATTACTGGAACTGTAGACTATTAAGGTAGCATGCAGAGTTACAGAATTGTACATTTGGAAGAGATTTTCATGTGAGGCACCTGTGACTTTATGAAAGCTGTTCCCCTTCTGAAATTAGGTTTTGAGTCAGGGATTAATGACGGTGAGAAGGAACAGGGGGTTGGGACAGGGTGCAGTTTTGAAGGTCACACACTCTAACTTTTGGTCCCTGGACAAACCCATTTTAGCAAGGATCATTATCCCTAGGAGGTACTGACATTTGCAACTCAAGGAATAAAAATAGTAAATGCTTCATAAATGTTAGCTCTGATAAGCACTTTCTTAGAAATTTCTCATTAATCCTCACAAAACCTCGGAAGGATGGATGCTGTTGCCATCTCCATTTTATAGACAGGGACACTGAGCCTTTGATTCTAAATTATACGGCTATTTACTAACAAAGCAAGCAGTGAGGTCTGTTAGGTGCCGAACATCACACTCTTAACTACTACGCTATATCCCCATCACTTACTTCCTAAAGGGCTTAACTATTGTAGAGAATACTAGCTAGTCCGTGTGGGTTTATGATATATTTATACTAATCCATGCAATTATAAAAATAGAATAAACACCAAGAGCAGCTGGTAGGATGTGTGGAAGAAAGCGGTAAAGGATCTCAGTGGGAAAAAGTGCCCCCACCAGAAAAGAGCTCGGTATTCTCAGCTCTTAGAATTGATTTATTAGCTGTGTACTTCTGCTAACATCTGCATTTTAAGGCAGGGGGGTTTAGTGTCCTATCTGGGAGTGGTGACATATTAAGCTATTATCAGCCATTAATAGCTTAAGTTAATGTGTCCAATTAGTACTCAGTCACCTACAAGAGACCTAAGGGAATGGTTCTTTCAGACAGAAAAGTTGGAAGCTTTTATTGAGCACATACTATAAGTCAGAAGTAGAGGAAGATCAGGGATCCACAATTTTTTTCTGCAAAGGCTCAAATATTTTAGGTTATGTGGGCCATATGGTCTCTATCACAACTACTCAACTCAAGTTTGTATCATGAAAGCAGCTACAGACAACATGTACATGAATAACGTGTTTCAATAAACCTCAAAAGCATGAATTTTAAAAGAAAATATCGATTTTAAAATAAAACTTACTGGATGTGTTCCATTGAATCTTCAGTTACAATACCAGGCTGCAGATCTATTATTTATAAATAAGAGCTATTATTACTAATGCTATCATTATTATCACTTTATAAAAGAATACATATTTGAATGCCAAAAAAATAAGAAATATCACCTAAGAAGAAATGACAATCATTTAAATTAAATAAATAATAAATTTAATTTCATAAGGGCTATTTATGCTTTATTTTTCTTAGCTTTCCACAGTCTGATCTACACACCTGTATTTGGATACCAAACCTTTTATTATTTAAAATTTTTTATTGTAAAAATGTTTAAATATATTTGAAATCAATATTTATATAATGAAGCCCCATTTGATCATTACCCATCTTCAATGGTTACCATCACTCGTTGTTTAATACTGGGGATACATTCTGAGAAATTCATTATTAGGCAATTTTGTCTTTGAGCAAGCATCGCAGAATGTGCTTACACAAACCTGGATGGTGCAGCCCACTACACACGTAGGTTATATGGTATTGCTCCTAGGCTATAGATCTGTATAGCATGTTACTGTACTGAATAGTATAGGCAATTGTAATACAATGACAAGTATTTGTGTTTCTAAACATATAAACATAGACAAAGTACAGTAAAACGTATAAACATAGGCAAAGTACAGTAAAAATAAAGAATTATAGTATTATGGAGCCACCTTGCTCTTTGTGGTCTCTCATTGACCGAAATGTCATTATAGGGCACATAATTGTATTAACCTTCTATCATATCATCTATACCTCCATTCACTCCCATCCTTGCACATAAGTGTTATTATTCATTAACAGCTTTTAGTTAGAAAATATATATGTGTGTATATATATATGTGTGTATATATATATGTGTGTATATATATATGTGTATATATATGTGTGTGTATATATATATGTGTGTGTACATATATGTGTGTATATATATATGTGTGTGTATATATATATATATATGCTTTCTTACACATCTTAACTGTAAAATTCTGATCAATATACAGTCATCCCTCTATATTCGTGGGTTTGCGTTTATGGATTCAACCAACTATGGACTGAAAATATTCAGGAAAATAACAATATGAAAATAAAAATAACACAAAGTTAAAAATAAAATATAACACTTTACATAGTATATACATTGTATAAGGTATGATAAGTCACTAGAGAGGATTTGAAGTATACTAGAGGATGCGTGTAGGTTACATGCAAATACCATGCAATTTTATGTAAGGAACTTAGGCATCTTTGAATTTTGGAGGGGTGGGGGCATTTCCTGGAACTAATCTCCAGCGAGTACTGAGGGAGGTCTGCCTGTAACTGACTGTCTCACCCATACTCCTGTTATGTCTGTAGCATATCTTGCCATACACCTCATGAGGAAGTCAATCGATTCTGGGATCTTGAATGCCAAGATTGTCAGTGAATTCAGCTAGATCCAACCTGGAGTCATTAAGGAATTGGACAGTTGCTTCATTTTATACTGTTCTACTAGAGATAGACATTATTAAAACCATTTCACTAGTGCTCTCTGTAAGAGCCAAGATATATAAACTCAGAGAGATTAAGTAACCTAACAGGGACACACAGTTAATAAGTGGCAGAGCCAGGGTTCAAACCCACAGCTGTCTCCTTCCAAAGCGTGTGCTATTTCTACAACATGGCGTGCTGGAAGTCAGAAGTGGATTCCCATGGATTTCTGATGATGGACAGTCAAGTGGAAGGCTACCTAATCCATATGACTTGTTCAAGAATCAGTTCCTAGCACAGTAATATTTGCTCTATCAACATTTGTTAAAGGAATGGAGGAGGGGGTCAGTCTTTGGAGGATACAGAAAATTGGACTATAAGAGCCAAGAGGCTTCTTTATACTTTTTCCTGGGGCTGATAGAACTCAGTATATTGATTATTTGTGATCAAAATCTGTTTTCATTGTAAACTGCATTTGCCCTGCTACCCAGCCGGTACAGAACATCAGAACAATGAATAAGCTGTGTCCTGGGACTTCTCTGGCAACAAAATTGGCATTGTTTGTGCTGTAAGAACAGATAAATATATGTTCTTCCATATGAACATGAAATAAGGCAGCCTCAACCTCATCATCTGGACACCTTCAAAATAGTTAAGTTAGCTCTAGGTCTTCTTTCCATATTCTCGGTTGTAAAATGTACTTTTGCTAAAACTTGTTTCTTTCTAGAGTATGAGATATTTATATGTCTCATATAAATACATATATACATGTGTGTATATATAGAGAGTATATATGTGTGTGTATATATACACATATAGAGAGAGAGAGGGAGAAAGGGAGGGAGGGAGAGAGGATTAAATGGGGAGAAAAGAAAGGAGAAAGGAATCAAGGAAGACAGAGATTTGTCATAGCCTGAGAAGGGCATTATTTGTATTGGAATATTCCCAGATAACTTAAATTGTGGGGATAATCTTCACTAGAGACTACAATTTCAAACTGCCCAGGGACAGAGCAGGGAGAATTCACAGGCCCTGTGAGCCAAGAGAGAATGCAGGAAACCATAGAACGCTTCAGTCCTGCAAAGGGGCCAGTCACTCCTCAATTCCTGTCAATTGCAAAATAGGTTGTAGAGATCCAGTGTTAGGATCTAAGTTTTAAATAAGAAACCAGATATCTAGAGATTCATATGAAATATCCTGCTTTCTGAAAGCTGGCCACTAATTTGTTTTCAAAACTGCATCAATTTCTGTGCAGTTCACAGAGTCAACATCACTCTTGGCAAAGGAGGGCGCTAAGCCTTGAGCAGCCAGCTTACAACTTCTGATCTAGGTGTGACCCCTCTTTTTCTACTCCCCATTACATACAAGAAATAGAATGGGGAAATGGCTCAAAGGTAGCCACAAAATGATCTGGCCTGTTTAGTCATAGAACTTACTGGACTTCTATTTCCTTATTTCCTTTAAAAACAAACAGTAGATCAAGTTCTTGTTAAAGTTTGGTGAAAGAGTGCAGCGAGAGAATCTGAAACAAGACCTGATTCTGTGTCCCTTACTTTGCAAGAGAGATCATCTCCAAATTTCAAATAGGTGAGGATGGGATGCAACTCCCTGTCCGGTCCCAGCTGTGTCATTGATCATCCGCCACTAGTCTTGTGGCACACACAGTTGAATTGCTTTTCCCTGAGGGAAGCAATGCCTCCAGGTGTGCTAATAATAAAATTAATAGCTTAGAGAAACAGCTTGCTACAGCAACAGCGGCAGGAGAAAGGGGGGATCGATTTCAGTGTTTAACTGTCCTAATTCCACAGTGTATACCCCACCTCAGCCCCTGGTGAGCCGTGCTTGGTCTCATGGTTAATCAATAGATGCCTGATTTAAAACAAAGAGCCAGTTTCAAGATTAGAAGTCTTCGTGAATAAAAAGATGTATGGTAAAACTGTCAAAACCCTTCCATTCCCAACTTAACACTTCAACTCCAAGGGCAGTCACTAGCTGATATGAAGTAAAAAAAAAAAAAAAAAAAAAAAGAAATCACATGCATTGTATTGTATCCCCCTCTGCCTATAAACAAAAGAGGAAAACTAAAACTATCTGGGCGCTGCTACTGCTGATGGCATCACATAAATAAGAATTTATTGAGTTGCTCTGTGTTTAAAGGACTGTGAACATAAAGATGTGTGAGTACTTTCAGTAGCACAGAGAATAATATGTTTCTGCTCTAACCAGCCTGCTATCTGGTGGTTCAATTTATACCTTCTTGTAACTGGCATTCTCATCTTTTTCCTGGAGAGAAGGATCAAATTTGCGGTCAACTTCTTGGCCATCGTTTGCATTACCAGGATCCACTGAGTCTTCCTGGCCCGGCACCTTCAGAGGCTTTTTAATTCCACATTTCTCATTCTCCTCTCATTCACCAAACCTGCCTTCCATCTAATCTACACAGTTCTCTCTCCCGTTTTCAGGACTGCAGCTGCAGTGAATGCTTACCTTCTCCGTATAATCTTTCTCCACATCTGCTGTTACTCTTACTGGCCTGTCTGAATCTTTCCAGCAGTATCCTTCCCTTCGCCTCACATTTTCTCCCCTTTTTGAAATAAGCTCATCGGGAGGTAGGAAGGCATTTCTCATATCGTTTTGACATGTTCCCCAACAAGCTTTCAAATAAGTCCTTAGGTCATAATTCGAGCTCCTAGAAAGAAGAGACTGAAATTTTTTTCTCACATATTTAGTATTTTAAATGCTGATGGAACATTTTGTTGTGTTTTTTCTTAGGCAGCCCTAAAAATAACCTCATCCCTACTTTGTCTATGGTGTCTTAATTATAATTAAGTTAAGGCATAAGTTTCTTTTCTTTGTCCCAACACTGAGTAGAAAGGGGGTACAAACTCCTGGCCTGGTAAGAGCTGGAACTTAGGGATACTTCTTTGCCAGGCTGGTTTACATCAAGTCCCATTTTCCACACCACCCACTGCTTCGGATGAGGATGAGCCAGCAAAAGACAATGATTGAATGTCCTCGCTGATTCAAAGAAAGTAAGACAGAAATACCTTTCTATCCCCCTTTGTGTGTGTGTGTGTGTGAATTCTCCAAAGACAAAGCATTTAATTTGAAACTAAAACTGGCATTAAGTTTGGTTGTTGGTTTTTCTTTCATATTTATTGTTTACAGTAGATTCCCTCCAAGGGCCCTCTTCAACTCATTTTCCCAGCATGAGGGACCACTCCATACCAGTTCAGTTTGACCAAAGTCCTTTGCTTTTCACTTAGCTCTTATTTGTGTCATCATTTTACTGCATGACATTCTACTTCGTTTGTGGTCTCTCTGTCTCTCTGCTTGCCCCCTCTCCCCTTCCATCTATGCACAGAAGTCCAAGAGCAATGGTGGGAAACTTTTCTGGGGTTTTCTGAGAAAAGTGTTTTCTAAACTTGGAAAAGAAGTGGGAGTGAGGAAGCACTACATAGAAGTGAGGTCTAAGGATAACTCTGTCACCAATGTATAGCATGTTATGCAGAAGATTTGAACCTCCCTTTTTGTTAAACATATTTAATTAAAAGTCAGCATCTCCAGTGATACCAAGCGATGAGAACCGTGGCATGAGAATGTGTGTGTGAGGCAATCCAAGTGTGGCAGCGGCTACTTCAGTAGCCCAACTTTCACAGATTTTCCATTAGGTACTTTCTGCCATAGGGTATGCATTTCCTTTTCAGAATCCAAAGATTTGTAACATTAAAGAATATCTCATTTGTTTGATTACAGAACCCATTGGCAAGCTGAATCAATTTCATTTAACACTGTAAGTTCCCAGAAAAGTAAGAAAGGCATTGAGTTCCAAGAACCATGAATATTATATCCCAAAGGAATCATGAATCAAATGAGAAATTCCAGGGAAAGAGGAAAGAGTGAGGAGAAAGAACTCAGAATATTGTACTCAGCATGCTGTTAACCTGCCTGCCAACTTCATGTCTTCTCTGCCAGTGGTTTTCAAAGTCTTTCGAATATTTTTTTCTTCTCTTACAATAGAAGCCAAAGTGAAATCAGGATTTACCTACCAAAAGTATTGACTTTCTAGCCAGATTTGTTAGAAAGTAGCTATTGCTTAAGGTGAGAAATACTTCTACGTAGCCGACAAAGTTAATGGGACCTGAATTTTGTTCCCAATAACATAATATTCAAGTAAAGGCAAAACTGTTATTGTATGCCAAGCATTTGATTGGAATTATATTGCCTTTTAAAGAAGTAATGCTAGGTAAATGGGAAAGAAAAGGAAAAGTCCAACTTTAATGACCTTCATTTTACATGCTGAAAATGAATGGTAATAACCAGAAAATAGAGAAGTTCCAGTGAGTTAGGATTCATAAATATTAAATGTAATGGAGGAAAATCACAGATCTTCAAGAAATTAACTTGAACAAATGGTGATTTTAGTTACGATGTTGTCATTTTGAGTAATGGTCATTAGCACAGTGGATTGTAATGGGTACGAGCTCACTGGATAGAAAGAATGCCTTCTGATTAACTCAGGATTTTTTTCTGATGCTTCAGCCAGTTGACAACTGTACTGTATCTCTCTTCATTTTGAGCTTGTGATTGGCTCCAGAGGCTCTTTGTTTAGAGATGTGTGTGCTCTGTTTTCATGATTAAGCTTTTTTATGATTAGTCTCCATTTTCTTTTTTGTTTTAACTTTTACTATGAATAATACACAGTGTCTTGGAGAACTGATTGGCTGACTGATATAATTGAGTTCAGATGCAGTTTCCTTTCTCTCTCCACTGTTTTTAGTCCCTGCTCCATTCTGGGCTGTTTGTGACTGCCTGGAGACCCTGCTTTCAGAGCTACTGTGTAGTATTTTTCTTATAGTGACTGGTGTCTTGTATAACTTGAATATAATTGACTTTAGGGAAGGTAGTTGTTGGAAGCACCAAGAGGTGCCCCCTTGTCTCATGCAGAGCCCATTCCCTCTCCCACACCCTAACAGTCACTCCTGAAGACAGCAGTTCAAGACACAGATTTTACTGACTTTTCATGGGAAGAAAACACAGCAAACTCTCTGAACAATTCTCTTAAAAATTTCTTGGATTCTATAAATTTCCTCTCTCTATGCAGCACTTGGAGTCTTCTTAGATTCTTTCAAGTTTCTTTAGGTTCTTCCTCTGCATCTTTCTCCAGCATCTCCTGCTGCATCTCCCGGTCTCTTCCCTGCATTTAACTCAAATCTGCCCTTCCTTTTCCTCTGTCAGCCTACTGCCCCTCTCCAGACACACCCCGCTTGCATTCCCACCCCATCACCTTGCTCAGCAAAGAATCTACCTTCTTCAGGATTCATTCTTCTTCTCAGGGCAAGTGAAGGAATTTAAATGACTAATAATGGTTTATTTTACTTCTCTCTCCATGAAAATTAACCTTGCATTTGTGTTTAGGTATTCTGTCGGAGAAAGCCATATCTCTTCTTCATTTGCTGGTTTCCTTTGGATAATCATGTCCACAGTTGAATAGATTCTCCTGCTCCCCCTCAAAACTCTACCTCTTGATAGGTGTCTTCCAGCTAATGACTCCATCATCCTCCCAGTCACACAGGTGTGGCTCCTGGGAGTACAAAATCCTGAGATCCATTACCCCAAATCAGGACATCTCTAAACTATAACGTGCACTCTGAGTCACACGGGAGGATGATGTTGAAGTGGATCTCTGTGGCCTGTGTCTGAGATCCATCCTTCCCTTGGCTTGCTCCCATTCCCTCTTCCCTGTGTCCTTGCAGATCTATGCTGGGAGAGCACCTTAGCAAATGACCTACACATGAATCCTCCTCTCAGGTTCTGATTCCAGAGAACTTGAACTAAGACAAATCCTACATGGTAAGTAATATTATCCACATTTTACGGATGAGGGAATTGAGGTAGAGTGATGATAGATAATTTGCCAAATACCATACACATCTTACCTATAAAGGGAGAAATTGGAACTTTAATCTGCACAATCCAATGCAGAACACATATTCTTGCTACCCTACAATATTGCCTCCCAATTATACTTGAATAATCTTCCAGAGCACAGTCTGGATCATCTCATTTCTCTACTTGAAATCTTCAGGGGCTCTCTGTTCCCTGCATTTCTGATCTTGTCATTTTTCAAGGCCCTTACGATCAATGGCAGATGCAACTTCCTAGTCTCCATTCCCACTGCATCACTTCTGTTACACTTTATGGCCAGGCACATGGGAATACTCAGTGTTTTTCCAATAGAGGTCCTGCTGGTCAAAATCTATGCCTCTTTCTCTCCGACCACATACTCTCTCTGGAATCCCCTTCCTTCTTTCTATCCTCTGTGGTATTTCCAGAACTGACCCCATGCTCCCCTTTGACAGTAGAGCTTAACTATCATCACTTTCATGAAGCATGCCCTCCTGTCCCCAGACTGAAGCAAAGGTTTTCTTCCTCGAACTGTAGTAGAAATTGATAACTTTCTTTCATAACAACTGGAGCAGGAAGGAGGCAAAGTCCTCTGCATTTTAAGAAGGTGAACAATAGAGGCTCTACTTAAAAAAATGTTAGCGACCATTTCTTTTCATGGAGCTCTCTTTGGTTTAAAACATAACAAGCTATGATGATAGGACTGTAGCAAAATGTTATTGGTGCTTATCTTAGTTTTTATAATTATGAATCTATTTTCAAATTTTTTTTATTTTTATATATTCTAAAATGTATCAAATAAAAAGTTGCCTCTATTGAATAGATGAAAACAGTAAATCTTGCATACCGAAAAAAAAGGAAGACAAAAGAGAGATGAAGAAAAAACAGAGAGAAAGAAGAGGAAAATAGCAGGATGAAAACGGAGGGAAGGATAGAAACAAGAGGAGAGAGAAAATTTGGATGCATTATAATGCAATGAGTTATAAAGTCCAGGAAAAAAGAATCTGCCATTCTTAAATAATAATGGGAGAGGTTCATATCTGCACTGGAAGGAGAGACTGAAGAACATACAGATTTTGCATCCCAGTGTCTTTGTTGTGGCCATTACATTCTCTGTAAGTATTTGCTGCTGTTAGAGATTATTACAAGGCCTTAGAAGGAAAAAAAAAAAGGTGATTGACTGGAAATGAAAGAAATAAGGGGTAATGGCCTGAAACTAAGGGTTAGGGGGAGAAGAGGGTGGAATAAATTAGATAACAGAAAATAAAATTAATAATAAGGTCAATTAGACAACAGCATAATTTCCCAAAGAAAGTAATTGAGGCAATAGCATCCAAGCTGTTTGGAATGAGAAGAGATAAATCAGTGAGAAGATTAATGTGGACAAACCACAGTGGAGCAAGAAGGACCAGAGGTGAGAAAATCTGTTAGGCTCTCCAGATAAAAATGCATATACAGATTTCCTGGAGCAGGTACGAGAAAATTCTTGCCCCTCACTGCAGGGAGTAGAAATGCATTGAAATCCTTAGCGGAATCCTGCTTAGGATTGCCAAAATTAACTCTAGAATTCAGAGGGACAACATTTCCAGCGTCAGGCACCATATGCTTCAGTGGTCGAATTCACTGTGATGCCAGGGGCAGGGAAATCTTATGACCTTCTTGGAGGACTTTATGTCAGAGAGAAGGGAACAGTCACTCAGGGAGAACTGTGTGTCCTGCAGATTAGAGTCCTATTTGACAAAAGCTTTCTTCAAAAGCTCAAGAATTGTTCCAAGCTGGGCCTGTAAAGTGACCATTTTTGCCATGGGCATGTAAACCCAGAAAATTGTATTCTTAATGACAGACCTCATACATATGTTACAAATAAACCACCGGAGATTGCCCATCAAAGAGACTGGGTTAACTGAAAGCTTATTTTGACTTTGCCACTAATTACTTGTTGGCCTTTGACTCATATCTTGAGCTCCAGTCTTCTCATCAAGAAATAGAAACAGTAATATATGTGCCCCACTGGTTTAGTGTGATCATTAAAGGATAACAGAAAACACCTCATACAATTATTGGTATGTGGGGACTCTTTCCATTGAATATGTTTCTTGGCCTGTCGCCTTGGCTCATACCTGTAATCCCAGCACTTTGGGAGGCCAAGGCAGGTGGATCACTTGAGGTCAGGAGTTTGAGACCAGCCTGGTCAACATGGCAAAACTCCATCTCTAATAAAAATACAAAAATTAGCTGGGCATGGTGGTGCACACCTGTAGTCTCAGCTACTCGAGAGGCTGAGGCACGAGAATCGCTTGGACCTGGGAGGTGGAGGTTGCAGTGAGCCAAGATCACGCCACTGCACTCCAACCTGGAGGACAGAGTGAGACTCTGTCTCAAAAAATAAAAAATAATTAAAAATATAAATAGTGTTTCCTTCTTTGCTTCCAATAATAGTTCTTTCTTGTTCTAACTTCTATGTCCACGTGAAAGACAAATGTTGGTCTTCCAATGACATATCAGATTTACCTGTATATATACTCTTCATTTGAAATATTGAACTGCAAGGTGTTAGGATGAGAAATAATTAGTTCATCTTTCCTCTCAACCTCTTATCTAAGATGCCATATTAGTTTTCTACTGCTGCTTAACAAAATTACCCCAAATTTGCTAACAGACAACAACGTCTACTGATGATATCAGGGTCCATGGTTCAAAAGTTTGGGCACAGTGTAGCTTAGCAGGGTTCTTTCTCTCTTTTGAGTCTCCCAAGACTGAAATCAAGGTATCAGCAAGCCTGCATCTCTTTCTGGAGCTCTGGGAAAGGATCTACTTCCAAACTCATCCAAGTGGCTGGTGGAATTTAGTTCCTTGTGGTTGTAGGACTTAAGTTTCTATTTCCTTGACACAAAGGCATATCAAATTCTTCTCGTTCTTGCAATTACTTTTTATACTGCTCTCAGCTAAGAGAAAGTTCTGCTTTTAAGGGCTCATGTGATCCCATTGGGCCTACCTGGGAAACGCAGGATAATCTCCCAATTTCACGGTCAAATGATTAGTCATCTTAATGACAGCTGCAAAGTTCCTTTTGCTGTGGAACATATTCATTGACATGACATCGGGGCCAAAGGTCGCAGAAAACAAATCTTGCTTACCACAGATCCTTATCCAGATATCCAACTGCGCCATCTGGATTTGTCTCCTCCAACTTTATCCTGTTCAAAACTGAACTCATCATCATTCCTGAGGCCTCCAAAAATGTTTCTGCTTTTGTTTTCTCTTTCATTTGTTTCTCTTCTGTTTCTTTGTATCATGATACCTATGACACTGTGTTTTATTATTTCTCTCCCTGCCTTCCTCACCAGAAAAGCTCTCATGAGGGGAGGAACAGTGAGCTATTAGTTTTTTTGTCCCCAAGGCTTGTTGTAGTTCCCAATCCAATGCTAGAGAAGTCAATGTTCTAATCTGTGCTAGAAAGAATTGGGTATGTTCCATATCCCATGAAAGATACCTCAGGCAGGACATATATCATGGAGCAAACACCTGTATTAGACTGTTAGTTTCACGCTTTGCCCATTGAGCAATCTCACATAAACCACTTACTTTATATAGGCCACAGCTTTTTCTTCTGTAAAATGAGCTGTTAAAATAAGTAGATGCTTCCTAATATTTTCACTATAAAATATATTTTATTTTTAACTCCTACTGGACCCAGGTTTGGATATATTTTTAAATATATTTAAAACCAAATTGTATTTATTCAGTAGTAAATAAATGTCTCCCATGTTTATCTGTCAAGATCGTGTGTTATTTCAAAGCATACATAATCAAAACACTTGATTAGCAGTGACTTCAACTAATGTTACTATGACTTGAGATAATAATTGCCATATCAAATAAATAAATAGGCAAACAGACAAATGAAGAAGTATTTCCAAGGAAGATGTAAACACGTAAGGAAGAGCACTACCATCATAAAGATTTAAAATAAGACAATTTCTACTAGAAAAAGAAAACCAATTTACTTCAGTACATCGGTAATTAGATTTTAATATTAAAAAAAAAACCCAAGGAAATGGTTTTTGAGATTCCCCTGGAGCCCTGCAGTAGCTGACTGTGAACCGTGAGTTTGAGTGATTTCCAAGTTTATTCCAGTTCTAAAATTCAGATTCTTAAATTTCAGTCTGCATTCCATCATCTCTTGGTGAGAAATTGGCAGACTTCCCCATGGACTGGGAACCTTTGCCTTGAAACACGTGATGGTGCGAGGTCTAAATTCAGATGCCTGTAAGGAGGCCATACACACATGAACGGGACACGCCCCAAGCCCAAAGTGGGAAAGAGAACGCATGAGTATAGTCACTGAGTTCCGGCCAATTGTTGCCTTCAGGGAATATAGGCCTGGTGAGATCAGATGTTCTGATTTTAAAGCAAGTTGGAAATCTGGGTTTTATTTATGTTACAAAATACTCCTTTAAAAATATTGGCAAGGAATTCATTTTTTTAAAATGCTGTGTGGACCATATGAAACACATCTGCAAGCCAAATTAGGTTCACAAATCATCACTTTGCAGCCAGACACGGAGTTAGAAGTTAGTACTACACAGGGGCTAGCAATTGTTTAGAGTCCTCTCTGTTCCAGGCACTCTCCTCCAATATCAGCCACATGACTTCCTCGTGCCTTAGTTTCCTTACAATAAAATGAGACAGCGTGCATGAGAGGGCTTTCTAAAATGTAAAGGGCTGCACTGTTTACTACTGAGGGTATATTCTCTTTTTTCTTTTTTTGAGATGGAGTTTCACACTTGTTGCCCAGGCTGGAGTGCACTGGTACGATGCTGACTCACTGTAACCTCTGTCTCCCAAGTTCAAGTGATTCTCCTGTCTCAGCCTCCCGAGTAGCTGAGATTATAGGCACGCGCCAATGTGCCCAGCTAATTTTTGTATTTTTAGTAGAGACGGGATTTCACCACATTGGCCAGGTTGATCTCGAGCTCCTGACCTCAGGTGATCTACCTGCCTCAGCCTCCCAAAGTGCTGGGATTACAGGCGTGAGCCACCACACCCGGCCTACTGAGGTATATTCTTATTGTAGTCTTTCATTGCATTTAATAAAGAATTGACATCCTTTTGTAATGTGTAATCAACTTACGTGAGAGATGTGAATTCTAGGAAAGATGTGTACGTGTTGAGGGTCAGAAAGAGAGAGAGATGATTTGGTGTGTACATTCTTAGTTACTCCTTGCCAGGCATTTCATGTTGTCTCTGATATTCATGAAAAGAAACATTTATTCCTTGCAAAGATATGGTTGTCTAAGATAAACCTACATACTTTAATGTCTATTTTAATCATTTTAAGCTAATACTAAATGACTCACCCTTTAGAAGCATAGAGTGAAAGGCTCTGAGGTTCCACATCCTAAGGAGAAAGCAATTGAATGGCCTCACAAATTTAAACTGCTAACTTAGAAGTGAGAAGTGCTATAAAATAAATAAGTCAGCATACAACAAAACGAACACTAGAACCACCATGGACATAATTAATATTTTCTTAAAGCATAGAGAATGCAGATATTATCTTAGTATTTAGATTGTAAGTCAGTTTATTTTGATATATTGTCCTGAGTTGGAGGGTTGTCTTCTGAGGTTTTCATTTAAGAAGAAGATGTAAAGTGACACAGATTTTGCTTAGCCTTAATAAACGGAACATCTTCTTAAGACGATGTCATTTAAGCTAAATTGATGGAGATCTTTTTGTTTTACTGTGCTTGGATTTGACTGTGTCTTGAGAGATCTTTCAGCCTATATGTATTATTCCCAATGTCTAAAATGACATCAGACCATGCCAACAATTAATGGAACATACTTCCTCTCTTGGAAGCCATTCCACTTGCTTTTTTGTTCTATTCGAGTTGTTGGTCAGAATGAGAACATAGTTACTCAGTGGAGATTTCTTTCAGCCTTGGATAGGAGGAAAGAGTGGGAATATAGCTTCTAACTTTCTATAGCTGTCAAGTGGGAGAATCAGGAAGCTATCTTCCTTCATCTCAACTGTCTTTGTAACTACACGTATTTCTTTCTTGGTTAGTGGTATAAGTCACACCATGTTGGCATTTGGGGCACATTGTTTAAATTCCTCAAATTCCTTTTTCCTTATGTGTCAAATGAAAATAACACTACCTACTTCATATCGCTACTGTGAGGAATAAATGAAAGAATGCGTATGAAGTACTTCGCTTTCCTGGCATATGAAAAACATTTTTTAAAAGTTAGCTATTTTTAGTAATTTTTTTTTTTTTGAGATGGAGTCTCACTCTGTCACCCAGGCTGGAGTGCAGTGGTGTGATCTCGGCTCACTGCAACCTCCACCTCCCAGGTTCAAGCGATTCTCCTGCCTCAGCCTCCCAAGTAGCTGGGATTACAGGCGCCTGCCACCATGCTCAGCTAATTTTTGTATTTTTATTAGAGACAGGATTTCACCATGTTGGCCAGGCTGATCTCGAACTCCTGACTTCAAGTGATCTGCCTCCCAAAGTGCTGGGATTACAGGTTTGAGCCACCACACCTGGAAATTTTTAGTAATATTGTTGTTCCTCAACTTATATTGACTGCTTAAGGTTCCCAATTTAAGGCAACTAGTAATTTATTTTAGACTATTTTCTGCTCTTTGTAAAATCACTTTTTCTTTCCTCATGATTCCCCATTTTTTCCCCCACATCATTCCCCCAATTCTGTTGAAGGGCCAGAGTTTGAAATCCCACATTCCTCAGGGTTCAGGGAAAATCCTGACTGCTACAGAGAAAAATTATTTTAAAAAGCAAGGTTGCGTTTTCTGAGAAATGCCTGATACTTACAAGGCTCAGTGAATATATGCTTCTCTTCCCTTATTCAACTATATCAACCCTCAGTGGCCACTGAATTAACATGGCATTTAGTCATATACAATTAACTTTTTCCTTGGTGTCTTGTTGCCTTGTATATTGTAAACTTCTAGATGAAGGAAACCATGCCCTGGTGTCTTAAATTCCATCCTGTGAACAGTACAGTGCTATAAACAGGATAGATTCAAATAGAATTCAGGGCTAATTTTATGTAGCACATTGCATGGATTATTTCATTTAACCCACAGGATAACTTCATAAAGTAGGTATCATTGTTACTGTTATTCCTGTTTCACACATTAGGAAACCAAGGTGTAAAGAGGTAACTTATCTAAGACCACTTAGCTGATAGTGCTTGATACAAGACTGGAACAGAAACAGTCCACACCAGAGCACATTTCTTACCACCTTACTGTGCTTCTTTCCCATAATGAAGTGAATGAATGCATGCGTGAAGAAAGCAATCATATTCTGCAAAGCAGTCCTAAATATTAGACAATTTGTCCTACCTAAAAAGAAATTAATTTCCCTTTGCCTAAATTAATACTCATTCTTGAACTGCCAAATCTGTTTGCACTTTTCACTGCATTTTTTTTTTTTTTTTTTTTTTTGAGACGGAGTCTTGCTCTGTTGCCCAGGCCGGACTGCGGACTGCAGTGGCGCAATCTCGGCTCACTGCAAGCTCTGCTTCCCGGGTTCACGCCATTCTCCTGCCTCAGCCTCCCGAGTAGCTGGGACTACAGGCGCCCGCCACCGCGCCCGGCTAATTTTTTGTATTTTTAGTAGAGACGGGGTTTCACCTTGTTAGCCAGGATGGTCTCGATCTCCTGACCTCATGATCCACCCGCCTCGGCCTCCCAAAGTGCTGGGATTACAGGCGTGAGCCACCGCGCCCGGCCTTCATTGCATTTTTAAATGCCTTCCTCTACATGCATTTTCTATGAAGTTTAAGCATACAGTTCACACTTCAATTCTGCAGCAGTAGATTAAATAAACACCATGAACAAAGTTTGTGCTGGGTACTTTGGGGGAAAAGATATAAATGAGAATGTATTATCTCCCCTTCAGGAGTTTACTATCTAGTAATCCCAGAAGGGTAAATAATGACAAAACAGAGTAGACTGTGGGAAGTGATGGACGCACAAATATCTCTTGACAAGTTTGTGAAAGGGAGGGACTCAGGGGAGGCTCCAACAAGGTCTTTTGAGCTTGGAAAAACTTTAAGATCTCACTTTTAGTCTTTCTTTTGGTATTATTTCTTGTCACCTGATTTATTCTTCAAAAACAGTATCTTTCTCACCATTCTGCTTTTATTAAACCAATTTCTTAGGCCTTTCTACAGAATCACAGTGACTATCGTGGCTAACTTGAAACTGCCGTCAACCTGCTAAGGTTTTATACACATTAAAAAACTACACTGTTTCAACCAATCAGATAAAATATATGTGATAGTTTGTAAATTCTACATTGAACTAACTCTGAGGATAAGATGCTACAGAAACACTTTTATACTACTTGATAAAATTAGATGATTTGATCCTCAACTATCATTGAGATATCTATGTGGACTCAGAAAAAATCATTTATAATACATTTAGGCATAACAGATGCAGTAGCCTATAACATAATATGGGTTTCCTTAGAAATATATTTATCATTTGCAATGCTAAGTTGAAGTGTACTTGGCTCAGGAATGAGTTTTCCTCTCATTCTCACCAGTATGATAACCTGGCAAGCACCAGTGATAAGATAATAAATTACCCCATATCCTGAAGACTATAGTCTCAGAGGGCAGTGGGTGTTCCCCTATATTTAGTAGCTTGCAAAAAATGATTTAGAATTGGTAGCCCCAGGCATTGACTGACTGATCATGGTAACAATAGGTTTATAGATTTTTTTTTCTCTTAGTAGTAATAATGACAGATAAAATTAAATTGATTATATACTATTATATTATATGTAATGTCATATATAATGTATTGACAGATTGCACACTTATTTGCCATCAGTTTGCTAAGAACTTTACATCTTTTATCTTAATTTCCCCATAACCCTATAAGATGAATTATATTATTTGTCTCATTTTACAGATGATAAAACTGAGGGTATAGAAGTTACATCTCTAAAGCCCAAGTCCTTGACCTCTAAATTAATACTGCTTCCACATCAGAGCGTTTCTCATAGTTTCAGACATTGGTGTCTCATTGGAACCCCAAGTTCTGTCGATTCAAACACGGTAGAGAAGATTGCTTTTAGCTTTGTGGCTTCTCAGCCAGGAGACCATATTTGAAATTACTCTTCAGGTGATGAAGATGAGAGGGAAGTGAAACAGCTCTATGAAAAGGCTTCCCTTGAAAAGCTTCCATAGCTCGACAGACCTGCAGCCGCCACCCCAGGTGAAAAGAATTCTCTTCTCACCAAGAACAGCATCAAGCCACAGCAGCAGCCGGACCTTTCTCTGGGTCCCTGTTCATTAGTAGTCAAGGTTTTCATTGTGCTCAGCAACACAGTCACAGAAAATAAATGTGCCGCACAGATGGGCCCATAGAAAATCTACTTGATGTATTCTTGAAAATTAACTGCTAAATGACTTTGAAGAGATGGGGGTTATTGTGTCCATGATTAAAATGAGGTGTAGCATGAATCTTTCAAATACAACACCGTCCCTGTAGAGCTTTTTAAGACTGATAAGGTGCAAAGTGGTAGCTGGCCTCTGGCTCATGGATGTGCCATGGCTTATTGAACCATTCCCCTGATGATGAAATATATTTCCAGTATATTTGGTTTATACAAAGGTAAACTTAACTGTATAAAAATAAGCCTGCTTCATTTTATAGAAGCTGAAGCCTTTCATTGAAGGATTTTCCAGCTCGGATTTTCAAAAGGCAGAAGAATTAGATCAATATTTCATTGGACCACATATGCCACCCACACCAGAATTTTCTGATGTTATCTGGGTTGCTTGTCAAAAATGCACCCTACTCCATATGCACATAGGAGGAGAGCTGGGGGATTTACATCTTTAACAAGTATTGCCGGTTTTTCTTTTGACTAGTATGTGACATTTTATATGAGTTTGAAATAGGACAATGTAGATATACCAAGACAAAGTGTATATTATGCGCAAAATTTGAAACAATATGATTTCTCCAAGTGAAAATGGATATTTACAGTTTTAAAGTTAGCAGACCAGATGAATTATAATCTTTAACACCAGCTAAACTAGTTTACTTAGTAATTTCAAATACCTGGTGTTTCGTATCGTGGAATCACACTATTTTTTACATACAAATAATTTTGGTAATTATTGCTATGCCTCTGTAATGTTCACTGTTGCTACATATTTTGTATATACGCCATCAAGGCAGTCATTAAACGATGTCTCAGCTGGGCTACTGTAAATGAATACCATGGCCTAGGTGGCTTATAAAAAACATAAATTTTCCTTGCAGAGTTGGAGGCTGGGAAGTACAAGATGGGTGTCTGGTGGGGGCTGACATCTTGGTTTCTCTTGCTGTCTCCTCACCAGGCAGAAGGGGTAAGGGAGTTATCCAGGGTCTCTTTTGTAAAGATACTAATTCCATTCGTAAGCACTCTGTCCTCATGACCCAGTCACCTCCCAAAGGCCCCACCTAGTAACACCAATCTACTGGGGGTGAGGTTTCAACGTATGAAGGCAGAGGGCATAAACATTCAGTCTATAGCAAATGGTAGTGCTGTCATTCATGTTGAAAAATGCTCCTTAAAATCACTAACATGAAAAAGCAGGTTACATGTGATGATAATTTTGTGAGAAGGATCTGACAACCACTAATGTAGCTTATATTATTCATTTAGATGAGTAGCCTCTATAAAATATTACAAATAATATTGAGAAAATTAAAAGTGTATATAAAACAAATATGTGCTACTAATGGTTGCAGATCTATATTCCTATGGGAAAATTTACCTTTAATTGCATGAGTTTTGAAATATGTGAGGTCTTCAGGAATTGCAATTTGTATAAAAATGACCTACTTATGGATTAGTATTTGAAAACCACTGCAAAGCTGATGGCCAACGATTTGCCAAGTTGGCCACTATGGGCCATTTTTACAGGCATTGATTATTTGGACAGAAGTGGAATAATTGTCCTACTATTCTACTCAGAAAACATCAGCAAAGGGATACAGGACCATAATGTCGATCAACATGGGAAGAAAAATTTGTCTGGTGATTTCCAGGGAAAGCCATTCCCATTGTAGTCTACAAACAATAAGAGTTGGGCAAAGCTGTGGTTCTGAAACTGTCGTGTGATGGTAAATGTTTCAAAATGTACTCTGGGATTGGAAGAGCCCTGATTTACAGCATTTGCCCCATTTTCATATTGCATATACTCCTACCATGACCAATTTCAGGCTGAAGTCAAGTAACTCATGAAATTCCTGAAAATTTAACAAGTAACCTTTCTAAGGTGGTGCTAGCTGCCTATAACATACCATGGAAGGGATCTATAGGCAATAGATCTCTATAGAAATATGGCCAGTCCTTAATTATCCAGAGGCACATCAAGCCTTTTGCGAGCTAATGAAAATTACAATTCAGAACCTTCCTGCATTTTTTGGTAATTCAGAGGCACAAAATATAAGACTCTCCCCTTTCTTTTCTTAGCCAGCTCTCTTTTTTGTCTATACATCAATGTCGCTGTCACAATATTTGATTTGGGTATGTAACCAATAGTCTTCAGCTATCTATCTCGGTTCTTCTAAGAGCAGGAGAAAAATGTGTATGGGGCTTCCAATTAAGTAGAGTTGACATTCTGATTTGATTAGCAATGATGGACCCTGGGATTAGATTAGAGATTGGCAATACATATGGTGTCACTTGGAGCAGAGGAGGAAGACTAAGGGACCCGATGAATGAATAAGATGAATTCACTGCAGTTGACTTAGCAGCAGACAGATTTGCCTTATTGTACAGACATAGATCTTAGGCACAGGGCTTTCCGCATATTGCCTGGAACTGTAACCACAGCAGTGTATTTTCATCTTGTCCCTTTCTTTAGTCATAAGTTTTTTTGCTTGCCAATCTCCTGGCCTGGATTTTGATTACCTACCATCCCTTCCGAATATATTTCTTTCTCCTTCTTTCCTAGATTATTTATATAGTTCTCTCTAGGAATTTTTCATCTTCTAGAATAAGATGGAACAGAGGTGCTGCCTTCCCTAGAAATTTTCTTCCCTCATTATAACTGTACATCCATCTCTATCTGCCCTTCAAGATGCAGTTCATATAGTGCTTCTTGCCCCCTGCTAAAGCTAGGCGAGCTTGCTCCCTCTGAACTTACTTAGCAGTGATTCACAACCTTCATTGTGCATGGACATCACTTGAGAAGCTTTTGAAAAATAATAATTGTTTAGGGCCCACCAGAGATTTAGAATTAATTGGTGTGGGGCAGGATGTGAGTTTTGATATGTTTTCGAAAAGTAGCTTTGGTGACTCTAACGTGCGGGCAAAATTGAAGACAACTGTTTTATATTATGATATTCTCTCTCTTTGTTCCACAACTCAAATGCAGTCCAGGCTCCATAAAGTGAACAAAAGTAAGAATGGATCTTTGGGTGGAAAATAGCTTTTACATGCAACTGAAAGAGGCAGGGAGCTCCCAGGCAGCAACCATATACTGAGCCTGTGCCCTGTGGGAAGGGGAAACTCTGGAGGAAGAGTTTAGGAAGACTCAGAAACCATTTCCTGGGATCTAAAATAGTCTCGGAACTGAAAGCAATCATAGGGGATGTAGTCCAATGTCTTACATTACAGAGAAGGAATAGAGACCTGAAGAGGCTTTCCCAGTGTCCCAAGTGAATTTCCTAAGATCATGCAACCTGTGGTTGAAGGGCCAAAAGATAAGCTAATATTTTCAGTGTATACACTGGGCCAAGCCATTTTATACACATTAGCTTTTACTTTCAGGTATCAATGATTCTTTCCTTGTTACTACTTAATAGTATTCTATGCTGTATACCACAGTTGATTGATCTTTTTTTTAAACAGCATTATTGATGTAAATTTACCTATCATAAAGTTCACCTGTTTAAAATGTACAATTCAGTGATTTTCAATGTATCCATAGAGTGGTAGAACCGTCTCCATAATCTAATTTTAGAACTTACTTTTTATCACCTCAAAAGGCAAGCTTGTACTCATTATTCCTCACAGTAATCACAAGAGGTAGGTCCAGTGTTACTTTCCTTCGTGATAGGACTAACAGAGGTTCAGTCGCTTGCTCAATGTCATACACCTAGTAAAGGCTAGAGCCAGAATGGAAAGCGAAGGCAGTCACATTTCAAAGTCCCCATTAGAACTCCACCCAGGCCAGCCTTGCTTCCACCTACTCTATGGGAGGGAATTCAGTTCAGACAAAAAGTAATTGGATGGATTTTTTTCACAGATTATTTATGGGGAAAGGATCACCAGGAGGAAGAAGGAACAGAGGCAAGTGTCAGAGTCTTTCAATCTTGAGTCATGTTGTCCAGATTGCTGTGTGCCCTCTTGCAAGTCTGACACTTACATTCCACATTGTCTGTCTGCTATTTAGTCTCCTCTTCTGCAGTGCAACATCCTTGAGTATGAGGGCCATAAATTATGCACCACTGTCTCCCCATCATACCTAACATTATATTTAGCCTGAATACTAGGTTTCCGTAGACATCTAAAACAATGAATTATTCCCGGAATGGCTACAGTATAGCAGCCAGATAGCAGATATCTTAGATATTCCCATCATTAAAAAATTACTGGGGGCCAGGCATGATGGCTTATGCCTGTAATCCCAGCACTTTGGAGGCCAAGGCCCTTGGATCACTTGAAGCCAGGAGTTTGAGACCAGCCTGGTCAACATGGTGAAACCCCTGTCCCTACTAAAAATACAAAACTTAGTCATGTGTGGTGGTGCACATCTGTAGTCCCAGCTACTTGAGAGGCTGAGGTGGGAGAATTGCTTCAGCTCAGGAGGAGGAGGTTGCAGTAAGTCGAGATCGCACCACTGCACTCTAGCCTGGGAGACAGCGTGAGACCCCATCTCAAAAAAAAAAAGACACCAGTGAAGCTTTATGAAACTGTATGTATGTGATTTCACCAGTAACAGAAACATATAATTTGTTTTATCTGAATATTACATTTTCTAATAAATTATTGATATTAATTTGGTCATCAAAATGTATAACATATATACATAGATTTGTCCTATTTTAGGTTCTTTTTGAAAACTACTGACCTTCAAGTGGTAAAGTCTTTGTCATGGTTTCTTAATGAGTTTCTAAGAAAGAACCATGAGTTCCTAATATATTTGCCTCATAATTATACCTTCTGATTGTGTGTGCAGAAAAGTAAGTGGCCTGTAGTCACAAGTTCCAGCAGAATCCTTTGGAGTTTTAATTACACAGCACTGCCACCTAGCATCAACCACACAGACTTTTAAAACAATTATTATTAAAAAAAGAATTGAGGTTTCTCAGTATTTAAAATATTATTAAGGGGATCAGTCTGCAATCTTAAGAAGCACGGACTGAGATTACTTTAGGAAGTATTTGCAGCAGCTTCCAACCAACGCTATTTACTTGAAAACCCTTGTGATTGGGAGTGAATTGGTGTCAATGAAGAAAGGCGTTGTGAAATCTGCTGAAGAGTTTCAAATGTCAGAGCTGCATATTCATAAGCTGCAGGCACCTGTGGCCGAGCTGTGCTATCTTCCTGCAGATTCCTAGCGCTGCAGTGTTTGGAAGGGCAATGGAAGTGGTTTCCAAATGGCATTGTTTATTTGCATATGAACCTCCTATATATATAAAATGATAATATATATGTAATGAGTGATATATATATATATATATATATAATATATGTGATATGTGAGACAGATATATATATATAAAAGAAAGAGAGGTGAGTGGAGAAGGTGGACGAGCAGGTTTCCTCTGCCAGCCTTGGAAGTCCATAGAAGCCGACTATGAGACGAAACAGAAGATATTAGTCCTCTTTGCCATTTCTATTGGATGTCCCCTCCATGTGATGCACAATGCTATTGCAGGACCCAGGTCTCAATCTTCACAGTTCCCAAACTGTGCTTAAAAAAACACATCAAAACAAATCAATAGTATTTAAGAGGGGTAAAACATCGCACTGAGATTGATGCTTTCCATAATGAGCCCTTTATGAGATGTAATGCCAACTGTTAATCAATAGACATGCCAGAACTGCCTCTAATACAACCTTGTAGAGTTTTTTTTAATTAATCCTTATTAAAAATATTGACTTGTTGTGACTTGCCGGGGTTGCTCCTGGCTCTGTTTTTTATCCTAATTAGGAGGTTATGCTGCACTGCTTAGGCTGAAGATAATAATGTAATGATTGTTGTCTTAAAATCTGAGAATCAATATAAGATCCTATCAAATTGTGCCAAGTGTCACAATTATGAATATTGCTTGAGAATTTAAAAGCTTTATGAGAGCGGGAATTTTTTTAATTTTTAAATTTTTTTTCCCCTCCTGGTTGCTTATTTCTACACTTTTCTCAGAATTAGGTAGGCTCAAAAAGTTTTTGTGTTTTCATAAGGGCTTTCTCCAAACATTGTATTTTAACATGCTATCTTGTGAGGGAGCTGCCGTCTTCTGGGTTTCAGTTGTTTAAAAGGATCCCCTCTCTCCAACTCCACACATCTCAAAAGACATTTGTGCCTTAACAGCTTGGCAAAGTTCTAGCATGAAAGGAAAAATGAAGCATCTGAAGATCTTTCCAGGGGTGTTACTAAATGAAAGACACACAAGAAAAGAAAAAATAAATGAATAAAAGAAAACAACTTGTTGCTTTTCCAAGAGACCCAAAATGTGACAGTTGGGAAGAATGTAATAATAATGAGAAGTATAATGGTAATTAAGATACACATAGGACTTCCTTAGGCAAAACAAGGGTATCGTTTTCAGTTCTTGATGTATATGAACTTCTTCAATACTCATTGTGGTCCTAGAAGAATTGCACTCTAATTATTCCTGTTTTACAGATGAGCCAGTTGAGGCACAGAGAATTGAATTTACTTGCCCAATGTCACATAGGAAGTAGCAAAGATTGTAAAGCCAATCCTCTGGCTTTTTTGGGTCTGTCTGTGCTATTAATCACTGTACATCAAATCAGATAATTAACTGTCTGTCAAATCAGAAACACAGCCTCTTCTCTTTGAGATTGAAGAAGTTAGGTGGGGCTCAACAAATTGAAATAACATTTCTCAAGTCCTCAGCCAATAGTAAACTGTTGGATATGCAGGGCATAGAGGCTCATGCCTGTAATCCTAGCGTTTTGGAAGGCTGAGATGGGAGGATCACTTGAGCCCAGGAGTCCCAGGCTGCAGTGAGCTATGATGGCGCCATTGTGCTCCAGCTTGAATGATAGGGTGAGACCCAATTTCAAAACAAACAAACAAACAAACAAACAAACAAGCAAAACAAAACCAACCAAACAAAACAAACAAAACGTGGATACCCCTATGTTAACAGATACTACAAATCTTGATCCCTTCTAGCCTCCCTGTTGAAGTTGTTACCCCTGAGGGTGATCAGACCAGTGCTAACAGGCAATACTGTGCAAAGCCAGGGAGTCTCAGCCTCCTTGTGACCAGCTCTTTACAGGGCCATTGTTCTTATGAAAATTAGGGAGGGATGTTAATGGAGGGAAGCTCCACTGTTTAGCCCTATGTTTGTGAATAAGGAAAATGTTTTCCTTCTATAGCCTCTTTAGAGACAATTAAGCATTAGCTTTTGTTGGATGCTAAATTATGAGTGAATTTAGTTTAAAGTATGTGAACCATGCACCCTTTGAAATTTGCCTGAAAAGGCTCATTATAAAACTAATGCTATGAAAAAGCACTCCCTTTCAGATTAGGGAAAGCACCTGAATAGTTTTCATAAGTGGCTGCACATCGTTTGAAAGCATTCTAGTGTTGCCTGAAACGCTTTCAACACACCTTTCAACTAGGAAATTTCACATTCAGCATATCTGTAGTTCTACAAGACTTTCAATAATATTTAAATTGGTTAACTGTATTTCTTTTATATCTGTTTTAATGCTGTTATTGATTTGAGGTAGATAAACTTGATTGTGCATGAAATCTTATTTTTCCACACAAAGGAGATATGATTTGAGTATATACAGAAGAGAACCACACCTCTAAATGGACCAGGCCTCCGCAGTGCAAGGGTTTGGGTCAGATAGATATTTGCTGGCCCTTTGAACTATACTGGTACTGACACCAACATTTGTTTCCCCAAAAGTCAGTGCTGCAAAAGAGGCCTTAGAAGATACCTCTTTCTTAAGAGGTATCCTCTTGGGAGGAGACTCTTAAGTCTTGGTATGAGACTAAATCCTTCCATTAAGAACTCAAGGTTTTTAGTTTGTGTGTTTGTTCGTTTTTGGCACTTATAGACACTATGATTCCTATAGCCAATAGTGTTAGCCTCTTTCTTTTGGTCACAAGGAAGCTAAGAACCCAACTTGTGGATATTTCCACAATACAGTAGACGATGTAAAATTTTAAATTATTTTAAACTGTGTATTTTATAAGCCAAAACAAGGACATAGCTCATTTTATTTTACTGCTCACATGTATAATAAACCTATTAGATTATTAGATCCCAAATAAGAATCAATGTGTGATACCTGAAGCACTGAGCTGCAAGGGGCACCTATGTTCTTAAAGAGTTTCTGCATCACGTATAGGTGCATGACTGGTAGCGCAATCATAAGGGCCGGAGAGGACTGTATTCAAATCTCAGCCCTGCTGCATGTCAGCTTTGTTACCTTAGGCAAATTACATCATCTCTTGGACTCTTAATTTCTTTGTCTGAAAGATGAGGATGATAATACTAATCTAATAAATAAACAAGTGAATAAGAACCTCAGTCACAGCTCTTTATTGAATGCCCTCTGTGTATCATACACATTTTTTTTTTTTTAAGACAGAGTCTCACTCTGTTGCACCCAGGCTGGAGTGCAGTGGCTCAATGTCAGCTCACTGCAACCTCCGCCTCCTGGGTTCAAGCGATTCCCCTGCCTCAGCCTCCCAAGTAGCTGGAATTACAGGAGCCTACCACCATGCTCAGCTAATTTTTTGTATTTTTGGTAGAAATGGGCTTTCACCATATTGACTAGGCTGGTCTCAAACTCTTGATCTCAGGTGATCCGCACACCTTGGCCTCCCAAAGTGCTGGGATTACAGGCATGAACCACCGCACCTGGCTGTATCAAACACTTTATAAGGGTTTGGGGATGCAGCCGTGATGCCGATGGATATGGTCCCTGCCTTTTGGGGGCTTATAGTCTAGTCATGGAAATGAATTGGAAGGGCAAATGTGGAAGTGACTGCCTGTAAGCCCCAAAGTAAATGGTAAGCATGTGGTGAATAAGCAGATATGGCAAATGAAGAGAAAAGCAATGAAATGAATGTTTTGGAGTTTGGATACTGAAGTGACATTTTTTGTGCTTTATACCCAGAACTGACCTAGTAAGGTTAGTACTATGAAAATAGAGCCAATACAATACTCATGTGCAAAAGCAGGTAAAGAGAAAATGAGGTCTCCTATGTGTGTGGGAACCTGTGGATGGCTGCTTTCCATTGACTCTTGACAGTTTAGTTTTTTTCTTGAGCTAATCCCTATAGTAGTGATATTTTTAAGGAATCCAAGGAAAAACAAATACCTGCAAGTAGCAAGCAATTTATAGAATACCAAAAAACTTCAGTGACATTCACATGTTTAATTTTAGCAAGGATGCTAAGCAACACATTGAAATATAGTAAAACACTAACTTTGCACCTGAAGAAAGATGTATTTGTTCAAGGCCATGCAACCAGTGAGGAGTGGGAGGTAGAAATTCAGCGCTCCAGGAATCTTCTGCTTTATAACTTATCTTCTTTCTGCATCCAAATTCAGTACTTTTGGTTTAATATCTCAGATTAAATGTACTCGTTAAAGACAGATATATACAACATGGCTAGTTATTGTAGGTAAGTTGAAGGTGACCATTGCCTATAGACTTCTATTTGAAAGACTGATGAGTACAGCAAATGCAGTGGAATATTTATTGATATTTCATATTTAAGGAAAAATTTGCCGCATAGCTCAATTCTACGTCGTTTGAGATTATGCAATAAATACTATTTATCCCAGTGTTAAAGCTGACTAAGAACTGTTTCCTTAGAAAAAAATTGGCCCAGCTGAAAGGGACTTTTTTCAGTTGCCACTAGAAATGGAATTTCAGCATCTCAAAGCACGTGCCTTAATTTAGATTTGTATTTGTGATAAAAAGATCAGGATGATCCCTCTGCACAGATGATGGCCAAGCAAATGAATCTGCCTTCACATATGCAATGGAGGATGTTGACACACCAGGCTCTTGTGTTTGAATACAACCTTAAACTTTTTATAAATTATTATCCAAAACGCAATGGTCAGAAGTACTATCTATAGAAGACTCCCAAAAGGGCCTCTTTCTCTAAAACTTAGCTCAGTTTTGCATTGCACAGTTTTGGTTCCACGTAGAATTGCCTTTGCAAATTGTGATTTATTATCATGTTATCAGACTGCACTGATGTAAACTTTTAGAAATAATGACATAAAATACATTGTTAGATACAATGACTTAGAGGAGGACATTGCCTATCACAGCTAATAGTTTTCTTCTTTATAAAGATTAATCAGTGTCTGGAAAAATGAATCACTTTTATTTATGGACACTGTACAGCACCTATGATTCTCTCTTTTCTTTGGCTGCTCGGAAACATGCACAATAAATTTATAGTCTACCTTAAGCTTTGACCAGAACTGTTTACATCCCAGTTCGCAAAGATGACCTTCATGCCTCTCTGTTGCTGTTTATGTTCACTCAGCTTCAATTTCCTACAATTGTTTATTGTATTCTAAAAACATTGCAAAAGCTGCTTCAAATTTTTGCAAAAAATATGGGAAATGAAAAATGCAGATATATGAACACACACATAAAATATAGCCATTTGATGTCCTTTCTATGTGCATGCCATTATTTCATTTATAATTTAAAGTACATGTGAATTTTAGAAAAAGTTTAGAAAGGGAAAAATAAGGCTAGATATTAGGAAGAGAATAGTCTTTCAATAGGATTTTTTTTATTCTAAGTAGATTAAAATTTTTTGACATATTTTTACATATTCATGGGGTGCTTGTGAAATTTTGTTACATGCAAAAAATGTGTAATGATCAAGCCCATGTACTTAAGAGTGTCCATCACCCAAGTATTTATCATTTCTATTTGTTGGGTACATTTCCGGTACCCATTTCTAGCTACTTTGAAAGATACGATACATTGTTGTTAACTATAGACACCCTACTCTTCCTTGGATCATTAGAACTTTTATTCCTTCTATCAACTTGTTTGTTTGTACCCATTAAACAGCCTCTGGTTAACTCCCCCGACCCCCACCCCCATACACCCTTCTCAGTCTCTGTATCTATCATTACACTTTCTAATTCCATGTGATCAACTTTTGTAGCTCCCACATATGAGCGGGAACACACAATATTTGTCTTTCTGTGCCTGACTTGCTTCACTTAACATAATGACCTCTGGTTTTATCCATGTTGCTGCAAATGGCATGATTTCATTCTTTTTTAATGGCCAGATAATGTTCCATTGTGTTTATGTGCCAGGTTTTCTTTACCTATTTATCCACTTATGGATACTCACTTAGCTTGATTCCAAACCTTTGCTATTACAAATACTGCTGCAATAAACATGCTGGCGTCCTTTTGATATATTGATTTATTTTCCTCTGAATAAATATCCAGTAGTGGCATTGCTCGATTGTATGGTAGCTCTATTTTTAGTTTTTTGAGAAATCTCCATACTGTTTTCCATAGTGGCTGTACTAATTTACATTCTCATCAATGGTGTATATGTTCCCTTTTCCCCACAAACTTGCCAACATCTGATATTTGTTGTCATTTTTTAATAGTAGCTATTTTGACTAGTGTAAGATAATATCTCTTTGTGGTTTTGATTCACATTTCCCTGATGATTAGTGATTTTGAGCATTTTGTCATATACCTGTTGGCCATTTGTATGCCTCCTATTGAGAAATGTCTATCATGTTCTTTGCCCCGCTTTTTAATGGGATTATTTGTTTTTGTATGTTTGTGTTGTTTGAGTTCCTTGTATATTCTGGATATTCATTCCCTGTTGGATGAGTAGTTCACAAATTTTTTCTCCTTTTCAAAAGGTTACCTCTTCACTCTGTTGATTGTTTCTTTTGCCGTGCAGAAGCTTTCTAGCTGAATATAGTCCCATTTATCTGTTTATGTTTTTGTTGTCTGTGCTTTTGAGGTCATAGGCATAAAGCACTTGTCTAGACCAATATCCTGAATAGTTTTTTCTGTTTTCATCTAGTGGCTTTATTGTTTTGGGTCTGAATTTAAGTCTTTAATCTATCTTGAGTTGATTGCTGGACGGGGTGAGAGATAGGTGTTGAGTCTCATTATTCTGCATATGATTATTGAGTTTCCCAACATCATTTATTGAAGAAGGTGTTCTTTCCGCAATATCTGTTTTTGATGACTTTGTCAAAGATCAGCTGGCTGTAAGTATGTGGGCTTATTTCTGCATTTTCTACTCTGTTCCGTTGGTTTATGAGTCTATGTTAATACCAACATCATGCTGTTTTGTTTACTATAGCCTTGTGATATACTTGGGAGCCTGGTAGTGTGATGTCTCTAGCCTTGTTCTTTTTACTCAGGATTACTTTGGCTATTCTGGCTATTTATTTTTGTTCAGTACAAACTTTAGGATTTTTTTTATTTCTGTGAAAATTTTTCTGTGAAAAATTATATTAGTATTTTGATAGATATTACATTGAATCTATAGACTGCTTTGAGCAGTATGGTAGTTTTAACAATATTAATTGTTCTAATCCATAGGCATGGGATGTCTTTCCATTATTCTGTGTCCTCTTCAATTTATTTCATCAGTGCCTTATAGTTTTCCTTGTGGCGATCTTTCACCTCTTTGGTTAAATTTATTCCTAAGTATTTTATTATTTTTCATGGCTTATATAATTGGGATTGCCTTCCTAATTTCTGTTTCATCTATTTTATTTTTGGTGTATAGAAATGCTATTGATTTTTGTATGTTTATTGTGTATCCTGCAACTTTACTAAATTTGTATATCAGTTCTAAGAGTATTTGGTAGAGTGTTTTGATTTTTCTCAATGTAAGATTGGGTCATCTGTAAAGAGGGACAACATATTTTCCAATTTCAATGCCTTTTAGGGCTTATAGCACTGTGTTGAATTGGAGTGGTGAAAGTGGGCATTCTTGTCTTGGTACAGTTCTTAGAGGAAAAGCTTTCAACTTTCTCCCATTCAGTATAGTGTTAGCTCTGGGTTTTTCATACATGTTCTTTATTATTTTGAGGTATGTTCGTTTAATGCCTAGTTTGTTGAAGGTTTTTATTATGAAGCGATGTTGTGTTTTGTCAAATGCTTTTTCTGCAGCTGTTGAGATAATCATATAGTTTCTATCCTTCATTCTGTTGATGTGATGTATTAAGTTTATTGATTTGCATATGTTAGACCATCCTTGAATCCCTGGGATAAATTCCAATTGATCATGATTAGTTATCTTGTTGATGTGCTATTGGATTCAGTTTGCTAATATTTTGTTGAGAATTGTTTGGTTCTATGTTCATCAGGGATAATGGCCTGTAGTTTTTATTTTTTGTTATGTTCTTGTCTGGGTTTGGTATCAGGGTAATGCTGGCCTCATAGAATAGTTAGGAAGAATTTCTTTCTCTTAAATTTTTTTGAATAGTTTGAGAAGGATTGGTTTTCTTTCTTCTTTATTCATTTGGTAGAATTCATTAGTGAATGTATCCAGTCCTTGGCTTTTCTTTGTTTAGAGACTTTTTGTGAATGATTCAATCTTGCTACTTGCTATTGGTCTGTTTAGGTTTTCTGTTTCTTCCTGATTCGAACTTGGTAGGTTTTATGTTTCCAGGAATTTATTTGTTTCCTCTAGGTTTTCTAGTTTACTAGCAAATAGTTGTTCATAATAGTGTCTAATGATCTTTTGTATTTTTGTTGTATCAGTTGTAATGCATCCTTTTTGATTTATGATTTTGTTTATTTGGGTCTTCTTTTCTTGGTTAGTCTAGCTGCAGTATATCAATTTTGTTTATCTTTTCAAAAAACTTTTCACTTTTTTGATCATTTGTATTGATTTTTAGTCTCTATTTTGATTAATTCTGCTCTGATCTTCTTTTTAAAATTTCTTCTTCTAATTTTGGGTTTGGTTTATTCTTCCTTTTCTAGTTCCTTGAGGTGCATTGTTACATTTTAAATTTGCAATATCCCTACTTTTTTGATGTAGGCATTTAGCCTTTTCTCTTAGCAATTCTTTTGCCCTAACCCACAGATTTTGGTATGGTATATTTCCATTTTCATTTGTTCTGAGAAACTTTTTGACTTCCTCTTAATTTTTTCATTGACCAAACAGTTATTCAGGAACATGTTGTTTAGTATCCATGTGCTTGTATAGTTTCTAGAGTTCCTCTTGGTATTGATTTCTAGTTTTATTCCAAGTCTGAGAAGATACTTGATATGTCAAGTACTGATTTTAAAAAACTTGTCAAAGCTTGTTTTGTGGGAGATTTAAAAAAATTTGTTGAGGCTTGTTTTGTGGGCTAACATATGTTCTATCCTGGAGAATGTTTCATGTGCTGATGAGAAGATGTATATTTTGCAGTTGCTGAATAAAATGTTCTATAAATGTCTGTTAGGTTCATTTGGTCCAAAATCTACTTTAAATCCAATGTTTCTCTGTTAATTTTCTGTCTAAATTATCCGCCTAATGTTGTAAGTCAGATATTGAAGTTCCCCACTATTTTTGCAGTGAGATTTATTTCTTTCTTTAGATCTAGTGACATTTGTTTTATGAATCTGGGTGCTCCAATGTTGGGTGCATAAACATTTAGGATTATTAGATCCTCTTGCTGGATTGATCTCTATCATTATATAGTCACCATATATATGTATATATATGTGTGTATATATATAATGTAAATATATTACTGTTTATAACTTAAAGTCTGTTTTAAGTATAGCTGCTCTTGCTGTCTTTTCGTTTCTATTTGCATTGAATATCTTTTTCCATCTCTTTACTGTGAGTGCATTTCTTGTAGACAGCATACAGTTGGATAATTTTTTTTATTCATTCAGCGAGTCTATATCTTTTAAGTTGAGAATATTTTCAATTTATGTTGAAGGTTATTGTTGATAAGTGTGGTTTTTTTCCTGTTATATTGTTCATTGTTTTCTAGTTCTTTCATACATTCTTTGTTCCTTTATTTTTCTCTTAGTTTGTTATAGTAGTTTGGTGGATTTTTGTAGTGGTACCATTTGAGTCCTTTCTGTTTCTTATTTGTGTGTTTGGTTTATCAGTAAGTTTTATACTTTTGTGTGTTTTCATGATTGTAAATGTCATCCTTGCACTTCTGAGTTTAAAACCCTCTTGAGCGTTTCTTGTAGGGCCAGTCTAATGGAAATGAATTCCCTCGGTCTTTACTTGTTTGGGAAAGACTTTATTTCTCCTTCATTTATGAGGGATACTTTTGCTGGATATAGTATCCCTGGGTAAATTTTTTTTCTCTCAGCACTTTGAATATATCATCCCATTCTTTCCTGGTCTGTAAGGTTTCTATGAAGAAATCCACTTTTGCTCTGATGGGCGTTTCTTTATAGGTGAAGAAAGGCTTTTCTCTTACTGTTTTAGATTTCTCTTTGTCTTTGACATTAGAGTTTGACTGTAATGTGCCATGAAGAAGATCTTTTTGCTTTGTATGTATTTAATGATCTCTGAGCCTGCTGTATCTGGATGTCTAAATGTCTTGCTAAACTTGGGAAGTTTACTTCTACTATTTCATTAAATAGGTTTTCCAACCCTTTCATTCTCTCTTTACAACTGAGACATCAGTAATTTGTACACTTAGTTGTTTTATGGTGTCCCATATGTCACAAAATCTTTGCTCATTCTTTTTTATTTTTTTTCTTTATTTCTGTCTGACTGGGTTATTTATAAAGACCTGTCTTCAAGTTCTGAGATTCTTTCTTTTTCTTCTTTATTTTATTTTATTTTTTGACTGAGTCTTGCTCTGTCACCCAGGCTAAAGTACAATGGCATTATTTCGGCTAACTGCAACCTCTGCCTCCTGGCTTCAAGTGATTCTCATGCCTCAGCTTCCCAGGTAGCTGGGGACTACAGGTGTGCATCACCACGCATAGCTAATTTTTATATTTTTAGTAGAGATGGGATTTCACCATGATGGCCAGGCTGGTCTCGAACTCCTGACCTCAAGTGATCTGCCCATTTCAGCTTCCCAAAGTGCTGGGATTACAGGCATGAGCCACCACACCTGGCCTGAGATTCTTTCTTCTGCTTGATCGTGTCTATTGTTGAAACTTTCAAATGTATTTTGTATTTCATTGAATAAGTTCTTCAGTTCCAGAATATTTTTGTTCTTTTTTGTGATGTATATCTCTGTGGCAAATTTCTCATTTATATCCTGAATTATTCTGTGATTTCTTTGTATTGTTTTTCTGAATTGTCTTTTATCTCACTGAGCTTCTTCATCAAAATTTTGAATTTTTTTTGAGATTTCATGACTTTCTTTTTGTTCTGATCTGTTGCTGGAGAATTGTGTTCTCTTAGAGGTGCAATATTTCCTTAATTTTTTTCATGTTTCCTGTGTCCTTACATTAATAATCTGGACGTCTGGTGTAACAGTCACTTCTTCCAATTTTTTTTTATTTTTGAGATGGAGTCTCGCTCTGTCGCCCAGGCTGGAGTTCAGTGGCGCAATCTCGGCTCACTGCAAGCTCCGCCTCCTGTGTTCACACCATTCTCCCACCTCAGCCTCCTGAGCAGCTGGGACTACAGGTACCCGCCACCACGCCCGGCTACTTTTTGGATTTTTAGTAGAGACGGGGTTTCAACATTCACAGGATGGTCTCGATCTCCTGACCTTGTGATCCGCCCACCTCGCCCTCCCAAAGTGCTGGGATTACAGGCGTGAGCCACCGCGTCCGGCCCCAGTTTTGTAAATTTGATTCCATAAGGGAGTTTCACCCCCGCCACCCGAAGATGTATCTGTTGTGTTCATTGGGTATGTCACTTTGGCTTTGAATCTGGATGTGTGAAGTGGTGTAGACTCTGTATGATTTCTTCAGCTGTAAACAGCATCAGTGGTGTCCGTGATTTTGTTGGTGACTTAGGGTATAGTTATTAGTGGAGGCTGTGGTAAAGTTTTGCTGATGCTGGAATGCCAGATAGGTCAGTCTGCAGGCCCCAGTGGTGGCAGTTGTTGGCTAATTGTGCCTGTCCTTGGGCCACAGGGCAGCATACACTGGCACCAATTTAGCAGATCCAGGCAAACCAATTCTTGGTCCTCTAGATAGCTTGCTCAGGTGACAGGAATGACAGTGGTGGGCTGGGTGGCTGAGCAGGTTCTGAACACTGCACAGTGGGTGTGGTGTAGGTGCTGGAAATAACAGTGGTATGGTATAACAAACCTCTGAAACCCAACTAGTCTAAGCTGATGTTGAGGGTAATGGCTGAGGAGGATTGAGCAGGCTGGTTTCCAGACCTGCAGGTGGCAGGTACAAGTGGGTGCCAGCTCTGATGGTAGCAGCACATTGAGTGGGCTTGACCTCAGAGCCCAAGGGAAGTTTCAGATGCCACTGCGGGTAGACTGGGCTCAGCATCCCCATGTTCCTGGATGGGTGCTCAGGGACTAGGGTCATGTAGAGCCAGGCCAGACTGAGCTTGCAGGTTCACTGGTGGTGTGTATAGATCCTGGCTGTGGTATGCCAAGATGGGGTGAGCCCCAGGCTGTCAGGGAATGCTCACGTGTAAGTGATAGCAAATGTGCTGAGGCCCTGCTACAAGGGAGGGCAGGATTGGTTTCCCTGGGAACAGCTTTAGGAAGACAGCTTCTAGGACATTGGGTTCACTTTTGCCTTGGCCCACAGCATTCCACAGCTGTAGCAGTCATGGACACTGAAATTTGTCCTCAGGGCATATGGGAATGTGTAGCAGCCTCTGTTTGGTAGGATGGGCAGGATTGCTTCTTGTGGCTCCTGCCTCAGCCCAGTTGCAGGGCAGAATGCAGTCTGGTGTGAGCTGAGCTCTTAAAGTGGCACTGTGCTGCCACTGCTTAGGGCTCGGGGGCTTGTAGGACCCAGCATGAGTTCTCTCTCTGGAGCAATGTCTCTGAACAGTTTCCAGGGAATTCCCTATGTTAGTCTCAGGGCCTGGGAAGGTCAAGGAGCTCTCACCTGACTAGGATTATAGGAGTCTGCTGTGGAAATGTGGACTGCTGGGGGTCTCTTACTAAACCTTACCCTGCAATGGGGGCCTTTCCTGATTCTCAGCTGATCCCAGCAAAACAGGCTGCCTCGCTTCCCTCTCCTTCCTTGTTTTAGGGGTTTCCTGACACTTCTCTGTTGGATTCCAGTGTTCTCTCTTGGATGATCTATTTGAAGTGTGATTATCCAGTCACTATTTTGGTTCTTCTTAGTGGAGGAGGTGAGTAAGAGATGCCTCTAATCAGCCATTTTGAAGCCCCTCCTCTGAGTAGGAGTTTTAACGGCTTTCAAATCTAGTTGCACATCAGAATCATCAGTAGATACATTTTAAAAATGCTGAGTGTTGGATTTTATCCCCCCAAATTTTGGTATTTTAGAGATAGGATGGAGCTCTGGCCTCCTCATTTTCTAAAGAACCAGAGACAATGTTGATACAAAGCCAGGATGGAGATCTACCAACAAAAGTGCTTAATGAGTAAGAATCTGTTAGAATATAATGTATATTAGAAATGTAATGTAAACTTATTCAAAAGCTGAGCATCAGCTTACTTGGAAAGTGATATGGTTACGCTATGTGTCTCCACCCAAATCTCGTCTTGAATTATAATTCCATAATCCCCACTTGTAGTGGAAGGGACCCAGTGGGAGTAATTGAATCATGGGGGCAGTTTCTCCCTTGCTGTTCTGGTGATAGTGAGTTCTCCTGAGATCTGATGGTTTTATTACTGTGGCATTTCCACCACTTGCACTCATTCTCTCTCCTGCTGCCCATGAAGAGGTGCCTTCTGCCATGATTGTAAGTTTCCTGAGGCCTCCCCAGCCATGCAAAACTGTGAATCCACTAAACCTCGTTTCTTAATAAATTACCAGTCTGAGGTATTTCTTCATGGCAGCATGAGAATGGAATAATACAGTAAATTGGTACTGGGACTGGAGCACTGCAGCAAAGGTACCCGAAAATGTGGAAGCGACTTTGGAACTCAGTAATAGGCAGAGGGTGGAACAATTTGGAGGATTCAGAAGAAGACAGGAAGATGTGGGAAGGTTTGGAACTTCGTAGAGACTTGTTGAATAGCTTTGACCAAAATGCTGGTAGTGATATGGACAATGAAGTCCAGGCTCAGATGGTCTCACATGGAAATAAGGAACTTGTTGGGAACTGGAATAAAGGTAACTCTTACTATGTTTTAGCAAGGAGACTAGCAGCATTTTGCTCCTCCCCTAGAGATCTTTGGAACTTTGAATTTAAGAGAGATGATTTAGGGTATCTGGCAGAAGAAATTTCTAAGCAGCAAAGCATTCAAGAAGTGATTCAGGTGATCTTAAAATTATTCAGTTTTAGGTATTCACAAAGATAAGGTTTGGAATTGGAATTTATACTTAAAAGGGGAGCAGAGCATAAAAGTTCAACAAATTGCAGCCTGACAATGCAGTAGAAAAGAAAAACCCATTTTCTGAGGAAAATTCAAGCCAGCTGTAGAAATTTGCATAAGTAATGAGAAGCCAAATGTTAATTGTTAAGACAATGGGGAAAATATCTCCAGGGCATGTCAGAGATCTTCACAGGCCTGGAGGCCTAGGAGGAAACCATGGTTTTTATGGGCCGGCCCCGGGCCTTTCTGCTTTCTGCATTTTTGGGACTTGGTGCCCTGCATGCCAGCTGTGGCTTAAAGGGACCAATGTACAGCTCAGGCCATTGCTTCAGAGGATTCAAGCCCCAAGTATTGGTGACTTGCAGGTGGTATTAGACCTGTGGTTGCACAGAAGTCAGTAATTGAGGTTTGGGAACCTCCACCTATATTTCAGAGGATGTATGGAAACACCTAGATGTCTAGGGAGAACTTGCCTGCAAGGATGGAGCACTCATGGAGAACCTTTTCTAGGGCAGTGCAGAAGGGAAATATAGGGTCAGAGCCCCCACACAGAGTCCCCACTGGGGCACTGCCTAGTGGAGCTGTGAGAAGATGGCCACGGTCCTCCAGTCCCCAGAATGATCGATTCACCAACAGCTTGCACTGTGCACCTGGAAAAGCTGAAAACACTAAACGCCAGCCTGTGAAAGTAACAAGCAACTGTGAGTCCATTAAACCTCTTTTCTTTCTTTTTTTTTTTTCCCAAGACAGAGTCTCACTCTGTCACCTAGGCTAGAGTGCAGTGGTGTGATCTTGGCTCACTGCAACCTCTGCCTCCCAGGTTCAAGCAATTCTCCTGCCTCAGCCTCCCGTGTAGCTGGGATTACAGGCCCCTGCCACTGCTGCTAGCTAATTTTTGTATTTTTAGTAGAGACAGGGTTTCCCCATGTTGTCCAGGCTTGTCTCAAACTCCTGACCTTGTGATCTGCCTGCCTCAGCCTCCCACAGTGCTGGGATTACAGGCATGAGCCACCACGCCCAGCCTAAACCTCTTTTCTTTATAAATTACCCAGTCTTGGGTATTTCTTCACAGCGGTGTGAGAACAGACTAATACAAACAGAAAAAAATAATTGCTTAAAATCTACCAAACATGTGCTGAGTTCCTACTATATGCAAAGCTCTATGTCAGGTTACAACAGAGAGTTTTCAAGTTGCCTTAGTGCCACAGAGTAAATTGAATAACGGCTGTCCTTTATTGCATCATCACCACCATTACCCAAAAACATATGTTAAAACCTACTCTAGCAAAGCAATTTGCTATGTGCTGGAGATACAAAGTACTCTAAGATATTGCCTTTACAGTCAAGGAGAGTCAACTACTTGGACAGACAGGACATGTACATAAAAAAGATAATTAACAGTGTCAGGTAGCATATGCTAAGTGCCAAATCAGTGGCAGCAACAATAAATACTCTGAGTTTCGTGGAGGGAGATCATTACTATGAGCTCTGGGGTTGGAGGCCTGATAGAGGAAGTGGAATGCAAAGTCTGACCTTGCTGTTTGTGTAGGAATTAGATAAATATTTTCCTAAAAGTCAGTTTTCTAAAATATAACTGTAGCTGGTTGGCTGCTTATGCATATGTACTCAAACTTTCTTTTAAAATGAAGGCCATATCATTGTATGTGTAGCTAGAGGTTTTAGGAAGATAGCGGCCCCCCTTCTTTTTAAAAATTTTTCATGTGTAGCTCAGTGTCTAAAACTATCAAGCAGGAAACAAGTTATAAATATATATTTTTGGGGAAGGGCAAAAAGCTCCTACATATCTATAAAATTCCATCCATTTATGAAGGGGTTCAGTATTTTCACCAGGTTTCAACCCATCTTGAGTTGACTGCTGTTTAGCAGAGAGTTTATTGTATTTCAGTCTAAAAGCAAATCTACTTTATTACAATTAGGGAGAGTGAAATAGTGCTTAACAATTTTTCCATTATAAAAATAAGAAAATGCTTGTTAACATATAATGTATTCACTTAATATGATAAGAAAAGCACTTGATTTCATTTTTCCCCTAAGTATAAAAGCCATTTAGAAAGAGTTGTTTTTATAGTGACTCAACAAAAATATCTCAGCCAAGACTGAAATCTAGAATCAGTGAGTATAAGAAAATTATGTCTAATTTTTTTAATTCTGCAAAATTCTCAATGTATGTATGACAGGCTCATATGGAAAACAGGATTTATAGAATGATCTGAAAATTAATAAACGATCACAGCTCAAAGTGAAATGGTGCTTTAAAAAAGGATGAAAATAATAAAAAAAAGAACCTTATGGTTTTTTTATGAGCATGGGTAAAAATCCATGAAAACACTCAACAATGCCCAGATGCTTTCCATCAAGCAAGTAAAAGCACTTTAAAATGTCTCTGATAGAACTCGGTACAGAGAAAATAACATTGGTCTAACTTTAATAAGTGGAGAGCTAGAAATAACACAGGAGACTGGTTCCCCCGAGTTACCAACTCTAGCTCTGGCTTTGTGTATCCAGATGAAACATGAAGAATTTATTCAGTAATGAGCCCTCACACCCAGGCTAAGGGAAACAAATCAATTTTTAAAAATTCTTTTTCTAACGGAAGTCCTTTTTTTCTCTTCCTCTAGCTTTTGGCTCATCCTTCATGTTTTACTCTTCTTCGCTCTAACTGCCAGAGCTGAAGAACTTCTTTATGGTAACAGTGAAGAATGTGTCCTTGAGGCTGAGAGGTTTTTGAAGGTTCAACAATTGAGGCATTTTTTGGTCATAATTATTAAATGGCCAGACTATGCTTTGTTTCATCAGGACTCTGCTGTATACAGACAAAATAGAACCACATACTATTTTGAAGTAAAAATCAACAGTAACCCATTTCTTAGAAGCCAGGCTACTTGAAGAGGTCAACTTGAAAATGTCTGACTTTTATCAGACTCTGCCCATCACAACTGTGGGGCTCTTGTGAATGAGGATGATTTCATACACATACAGGAAAGGTTGATTATATTTGGCACAAGCAGGTCTCTGATACATTTCAAAACAAATAGAAATTTGAAGACTTGAGTCATGATGTTTAAAAACTAAGCATTGTGGCTTGTCCTCCATCATGGGCAAAGAGATTATATATGATGGAACAGAGAATGAAACATTTAAAAATGTGGTGAAAATGACATATCCCCCTTCCATTTTTTATATCAATTTGAGCATACTTTATGCTGTTTCCTCTCTACCTTGTATGGTTTCCAGTGTATGACTGCTTCTCAATGTAACTGCTTTGCCACCCCTATTTCTTTATCCATGACAATCTTTCCTCTGGAATACCTGCAGATATTAGTTCTCTAGGATGACCATAACAATGTACCACAAAGCAAGTGGCTTAAAAACAGTAGGAATGTATTTCCTTGCAGTTCCAGAAGCTAGAGGTCCAAGATTATGGTGTCAGCAGGGTTGGTTTCTTCTGAGGTCTCTCTCTTTGACTTGCAGATGGCTTTTTCCCCTGTCTTCACATGGTAATCCCTCTGTGCTTGTCTGTGTTCTAATCTCCTTTTTAAAAATAAGGACACCAGCTGCATTGGATTAGAGTCCCTCCTAATTATCTCATTTAACCTCAATTACCTCTTTAAACACCTGTCTCCAAATACAGCCGTATTCTTAGGGAGTAGGGGCTAGGACTTCAACATATGAATTTGGGGGAACACAATTCAGCCTGTAACACTGCCCTTTTGCTCCCCAAAATTTGTGTTCTCACATGCGCAGCTCAACTCCCCACAATTACGAGTCCTTTAAATGGAAACAACAGAAAACGATTCAATCTGGCTTTATTAGAAAAAAAAAATTTTTACTCACATAACTGAAAAGTTTAGGGTAAATTATCACATCTTTTCACACAGTTGGATGCAAATGCTATAGTGATTTTATCAGGTATTGATCGCAGTCTCTCCATCTGTCTGTTCTACTTTTCTCTGTAATGGCTCCTTTCTCAGACCAGCTCTCCCTCATGGTCACAATATGGCTGCCAATTCTCTAAACTACCATCTAGCCCATGGGCAACTCCAGCAGAAAAAGACCACCTTTTCCTCAAATGTTGTAATAAAAGTCCCAGATTCAAGTTTCATTAGCTTACCTTAAATCTTGCATTCATCATGAAACCAATACTGTGATCAGATCAGTGGAATACTTTGATGAGTGAGACCCAGGTTGCATACATGGTCCCTGAGTCAGCAGTGGAATGAATCTCATGGATAAAGAGCTCGGAAGAGATCAGATCTCTTAGGGAATTGAGTTTGCTTTTATTGCAGGCAGGAAGAAGGGTGACTGGATAGGCAATAATCGGTAGATATTCACTCTACCAACCTTCCTTCCTCCCACCTCACAAATTCCAAATTAGTTTTAAAATCTCTACTCAGGCAGCACCTCCTATCCCAAATCATCTTTGACTCTCATCAACAAAGGAAGTACTGTGTATTACCTTGTCTACACCTCCATTATTGCATGAACTTTTGGCCTGACTTCCTGTCTAAATGAGCCATGGGAGCTCTAAGAAGAAGAGTCATAATTTTATGTTTCATCCACTTAATGCCAAGCATAATGCCTAATATATAGGACTCATACATGTCTCTGTGTGTGTATGTGCGTGTATTTTAAGCTGGTCAACTCAAAGAACCACAATTTATGGAAGGTATTTCTTCTTTGGACAGCTACTATCATTTCTAGTATAAAAAACAAAATGCAGCCAGCTTGAAGTAACCTCTGAGAAAGTGATTCCTATCATTGAATTAAGGGCTGAAGGTCACTGAGTGGCTCCAGTGTCAAAGGAGAATGTATAACAGGAAGAAAGCTGAGTGTTCTCAGGCAACTTGGATTTTGTCTCTGGGTCCTACTTTTTCTGTTTCTAAAACAACCTAACTTTTAGATTAAATCTTAGAAGTCTTCTAGATCCTTCAAATGGTTCATGTGGTGGTCCCCTGATAAAAGATGTGAACAACAGGGAAGGCCGCAGGAGGGCTGAATCTGGGAATGTGCATAAGGTGAGGATTGAGTGGTCCATACCTAGATCTAGGCAAGCAAGTTATGGAATTGGAAGCTCATGGGAGTCAGTAGAACATCCACGGTATCAAAGGGAAAGCAAAGATCTAACAAGAATATATTCTTTCTTTCTGTTCTTTTCCATACCACTGGCTGGCTGACCACATTTCTTCCACTCAGCCTGTCTCTACTTCTATACCTTTTTTTTTTTTTTTCAATCTGAAAACAAGAAAGTCTTGTTTCACTTAGTTTGTGTCTGTTCTTTCTTTTTCCTAAGTAAATGTTATCCAAGGTAAATGTCTATATTTATTGTCAGAAACATCTCCTCTTAGGTGCAGATGGCATCTTGGCAGAATATCAGAAGTTTCTCTTGCAATTCCTGGGGATTTTCTGGATCAACAAATATCTTGTAAGAAGCTAGGAACCCCTGTTTTCTGTCAGACCATAAACTCTATAGCAGTATGTAATTTTGATCCGCGCACCTGTATGTCTGTGCCTGGAGAAACCAGTTCGTCTCTTTTATTACTTCATGACCCTTATCCAAGTGCCTGACACATGGTAGGCCCTCAATGATACAATTCTTTAATGACTGAATAAATAAAACATAAATTAGTAAATGTCTTGCATTTGGAATATTCATATTTCATCAATTTTAGGGCATGTTATATATTTTTCACTTGTTGACACCTGTGGAATACTTGCTGGCCACATTCAATCACTCCTGGCTAAAGAGCATTGTATTGGAGTTGTTATTGACTACACATGTACACATCTGGCCAAAACTTCCATGGTGTCATGTACATTATTGGTAAAATATGTTGAACTTAAATATCATTTGCTTTTATATGAAACAATGATGTTTAATGAACATTTAAAAGAATGTTCTTTAAAAGAAAGAATATTGTCCTACTTGTTGTCTGATAATCTTCCATTTAAGCCTTCTCATAAGATCAAGAAAGCGTAAGTGTCAGCATACAGAATGAATGTCAGCAGCTTGGAGGAAAATCACCAAGATGATAGGAGAACAAATACTATTTTAAGAAGTGCTGTGGGCGGGGCCCGATGGCTCACGCCTAATCCCAGCACTTTGGGAGGCCGAGGTGGGTGGATCATGAGGTCAGGAGTTCAAGACCAGCCTGGCCAAGATGGTGAAACCCCTTCTCTACTAAAAACACAAAAATTAGCTGGGCGTGGTGGCACACGCCTGTAATCCCAGCTACTCAGGAGGCTGAGCCAGAGAATTGCTTGAACCCAGGAGGTGGAGGTTGCAGTGAGCCAAGATCATGCCACTCCATTCCAGCCTGGGCGACAGAGTGAGACTCTGTCTCAAAAAAAAAAAAAAAAAAAAAAAAGAAGTGCTGCATCACCAACTCTCCAGCTCAGAATGTATGGAATGTACAGACATTAATGACTCTGAGTCAAAGATAATGATTCAGAAGGGTTGGATTCCTAATATGAAGAACTTTTAGCAATGTATTCTGTTTATATTTTCCATAAGAGCGTTATACAATTAAAATTTATGTCTAAATGAGTCTTATGAGATCTTTCAATAAGTTTTTAACATTAAATGATAAACATTAGGCTATAATGTGATTGACAACATTTTTATTACTTAGTCATTATACAGTAATGTATCATACAATCAATAGATCTCAGGTCTTATGAAATATCAATAGAAGAGACATTTTGAGGCTGAAGAACTAGTTATGAAGCCTCAAATCTTGCCACATAGAGTATTTCCTGCTTCTCCCCTGGAACTAAATTAATTCTCTCTCCATGAAGATAGGCTTGGATTAGACCTAAGAGAGAGTGTTCTCAAAATCAAAATATGTGAATGACAAGATTAGGTATTGAGGGACATTGTGAGTTCTACAGCCTCTGAGATTTGCGGGACAAGCCTGCTAGGTTCTACCCATGTTTGTATGCACAGAGCACATGTGCTTTTAAACATATGCATTCTTCTGTGGAATGACTAGATAAGTTGGCCTTCTGTCCTTGTAATACAGGAGATGCAAAAAAAAAAAAAAAAAAAGCAAATAAAATAGTAAGAAATGGAACTTAGCTGATTGCCTGAATCCATATATCAGAAGCCTGTAAAGAGTAAGAAATAGTCAATTTGTATGATCTTTCTTCACTGATCAGGAAGAGATGTTCTTGATCATAGATTAAAGTTGCTTTGGGCTTTATTTTAGAAAATAAGAAACATAAGCTATTTGCTTATGAACAGATACTGCTTTAGCAAAGCCTTTCCTGGGACCTACTGAGCATTGCATTGAGGTGTATAAAATATGATTAGATAGCAGTATTTGCATACTTGGTTCGTAAATAGAGCAACATTCCTTATGTGTCTGGGTCTATAGGTCTTTGTATCAGCAGACGAAATAAATCCCCCAAAACAACAATAAGATTCACTTGTCTTTAAAAATCACTACAGAAAGATCTGGTCTCTCCAAGGTATCTTTGAAGAGTGCCTTGTCATGTTCATTTATCTAACTATAAGTTATAATGTCGAATGTCATGGCTAATAGACACTTTTCATTTAGTTCCTAATTTGGACTGTGTTGATTTGACCTTCTGTAGACTGATGAGACATTATTTCAAACCAACTAGTTTCAGAGAGCCATAAATACAGTTCAGGGCACAAGAATCACACTTCCAACTCCAGTGCTATGTTTATACATTCTTCATTTCTCTGGGGCTGTTCTTTCTATCAAGAACATGTTTTCTTCTTGTCCTGACTACCCCATTTCTTCATTAGCAGTTCAGGCACTGTTTCCTCCAAGACACCTAACATAGCCCATTCACCTCAATAGTCCAGCTACATTAACATTGAATTATACGGTTGCCATAGTGTCGGAACTGGGTACCTATGTTTATCCCAGAATGAATCACACCAACGAGGTACCTTTTACTAGACTTCCTCCCCCACTAGTAGTCTGTGGATAATTTGAAAGCAGATGTGTTTGCTTGTACTCAGTACTAGAACAGTGCCTAAAATAAAGAACATCTCTCAATAAATGAAGAAACAGTTGAGAAATACATTTAAAATTATATTTATTCATGGATAAATTAATAAACTTTTTATATTGTTGTTTATTTATTTATTTTGAGATGGAGTTTTGCTCTTGTTGCCCAGGCTGGAGTGCAATGGCGTGATCTCAGCTAACCGCAACCTCTGCCTCCCAGATTCAAGCGATTCTCCTGCCTCAATCTCCCAAGTAGCTGGGATGACAGGCACGCGCCACCATGCTCGGCTACTTTTTTGTATTTTTAGTAGAGACAGGGTTCTTCCATGTTGGTCAGGCTGGTCTCCAACTCCTGACCTCAGGTGATCTGCCTGCCTCGGCCTCCCAAAGTGCTGGGATTACTGGCGTGAGCCATTATGCCCAGCCTTTTTTTAAATAGCCTTTACTGGGATTTTATTGAAGTTTTCCTAAAAATACTTTTTCATAAGCTTGTATTTTCTGATACTGGGGCTCCCCTTAAGTATTCTTGTGCTGACATGACTAAATAATATGAACAGCATCATTCCTCTAAAGAACAGGAGGAGACAACAAAGTGACTTTGGTAGGTGGCCTTTTTTTTTTTTGCTCTGTTTGTCCGTGTTTATACTGATTCTTTCTAATTATTAACCATTTCTTTAGAGATAATATTTGCCCACCTGTTGTTGTTGTTTGAGTCCCCCATTTCTTTTTAATGATATAACTCCTTCAGCAAGCTTTCTTATTTTTTTTAATTCCACTCATTCTGCCGATCTTTTACCTCATGTGTATCAGTTAAGTTAAAAAAAGGTTTCCACTAAAAAAGAGGAAAAAGAAAACAGACAGCCCAACTCTAAGTAGCCAATCAATAGATTTATTGGCTGATAACAGAAAAGAGCAGAGTTAAGGAGCTTCAGGGTGCGTTGACCCAGCCATCTATAATGTCACTGGGCAGCCAGGTCCTTTTCCAACGTCTTTTCACGTTTTGGTTTTTCTGTCCATGTATTGGCTTTATCCTATGCTTGGCTTTACTTTGGCAGTGCATGAAATAGTGGACAGCAGCAATCAGGAATATGTGCTACCTTCTTCATGTTCAGCAGGAGAAAGTATGCAGTTCTTCTTTTGTTCTTAGAACAAGAAAAATTTCCCGAATGTCTTAAGAAACCTTCTCCTCATGTCTCCTTGCATTGGGCTAAGCCTCGTGTCCATTCTTGAGCCAATTCCTCTTCCACAAAATGGGAAACAGGTAGGGTGGATGGTGAGGAGTAGCCACAGTGTCTATAAAAGCATATCTCCATCATTGTGCTGTATCTTTTCTTTACATGTTCTAGTGATAGCTCAAAACTAATATTCCCAAAATAGATCACCACCTTTCCCTTTAGAGTAAATCCAATTCCAAATTGCGTTTACATTTTCCTTATTATCTGCTCCATAAAACAAAGCATTACTTTTGATCCTGTCTCATTCACACCCCAAACCTGATATAATATAGTGAGCAAAATACCTAGTTCATTCATTCAGCTACTATTTACGAAGCCTGTACTATATACTGGGCACTAGGTATATAATTGTATATACAGCATAGTCAGGCGGGTTAGAAGTAAAACAATGGCATGCAATAATAGAAAAAAAAGTCTTGTTCCTTACAAACACTAAACAAACTTGCACATACTTATAGGGTTACAAATTCTGACAAATGCTCTGGAAGCAATATATAGGGTATTGTGAAAGATGGAGTCAAAATGAAGTTCCTATTAAATTGGGTGGATAAGCAAGAGTTCTCTGAAGAAGTGACAAGCTAAGTCCTGAAGAGCAGAAGGAGGCAGAGAGGCAGACAGGCAAAGAGAGAGGATGAACATTGCACACTGAGAATCACGTACGATATAATCAAGGAACTGAAAGGATTCCAGCAAGAATGTGGTATAACACGACTCAAGAGAAGGGTGCTTCACAAAGAAAGGATTGATGACATGGTTCAATGTTGCCAAGGGGTTGAATGAGATGAGGACTGAAGAGCAATTGTTGGATTTGGCAACATGGGTATCTTTTGAGGCCTGAGCTGGAGCAGTTTTAGTGGAGCGATGGGAACAGGAGCAAGATTGGAGTGATTTGAAAAATGATTGCAAGATGACAAAGTGGAGACATGATATGTACACAACTCTTTGAAGACGTTTTTCTCTGAAGTGTAATAGAGTAACGGTTGATGGCTGAGGAAGATTGCATCATAATGGAAGTGGATTGTTTATTTTTATTTTTCACTTATATTGAGATGAGACTAAAATTCTCACCTACACAGTCTAGAACTACATGAGGGCCAGGATTTTTTGTCTGCTTTGCTTGTTTTTTTTGTTTAGGTTTTCTTTGTTTTCTTTTTTTGTTTTTTGTTTTTTTTTTTTTTTGAGATGGAGTTTTGCTCTTGTCGCTCAGACTAGAGTGCAGTGCAGTGGCATGATCTCAGCTCACTGCAACCTCTGCCTCCCAGGTTCAAGCGATTCTCCTGCCTCAGCCTCCTGAGTAGCTAGAATTACAGGCACATACCACTACATGAGGCTAATTTTTGTATTTTTAGTAGAGATGGGGTTTCCCCATGTTGGCCAGGCTGGTCTCAAACTCCTGACCTCAGGTGATCTGTCTGCCTCGGCCTCCCAAAATGCTGGGATTACAGGCATGAGCCACTGCACCTGGCCTGTTTAGGTTTTCTAATTGATGTACCCCTAACTCATAGAAAAACTCCTGACACGTAGTAAATACTGATTAACCTTTGATGATGAAATAAATGAGATATACAGTTGACCTTTGAAGAACATGGGTTTGAACTGCATGGGTTACTTATACCTCGGTTTTCTTCCTCCTCTGCTGCCCCTAAGACAACAAGACCAACCCCTCCTGTTCCTCTTCTCCAGCCTACTCTATGAGAAGATGATGAGGATGAAGACCTTTATGATGATCCACTTTCACTTAATGAATAGTAAATATATTTTCGCCTCTTTATGATTTCTTAAGGACATTTTATTTTCTCTTGCTTTATTGTAAGAATACAGTATGTAATATATATAACATACAAAATATGTCTTCATTAGCTACGTTACTGGCAAGGCTTCCAGTGAACAGTAGGCTATTTGTAGTTAAGTTTCTGGGGATTCAAAAGTAATACACAGACTTTCAACTGCATGGGGTCAGGGCCTCTAACTCCCATGCTGTTCAGTGGTCATCTGGACTAGATTATGTTTGTGTGTAGACGAAAAATATAAATCACAGAATAGGAGGCCAAAAACGCAAAATAGAATCTTTCAGAAGGAGTAGGGCTCAGATTCTGTGCGTATGTAAATGGTTTGACATTTAACAGCAGCTGGGACATGTTGAGGTTTTTTTTTTTCCCATTGAAATAAAAGAGTAGGAAAAGATGGGTGTAGACACAAAGGGCTTCTAGATTTGGGATAAAATTCGCATCTTACAGCTTCTAGAGATTCTTAAAGAGAATGAGGCAAGATTATCAGATGAAAGTAAGGAGGGGGTTGCCAGTGTTGCTGAGACTAGAGATGGAACATAATGAAGAAAGGTAGTTAAATTTCTGGGAAATTTAAGGCAATGCATTGTGAATTACATCTATACTCTTTTGTCTGGTTGAATAATCCCTATCATTGTTTATCTGCACTGATGTAGTCTGAGGGTGAGTGGGGCCTCATGGCTGGTCAGGTTCCTGCAGGATTTTACCCTAGGAATTGCGGGTCATGGGAACTGAGGATATTTCGAAGGACATTATTTTAGTGGAGCAGGGAAGGGAAGTGAAGATTGGTGGGAGCCATGGGAAAAAAGAAAAACATGAGTCCTTGGAGATGAGCTCAAAGAATTGTTGTAGTGAGTTGGTGGGCTGCGTGGTTGTATTCAAATGCTAGGCTATCTGAAGCTGTGATTTTGAAGGCTGCATTGCTAGTTTCACTTAGTCACCTCCTCTGGACAGGGCATATTTCTCTCAGTATCCCTCCAAACTGCAGATTTGTCTCCATTTCCTCTGCCCCACCCTTTTTTGAGATCTTGTGATATTAATCAGTTGCAACATCCTCCTAACACATCTCCGTGCTTCTATATTTTCCCCTCTCCTCTTACCTTCTCCCTGATCCAATTTTATCTGCATTGATATCCAATTGATCTCAAAATAGTTTCTCCTTCACAAAGTATCTCTGCCCACCTCCTTCATTCTGTGTCTAGGACAAGTCTAAAATCCTTAGATTGGCCTTCAAGGCTTTCTGTTATTTTGTCATACTTCATATATAGAATTATTTTCCAGAAATCTTTGACAGGGGTCCATGTTGTACCCACACTGTCTCCTAATCTTTTGCCCCATGCCCTTGCCTGGGAAATCCTTCTTCTTCCTTTCTGTGAGTGAAAATCATTACTGTGATTTTAATCTAAATCTGTTCTATTATTATTTGCAGTTTACTAAAGATTAAGTCAAGTGTACCTTGTTTAGCCAAGAACTTATGTCATCCTTTATGTGTTCTTCTAATGTTATGATGATTACATCAGAGGTCTTTACATTTAAGCTTAAAGATATTTCTCTTTTTACATCACATTTTAATGGCAAATTATAATAATGATAATAACTATCATAATAGTGACAAACTCAATTGTCCAAATGTGGAAAAAACAATGTTTCTATGTAATTTACATACCACTTCATTTAACACGTGTTAACCTAACTCCCACACAGTGGAATATTAATTATATTTAAAGAAAAACAGGATGGCTATTTTGAGTATCTGGAAGCATCAACAATGTGGAAATGCAGTTTTACCATGTGAGCCACAAGCAGTTAAATGGCTGCGTTTTCCGATGTATTTGTCCCAGAAATATAGCTGTGTTCCTGAAGCAGCAGGAATATTGTAGCTTTCCGTAAGTGTAGCCTCCAAGGAAGTGAGGAGGCCAAGAGGCCAGGTGTTCTAGGGAGAGCTTCGCCAGTGTTTGACATGTGGAGAGAAGCACATCTGAGAGAAGCCCAGGGCATTCTGAGTGGATAAAACGTTAGTCACTGTACCTCCGAGGGATAGGTGCTGGGCTTTTAGTGAGGCTGTGAGTGGTGTCTCTCAGTCTCCCAAGGGGTAGAGAGCCTTATTTCTAGGGGGAGTGTGGCACCTCATCACTTGGATGCACCCAGAGTGCCATCCTGTGGCCTAAATGAGCTGTGTTTGTGTGTAGTTGGACAGCCTGTGGTATTTTCAAGGAGTTTTATGAGAGCAAAAGTATAGTGGAAGTAAGATTTATCACGGCTTCTTCAAAGCATGACCAAAAGAAAAAAAAAACAAAATCAGAAAATGCAAAGGAACACCTTATAATTCCTGTCAAATTGGTTCCAATTATAATCCTCATCTAGCCCACTGCTGGTTCTATTCCGGTGTCTAATTCTTAGTTGCCATTTTAATTCCTCTGCTGGTTTCCATGGTTTCTTCCCCCTCCTTCCTCAAATGTACATTAGCAGTGATGTTTGCTTTTGTCTTAATTTGAAAACAGGTTTTAAAATGCTAATATTTGTAATGTCAAGAGAGTAGGTAACTTGACTTAAGGAAATATGGCATTTCACACTTGGGCAAACGGCAAAGAAACTGCCTCCCAGACAAAGGGTGCACGGTAGCTCTTCCCACTAGCTAAAGTGTATAAAATCATAGTAAGGAAAATGTGGCATAGTATTTTAGTTCCATTCCTTAAATCTAGGAAAGGTACAAGGAAACAGGTATTCTCATTTACTTCTAGAGGAAGCAGAAATGACACAAACTTTCTGGATGACAACTTCAAAGTGTATATAACAAATATTTCAAATGTGCATATATGTTGACCCAGCCAGCCTTTTCTTTTTCTTTTTTTTAAGAAATGTATCCTCAGGAAATGAACAGAACAGTATACAAAGAATGCTATCTGTTTGTATTATTTACACTAACAATAATTTTTCAAAAACCTGATTATTGAGTATAGGACAATGGTTCAATAAGTTATGGAACATCAAACAATGGAAATGCTGAATGATCATTAAAATGATGTTATAGAAGAAAGGATATTTCCTGGCAGGGAAAGTATTCTCAATATATTCAGGCGCAAAAGCAAATTATAGAATAGTAATTTGGGTCTTACAAATGACATATAAAGGAGTAAAGAATATCCCTACTTTCTTTCTAACTGGAGGTAGAAACTGGCAGAGAGACAGAGCCAGATACTGGAGATCAAACTAGCAGCTTCCTAATATTCTTTGTCAGCCCTTGAACTTCTACCCCTCCCACTAAACTGGGGTACTCAGTCACAGGTAGACACAGAAAATGACAGCCTCCATGCCATGGCTGGAGAGAATGCTTCCCTTGTTCATTTCCTTTTCCCATGGCTACCAGTGAGATGAGTTACTCCTCCTCTCTTGGGAGTGAGTAACCAATGGGCTGGAAAGGGGTGGAGCTAGTTCCTGTGCCTTTCTCATCTGGGGATGGCAATTTCATCCTTTCTACGGCAAGAGAGGGACACAGACTTTCCCAAGTAATACTCTGCAGCTTTTGACTGCTTTTTAATTAGTTTAGAACTAAGAAGAAGAGAGGATTGTTATCACTGCTACCTCTATAAACCCAAATAAATAAGTATAGTGGGCTACCGCATTTATGTATGTGTATGTGTGTGCATGTGTGTGCATGTATTACTACATATACATAAAATGGCCACAGGTATCATATACCTATGCAAAATGTTTTCTACAATGAGCATACACTGTTTTTATAAATTACATAGATATATGTCTGTATATATGTATATGTATATAAATATGAAAGAATCTATATGTATATGTTATGTATGTATTTACATACTGTAATATTTGTTATAGTATATTTCTATAGTATTATATTAAATTTTTATCTAAATGTCTGTATATTTAAAAGGAAAAATTTAGAAGATGTGATGACAACATTGACTTGATGCCTAACCGTATCCTCAAATTCTTTTGTGCCTTGAAAAAAGCAAGGGCAAGCTTTTGCAGTAGTTGGTGGGGAGCTGCCTGTTTCCCACAGATAAATGAGCAGTGAGAATTCTTCTGCTTGCCCATGTGTTTATATGTTAGGGGGTAGTTTCATGTTGGTTGGCGCGGGGTGTGGATGGGAGGAGGAGGTGGAGGGCACTTTTGGGTAGGAATGGCCAATTGTGGGGAATGTGGTGCTTCATGTTCCCAGCTTCCCACGAAAGCCCCCCTACTAACATCGCGTTGGGATCATCCACTTACCCGTCTATTCATCACCTCATCATTCATTTTGACAAGTTTATAGCAAATTAGCAAACACCAGGATGGAAAGTATTAAAATACTTGTCCCTAACTTAAATGATTGAATAAAGCATAATTTCAGAGATGAACTAGTTATTAAAATATTATCAATAAAAGGATGTCAATAAATACTTAATATTACATATTAGGCTGCATGCTAGACCCTTTACAAGCACTGCCTTATTTGATCCTCCCAAACAACAACGCAAGAGCTAAATGAATTCTGATGTGCTTTCTATAGATGAGAAAGCTCAGACACACAGAGCTTAAGGAACTGCTCAAGGTCATCCAGCAAGTAAGTGACAGGGCTGAATTCATACCTAAGCCATTTGACTCCTGAGTTCACGCTCTTTGCTACCATCCCAAACAGCCTTTACAGCCTGATTCTTCTGAAAGTGACATTAATTAACTTTCTGAAGTCATCTTGCAGTTTTGAAATGGGAGGATACTTTTGTTTAATATCGAAGCCTTTTGGAGAAACATTATCAAAGTTTAAGGCTGTCAAATGAGTTTTATTAAAAATAATTAAAACAATATCCCAGTCATCAAGAACACATTTGTGTTGGAGGAAAAAAAAATAAATGATTGGTGCTTAAAATAGAAACCCCAAAGCAATATGGAATCACATAGCAAAATAAGATGAGGGTGCCAGCCTGCCTCCTCTGCTTCTTCTCCTCCCCTCCTGAATTTCAGTTTATCTTCTAGTTAAAAAGAACAAACCCCTGGGATAAATCATTTCTTTCTACATTGTTCCTTTCTGCTTTTTTGAATTTAAATTTGAAAATGTGAAGCCTGAGAAATCCTTGAATCTAGCTTTTTTAATATGAAATTTAATTTAGGGGATGGCATGGAAGAAGAGCTGTAGAACCTCTAATGGATTTTTTTTCTGAAGGAACATGAAATTAAATGTTGGTAATTATTTGATACGCTTCTAAATGTAGGCTCTAAATCCATCGTATCACAGGAACTTCCAGATGTACCAAGCATCAGTGTGACAACTGAAATGGTGAAATGCTTAAAAAAATGGTGAGAAACCTCATTTTCAAAACCAGATGACAGATACAAAAAGTTGGCAGTATGTCTAAAAGAAAACATAGCATGCAGAGGGAGCTCTAAAAATACTGTAAACAAAAACTGAAAGGCAACTTGGAATTTCACTTCAGAAATGTTGTAGATTTTAAAATAGCACCAGTGGCTTATTTTCCCTTTTACGATGAAATTTGACGGATTTTTGCTGTAAGAGTTCTTTTTTGTTTAATACTTGTGCCAGTCTTTGTAAATTTGATTTGGGTTTATATGTATTTTTTATTATTCTAAGATTTAAACATGCTCTCTAAATATGTTTTTGTATTATGTGAACGTGTTGAGCGTCCAAAATGTGAGTGTGCGTTGTGCTGATTCACTTCTAAGGGTAGTGGTTCTCAAACTCCACTGTGTGTTCAGAATCCCACGGAGGGTTCCAGAAAACACAGATTGCAGGCCCCGCCCCCAGATTCTCTGATTCAGCATGTCTGGAGAGGGCCTGAGAATTTGTATTGCTAAGGATTTCCCAGGTGGTGTCCGTGCTGCCGATACTTGGACTACACTTTGAAAACGCTAGAGGAAGAAGCAGCTGAACATCCCCCGGGGGGTTCCATGACTTTTCGTGAATATCAGGGTCCATAAGTTTGAATTGATGCTGTGTGTGTGTGTTGGTGGCGGGGTGGCAAAGCAGACTTGCAAACAATTTCAGCATTGGCGGACTTAGCTGAACCCATAGAGTGATCAAATACATGAAAGAATTAGTAAATTATGGATTTTGGAGGAAAGAAATTCAAAAGCCATATATATGTGTGTATATATATATGTGTGCGTGTGTGTGTATATATATATATATGAATGATATTTCAAAGTTCTTGACTGAAACATAAATTTGAAAATGCCCAATTTGTGTATACAATGTGTGCTAGAAGAAATGAACAACAAAAATGAAACTGCAGGCCCCCAAAAGAATTTCTGATTCTCCACTAATTTATAGTCCGCTGATCAGTAAAGAGTGAATAGGCCAATAAAAGGGAAATATCTGCATATCTCTGTAATTAATACTATGTCTAGGCAGCTTATACCCACCTTGTTAATTCTTGGCAAGATGACAGTGGGAAACCCAGCCAGCATCTTTTGAATGTGTATGATGCAATATATACTGGATAGAAGAGTTTTCAAAATTTACTGGAGTGCCTGTAAAATATATAGCCCCTTCATCCATATCTTTAGGTCATGTTCAAATTGAAACATTGTTGAAGTAAATCCAGGAAAAGAGCAAATGAAATACAAGGTATGAAGTACCAGTTCTATTGAGCTTGGAAGAATTCAGAAAAGGCTGCATATAAATAAGGAAGGGAGTGGTAAATTATGGCAGCTGGCTATGCCATTTAGCTAATGAACATTGCTGACATTTACAGAGCATTGTCTCACCTTTCACCAGTGCACATTTTTTCCCGTTCTTCTTTCCTTCTTTCCTTCCTTCTTTCCTTCCCCCTCTGTCTCTCACCTCCTCCTTACTTCTCTCATTCTGTCCTTATATTCGACAAGTATTTTTATCCACCTACTCTGTGCCAGGCACTGACTGTACTGGGTAGGTTTGGGGATGGTACGTTCATTTATTAAGATATATTGTCTCTTTACCTACATCAATCTTGTTGTCATTTAAGGAAGTTAGATATTAAGCACCTAATTTAAACTAGGAAAAATCCTATGAAGTAAGAGTGTGTGCTGTGAAAGGATATGATGGAGCAAGCCGTCCTATCAAGGAATCAAGACAGACTTCTAGGGATAAATGATGTTTGGACTCACTATGCCTTTATACTCACTAAGATGTAAACATCCTCTCTAAATGTGTTTCTCTATGATAGACAGAAACTTTGCTTTGTCCACTCCTTATCCCCTGCCCCTAGAAGACTGCCTGGAACATTATAGACAATGCATATGTGTTGAATTCAGAATTCTGAGCTCTGACTGTGAACAGGGCTAAGTAAACGATTAAATGGTAGTGGGGAGCCTTCCAGGAAGGCCATACATGATGTTTCTGTGCCCAAACATTAACTAAAGTGTACAGACCTTGGCTGTGCAATATGGTAGCCACTAGCCACATGTGGCCATTAGCACTTGCAATATGGCCGGTCCAAATGGAGATGTACACTTCTCAGATTCACAACAGGTTTTGAAGACTTGGTAGGAATAAAAGATTAGCCAGCCATGGTGGTGAATGCCTGTAGTGTCAGCTACTCAGGAGGCTGAGTGGGGAGGATCACTTGAGCCCCAGAGATCAAAGCTGCAGTAAGCCGTGATACTGCCACTGCACTCCAGCCTGGGTGACACAGTGAGACCTTATCTCATAAAAAGACGAAAAAAACAGAAAAGCTTTAGTAGGTTAAAAGGATGTAAAATAGCTCATTAAAAAATATAACAATATTGAGTACATGTTGAAATAATTGTATTTTGAATCTATTGGGTAAAATATAGTATTGAAATTGATTTCACCTTTTTAAATTTTTTCACGTGGCTAGTAAAAATGTAACATAACATATGTGACTTATGTTATATTTGTATTGCACACCACTGACATATAGTATAATGCATATATGATTTTATCTGATGGAGCTATCAGACAAGAAAGACAGTCTGACAGGTATTACAAACTCTTGCTCTCTGATGTTATATATGAGGCCATTCCATCCCATTTGTTTCTGCAATGTGGCGAATCCCTTCACAGAAACATGTGTCCTACTGAGATGCTATTATGTTGTAAAAAGCTTACTGTTTTGACCTATGATTTGATTGTCATATTGTGCATCTCAATACAAAAATTTTAGTATCTGAGAATGCTGCTAAGTGAATAGATTAGGTGAGCAGCTACTGAAAAGTATGGCCATGGATGTAAATGTCAATGTATTTCTTTCATGAGTCCCATTTCTATTTTGTTTGCTCAAGAGAAGTTATATTGATTGGATGGTGTTGGTTTTATTTGGTGAAATGGCGATATATTCAGGCAAATTGCTTCTCTCTTTTGAGAAAGAATAAACTATGAGAGATGGAAGTAGAGAGGGAGCATTCTCTATAGGCACAACTTCAGCTTGTAGGTATTTTAAATCCCTGAAAAGAAAAAAGTGCTAATGATTAGACTCTTTATATTCTGAATACATTCAGAGGGATTGTGGAGTCAGGAAAGAAAAGGAACGTGTTGTAAAAGTTGATTCCAAGGTCCAGCTTTGTGTGCTCACAAAGCGCTGGAAGAACGAGAACTGGCTGCGTAATTGCAGTTGCTTTCAGCTGAGGGGCCTCTTTGGTTACAAACAAATAACTAAATTCAAGTGGAGTGAGAGCACACAGAGCTACAAAAACAAAACAACACCCTTCCATAGGAGAATGTATAAACCTAAACATTAGCAGTAATGATGCAGGGTTCAAACAATGAAGATACAAGCTAATGCCTAATGCTTATATATCTATTATGCTTTTAGATAATATTTTAATGTCTTACAGTGTCCTTCACTCACTTGGAATTAGGCAAGGGCAAGCAGTCATATTTCTTTTTATTTTCCTGAAGGAGAGCAAGCACAAGCTAAGGCATTCTTGCTGCTTTCAGGCAAACCAATTTGGGCACACTCAAGATATCATACAGCTTGTATTCCATATATGTGCTGAAAAATGGCCATGTGTCTGGGCCCACTTTATCTTACTAAGAGATGGAAGACATCCTACGAACCTTCTGAATTTCCTCTATGGGATTTTTCAGCTTGATTAAGAAAGAATTGAATTGAATTTGGACTTCTGTTTGGTGAGGCAGCAATGCATTTAGAGATTTTGCTTTTTAGTTTTACTTTGGGCATAATGTTGTTCTGATACGCAAAATTAGAGCATTGAGATTCTAGCCCAATCCTCTCAAAGGCCTGAAGGATAGATAATGTTGGAGAAATATTTATTGAGTGCCTACTGTGCCAAGGCAGGTCTCAGTTTGGCAATACTAGAGATGAAACACTATTCACACCTGAAGTATATAAAAATTCCTACCAAAGATTTCTCAGGAAAGCAAAACAAGATTGAGGAATGCATTCAGGGCCAAGGGCAGGTCTTTTGGGGGGCCTAGTGTGATAAAGTTCTCCTGGCATTGGCTCAAGTAAGAGTTCATAAGATTAATTTGTTCCATGCTTCTGAAACCCAAAAGAGAAGAGCTTAGAGGGCTATGAAATCTCTTCTCTGGGGTTAGGGAAAAATGTCCAGAAACAGAAAGCCATAAACAGAAGTGCCAAAGGTGATAAGGAAAGACGTTAATGGGCTACAGAGGCTGAGTCCAAAGCATGGGGAAATTATTAGCTATTAGTATAGTTCAATAAGTATGATGAAATCTTGTTTGTTAATGTGGGCCAACCACTGTTGTAAAATAGCTCCAAGAGAAGATTTATTTATCAGTCATTGTAGTAAGTAGGCGAATGGCTTTGGGAGGTTTCCTTTCGCGTTGTCATTTGGGGGAAGAAGGAGTCCAGGCTGATAGAGACTCTGATACCTTCATCATGTGTCTTTGGAGGTTATCTGCATTTTGGCCAGCTGTGCAGGGAAATGAACACACAGAAGCATCTAAGAGATCTGTATGGGTTATACCTGGAAACTGTACATAACACTTTTCCCTTTCCATTCGTGGCTCTCAGGTACACAGCCACCGCTAACTGCAAAGGAGACTATGACATGGAATCTAGATGCTCACCCAGATGAAGACGAGAACCTGAAATTAGCTCAGCAACCAGTGGTCTCTGCTATATTGGCTCAACTAAACATTGATCCTTTACACCATTAACACAATGTGACTTTTACCTTGAGATCACTTTTGAGTAGAGTTAATACAATAGCCCTATGCCAAGTCAATCCTTATAATATTTCAGTTTTTCCAAAATATCATGCATATGTTCAGCTGGATGCTTGACTCTGGCCTTACGTGTCATAGCTCTCTGGGAAGAAGTTAAATGAAGTATAATATAAATGATCTTGTTCTTCTTTTGACCGTGTGGGCAACATGATGAATCCAAAGACCATTTATTTTGGAGTCAAATAGACATTGCTTTGTGTTCTTGTTCTTGACTTGGTAACTTTGTGGCTTTGGGTGTCTTTTTTTATTATTATTATTATTTTTGAGACAGGGTTCACTCCATCACTGAGGTTAAGTGCAGTGGCACAATCTTGGCTCAGTGCAGCCTCCACCTCCCAGGGTCAAGCAATCCTCCCACCTCAGCCTCTTCAGTAACTGAGATCACAAGCATGAGCCAACAGGCCTGGCTTTTTTTTTTTTTTTTAATTTTTCATACAGATAGGCTTTCTTCATGTTGCTGAAGCTGGTCCCAAACTACTGGGCTCAAAAGATCCACCCACCTCGGCCTCCCAAAGTGCTGGGATTATAGGCAAGAGCCACTGCCCCTGACTTGGGTGTCCTAACCTCTGTTAGTCTTAGAGTCAACATTTTAATGAGAAAACAAACAAACAAAAAAAAGTGACCTCTCAAAGTTGTCATAATGGTTAAGTTTTTAAAACGTAAAAATCATTTAGAAGTTAAAATCTTACCGACTCCAAAACTTTTTTTGTATTAGAATAGCTGTGAATTTCTATTTCTTAAGTGATTTATTTTTAAAAACTAAGAATGTAGAATGAATTTTCATAAATGATGTTTTAGCATCTATAAAGATAGTAATATTTTCTCTTTTACTCTTTAAGATGATTAATTTATTAAAAATCAGTTATATCTCCCCTAAATTCTGTGATCGTGCAGTATTAGGGCGATGTTTAGTGCATAGTTGGTGCTCTATTATTTGTTGATTGTCTGACTGTCCTTGAATCAATGCCCCAGAGTAGTAACAACCTAAATTTGTTTAAAGCTCTGAAGGTCTGAAAGATTCTGCTGCAACTAAAGCTCTGAAGATTCTGCTACAACTATGACATCCATTTTCTCCCACTTCAGACAGGATGAATACAAGGGAAGTTTACTTGAATAAGTGCGTATAAGCCTTACCTGCCAAATCAACTTAAAATAAAATCGGTAAATTCATTCCTGGGTTTTGCTCTCACCGAGATATTTAATACAAGTTGCTTGGCTGACGTATAGGAAAAAGAAAAGGCATTTTCTACACTTCAGTAAGGATTAACAAGAGAACCCTTTACACTCATAAAGACTAGCTGGCATGGGGACCACGGCCTTCCGAGCTTCCAAGGATCACAGTTATAGTGTGCAGAACCAGGGGGAGAAAAGGTGAAAAGAGAAAAAGGGCAGTTTCAGGAACAGCTGCCTTCTTGAGACCTTTCCCACCTAGGGGTTGCCTCATTCAAAGTCTTCAAACAAAGCCCAGGAAAGAAAGGCATTTGTGTCAGAACCATGTCTAGTGCTAAATGCCTAGAGAAAGCACTCTCCTCCCTGCTGTGCGTCACATGGAGATGAAATGTTAGCTCTCTATTATGCATTTGTGCCAAAGTCATCCCTCCACCCAGCTATCCTACTTCTAAGGTAGAGTAGATTCTATCTGGGTCAGCCAATGAACCAGCCCTTCTCTTAAATTTCTTCAACTTCTCTCTTGTAGTCTGCAAGTATTTATTGGACTCTAGAAATGTAGTGCTCTTCTTCTCATGGAGCTTATATTACCAAGAAAGGAGGAGGAATCTTGACAATAAACAAGAAAAAACTATAAATGAGATTATTACGGAGAGTGATGACTGCTATGACATAATAAAAAATGATATCTGCCAGGAAGTAAGGGATGAGTGTTGAATTTAGATAAGGAGATCAGGGAAGGTCTTTTTGTATAGAGGGCAAGTGACTTGACACCTGAATGGCAACATGGGATCAAGGAGACATCCATGCAAAACTCTGAGGACAGACCCTTTTAGGAAGCAAGTGAGTGCTAAGGGCCTGTGGGGGGATATTTTTGGTTGGTTCAAGGACAAGAAGACCCTTGTGTGTGGAATAGAGTCAGTAAGTCTGAAGGTGTGATAACAGGAGATGTCAGATCAATTATTTCCTTATAGGCCGTGGGAATGAATGAGTTTAGATTTTATCATAAATGTGATAAGAAACCATTCAGACCTACAGAGAATGTATTTCTTTTCTTTTCTTTTTTTTTTTTTTTGCTTTATGTAGTTAAATATTCTATGCTACTGAAAGTTCTTTGTGTGCCTTGAGCTGTACAGTCAAAAACTTAGTCCCTAATTCTGTCAAATTACAAGACAAATGAAGAATCATAAAAAGAATTTTAATAAGATTTATTGACACTGTCAAATTGTGAACTCTTGAATGGCAACTTTATTTCTTTGTTGTAATGTCTTTTACATGCAGGATAGAGTAAAGGGTAACATCTTTTCCTTTCAGATGACTGTAATGAAGACTTTTATTTAATGTATCAAAAATTGCACCTATTGTGAAGGTCCTATTTCCACGGGGTGATTGCTAAAAGCCCATGTTCTTTCTTTAAGGCATGCTCCCCATGTAAAAGCACTTATCTTGGAAAGCATGAATGAAATAGTTAAGGGAATTGGTGCTAATTAGAAATGACAAGCCGACTATAAACTCCTGCCCTCTTTTCCTTCTTGTTATGTTTTCTAAGGGTTTTATGCAAAACATTGGCATAAATGCCTTCTTGGATATGAAAACGTAGATTTCGATTTTTTGTGGCCCTGATTTTACAGCTACATTTTTTTCAAGATTTGTAAACTTACGAGAAGTACAGGTTGTGAGAGAATTAAAAAACTGTAGACTATGTCAGTTAAAATATAAAATCCTCAAATAGAAAATAAAGAATATGTCAGTGCTGGTTTGCATGGAACAGTAGCTTTTGCAGTACATGTGTTTGAAAGTTGGGGTTTGGTAGGATTTAAGTTTTATTTCTACTTCCTGCTCTGTCTGCTCTTCATCAGATATGTGGTGATGCCATTGAAACACATGCTACCAATTTTTTTTTCCTCTCCAGAATTGTTAGGAAGTCAGGATTATTAAAGAGATGTTTGGAAACAATGAGTTTTTGATGGTGGTTTGTAAAATGTCTTGGGAAGCTTGATGAGGCTTGTGATTGCTGTTTTGTTAAACGCTCTTTATTCCCGTTCATTATGCATTCTTTTGGCTTTGGCTTTTGGGTTTTGGATGTGATCCTACACTAAGTGGTGCCCACCCTGTAAGTGATGAAGTGCCTGTGGGTATGTTTTCTGAAACTGGCCCACTTGCACTGCATGCAATGCAAGTGAATGAGCTTCATATTGTCTGTGGAGTTTTGGGATTCCCATAGTCCCTGGCTGCAAATGAAAGCAGGCATTCAGGTTTAGCAACCCTTGACAATGAGTAAGGTCAAAACTTTGAAGAGTAAGTGGAAACTCTCCAGTTGTTACCCCCATGACAAATAAAATATATTGGTCAAACCAGGCTTTGTCGTGAATCCAAAGCAAAGGGGCAAAAGCTAGAAATGATGGGCATATTTAATGGAGCAATTGTGATAGTGAGATCTGCCAGGGCATTTCTGCTAGGATTCATCTTTTCATTTTTACTAATTGTAAAGGTAAAAGATATTTATAGCAGATGTAATTGGGACTAAAACTATGTTATTAACCTCAAAGTATAATGTAATGGAAAGACCATTAGTAAAGCATAATATAAATATTGAAAAATCTATGCAATTTATCCAATGTCCCCATTCCCTTTCTGCCATAATTTTAAGGGGGATCTTTTGTTTGGCTGTTAATCTATCAGAATATATGGAAATATAAGTAGGGAAGCCAGAAAGAGGATAATATATTTGGATTGATTTACTTGGTGAAAAAGCAACTGGAAAGAAAGAAGAAATTTAGAAAAAATACAAACTAATAAATAGAGATGTTTTGGAGGACTTTGGGAAAAAGAAAAGAGAAAGTGGGGTAGCTACTACTTGGTGTGAGATATGGGGAAGATCAAGTGGTAAAACAACTTATAGGAAGTTTTGCTGTGTAAAAAGTTAAGGGAGTTTGCTGAATGTTGTGAGATGCAATTTTCCATTAATCCCTCTGTATACTTGGAAAAAAGTTTCAGTAAAGATATCTGCATTTTTCTTCAATACTCTAGGAGTTAAAATTGTGCTTCTTTCTCATGCATCACCACACAGAGATGGGCATCTTTCTATCTGACAAGCTTATAGATCAAGATTTTGATGGAAGAGCTTAAGGCACTATATCAATAAATTAGGTTATACAGATAAAATAGAATATGTAAAAAAGAGAATACAACTTTCCCTAGTTACCCTACCATAAAATAAGATCATACCCTATATAATGATTTATTAATCTGCTTGTTCTACTAGATACATTTATATACTTATAAATATGATTGTATTCCATTTGAAGGTTATAAAATATTTCATTGTGTGAGGTACTACAATTGATAATTCACTCTCCTATTTTTGGACAACCAATTGTTTCCATATATTTGGTTTTATAAATGATACTTCAATGAATATCTGTGTAGCTAAATCTTTGGGTATATCCTAATTCCTTTTACTGGGACAAGAATGATAAGAATAAATCATTTAGAAAGAAAAGGACCAAATAATAAGATGAACCTAATATTTTCTGGAGTGAAATGGCAAGTTAATTGAGGCGAAGCGAAGAGTCTAGGCAAGTTAAAAAAAAAAAGTGGAGAACTTAAGCACAGAAAAATATGAAAATTAAGCAAAGAAAACCCCCAAAAGCTTTGCAAAGTGAATAAAAAATGGTTCACAATCAGTATAATTTTTTTCTAAGGTCTGTACTATAGTTAAATGGACCAGTGAAGTGATGTAAATGTCAGAAGTAAAATAGAAAATACACTTGGTACATGTAAATGAAAAAGAATGTAGTGATTAAAATATGTCAAGAATGACAAAAAGGAGCTAGAAGTGGTCCAAAGAAGGACAATAGTCTGAGATTCATGAGAATTAATTTGGATATGAGAATGAGTTCCAAAGATTATACTTTCACATCTCAAAATGAAATGAAGACTAGGAAAGGACCAAAGTTAATGAAATCATGAAGCCATAGTGGGGACGGGGGAGGAAATGGCCATTGGTTTTCCAAATTTCATAAAACAAGAAACATAGAACACCATTTCAAAATTCATAATGATCATTTTAAGAACATAAATGTTTTTCAAACCATAATTTGACTCAAAAGAAATAGTCTTTTCCCAATCATAATTTGAAGATATTATATTTTGTATTTTTCATTGTCTGTAAAATGTGTTGCCATATATATATATATATGTATATATATATGTGTATATATATATATGTATATATATATATAGTGCAGTGTCCATATCAGATAGGAAAGTGTTCAGTTGCAAGTAAAAGAACACTCAACTAAGAGAAGCTTAAAAATAAAAAGGGTAAACTTTCCTATGTAACAAAATGTCCAGAGGAATGTGGCTACTGATGTCAGTCAGCCACTCAGAGACACTGTCAGATGCTGTGGTAAATGGTTGCATTGCTGGCTCCCACAGGAACCATCCTTGTGGTCCCCATACCCTGGTGCAGTCCCCTCTCTGTAGATCTGTGCTTAGCCTATGAGGAAAAGTGATGTGGAGGAAGTGATGTGGAAGTTCTAGAAAACATTTTTGTTTTGAACATCCTTATTTAGAATTCTATTATATCATTTCTTCAAGGTGAAAGATAGGGTCTCCCTTTTTCCCTTAGCTTCTATCATGAAAACCTGGGCCACTTTGCTTTTTTATTTATAATAACAAGCAAAGAAGAAACTTGTTATTTATACATAATTTAACACAAAGTTTAAAGTCCATTAAAACTTCAACACAAATACAGAAAACCTGGGAGAAGACTGTGGCTTTGCACATAGGATCATTCTTTGTTCCTCTATTTTAATATGTGTGAGAACCATAATGCTACAGTTCACAATGACAAAAAAAGGGTTTTTACTAACGATTTCTGAAAATGAGAGCATGCCAAGAATAGATAGCAACTTAAGGTTTATGTATGGGAGAAAATATGCTAGATCAATGCTTCTCAAGCCTGAATGTCCATCAGAATCATCTGCAGACTTGTTAAACACAGAGTGCAGGGTCCCACTCCCAGAGTTTCTGATTCAATAGGCCTGGGATGGGACAGCAAATCTGTATTCCTAACAAATGCACAGGTAATGCTGGTACTACTGGCTAGAGAAGCACAGTTTGAGAACCACTGTGTTAGACATATAGTAGACCGAGGTAAAAAATGTACGTGTCAACAGGAGTCAAGCAGGTAATGCGAATGATGGAACAGAGTTGAATGTCAGGCAACAAGAGACATTGAAGATGAGAGATCTGGAGACACATATAGTTGGATCTGGAGCTAGTTCCCACCTATCTTCTACAGATTATATGCCACAGATTCAGTGTTGCTAGATGATTTGAATTCTAAAGAGCAGCTGGAAATATATATTTCATGTGTAATTTCCTAGTTTGCATATATTGAACAGTAACTAAAATATCATTTAAATAATGAGTCAAATAAATATGTCTTCATGCCAGATATGGCTATAGGGATCACCTGTTTAAAACCTCTCCAATGGGCAAATGGTAACTCTATCCATTCTGTCTCCAAAACTCAAACCTGAAGATACACCTGCTTTAATTGAATGTAAATGTTGAAATCTTTGCAGCATCAACCACAGATACAACTGTTAGTAACTCACACATCTAATTTTGGTAACAACATTAAAAGAAAGAGTGGCTGTGAGATTGTGTTCATTACCAACTTGAATTCATCTTCTCCTCTGATTTTTTTTTTGTCTCCTCGTATCCCCAGGCCCCTAAGATGTTTTAAACAAAAAAATTCTAATAAATAGTCTTATTGCTTCTCATGAAGGGTGTTAAAAATGGCTAAAGATAGCAATATTCTCCTACTTCCAATGTCTAATGTACCAATAAAGTTAAGAGTTGATTTCATTTGGAAGCACGGAAGAAGAAAGCCTGCTGATTTGCATGGGTTGCATTCTTAGCCTTTTATGTCTTGAATCAGTTAAAATATTTTACTAACCATCTGGTCACCTACAGATTCAGGAATAAACCAGTGCCAAGACACGCCAAGTCATCTTGTAAACACTTTATACAAAAAATAAAATAAAATCCTGGTCAGTTTATCCATCTTCATTAATGATTCCTAGCATAGTTCTTTTATTTTCTCTGTGACTAACAAGTATCATCTAGTTATGAGAGGCCATTATACAAAATCATTAAAACATGCTTAGCTGTACTGTGTTAATTATGCAATGATAAATTATTCTTTATTTCTTCATTAACAGTATTGTAGCAGTAGAATTAGCATTGTTTGTTCCTTTTTGGAGGAAAAAAATCATTAATATTAAAAAGTGAAAATTCTGGAAACTTAATGTTGTGGAATGACAGTTTTAATTTGATTTTCAAAATCCTATTTGCTGATCCCCTCAGCTATAAAAGTTTAACCACTATGTCACTGTAATTACATTGGCTGTTTATCTCTTCTTTCATGGCTATATCTAGGTCTGTGTAACAAACTGAGGGCTGGCATTAGACTCTGAATCAGGAGACCTAAGGGATCTTACTAAGTCTTCTGCTAAATTGAATCTAATAGTATAATTTAAATGTCTTCTAGCTTCACACTCTGCTTTTGAATCATTTCATTATCAAGCAATAAACAATTCAATCAATGCTTGTGGAGCACTGTGCTAGGCACTGTGGAAGACAGGAAAACATTTTAAATGAACACATATTTTCTGCCTTGTGCTGATGATTTAGTGTGAAAGTTAGACCCTAATATAATTAACATAGAGCAAAACGTAAACACAGATGTGGTGGTATAAAGGCAATATTAGGATGTGGAAAGGAAAATTATTCTGGCTAAATTGTTTATTATAATTTGAGCTTGGCCTCCAACGATAAAGACAACACTGATAATGACTAACATCACAATGTGTTCATTGCTGGTTCTGGTAGTTCTAAGAGCTTTACATGAACTAGGTCTTTAAATCCTCATAAGATCTCTATGAGTTTGGTACTAGAATTATCCCATTTCATAGATGAGAAAACATGGAAAACTTAAATTAGGACAGTGGTTCTCAAAGTATGGTCCCAGGACCAGCTGCATCAGCATTACTTGGAAATTTGTTAGAAATACAGAGTCTCATGCCCTCCCCATCCCCAGCTGCTAAGAAGCTCTGGGAGTGGAGGGCAGTCTACTTTAACACAATCCCCAGGGGATTTTGATGTTCCCTAAAGTTTATGAACCACAACCTTAGACAGATAGGATAAGGGGCGTGAAGGCAGTTACATATGACACAGAGGTTATGTCTTGTTCCCATCTTTGCCACTTACTGCTTGTGTGACCTTGTATTCATTTCTTAACCTCTTACAATCTCATTTTATTATCTGTAAACTGGGGAGAATAGTCATTGTTACTCCTTATCACTGTTTTCAGAATTCCATGAGATCATGCACATAAAACTTTTAACACAGATTCTGACGCAAAGTAACCCCTCAATAAATGGTAGATTCGTTATACTGTTTGTCATCATTAACATCATCATCATCATCTTCTTCATCATTATCATCACCCCTTCCAGGTGAAGACAGCAGCATGAATTAAGGCAGGAAAGAGAAAGTAGAAAGTAGTTTTCCTGGGTGGAAGGTTAAGGGGACCATTTCTCCCTTTTGTGACAGAAGCAGTTCACAAATAATGAATTGAAATATTAAGGACTCAACATTTATATCCTTCAAAAGACCTCTTTGATTAACCTTCCCCCACAGGGATCTTTTCCTTGATGTGCTTTTCTGGAATGTGCATGGATATAGTCTGTGCTGAATATATCCTTACTTTTTATTATGTTACCCTCTAATTGCTCTCATTTGAAAGATGTATATCATTTCTTCCTTGAGCAGAAGCCATGTACCCTGGGTTTGCTGTCTTTTTAGTGTCCTCCAGGGGGAGACTCTAACAGCTCCATTTTGGGGTCAGACCGAATTCAACACCAGGCTCCAAGGCTCATGAGCTGTTTGACTTTGGGCTAGTGGCCCCAGGTTCCTCATGTTTAAAATGGAACTACTAAATTCAACATGTGTTTATAAAACAGGTTTATTGACATATTTATTTCAATTTTAAAATTTAAATTGGGGTCCCTTTGGGTAAGATTATTTGGAAATTTGGAAGAGATAACACAAGAAAGAAGAGGATTATCAGACCAGCCTGACCAACATGGAGAAACCTCGTCTCTACTAAAAATACAAAATTAGCCTGGGGTGGTGGCACATGCCTGTAATCCCAGCTACTCAGGAGGCTGAGGCAGGAGAATCGCTTGAACCTGGGAGGCGGAGGTTGCAGTGGGCTGGGATCACGCCCTTACACTCCAGCCTGGGCAACAAGAGTGTAACCCCATCTCAAAAAAAAAAAAAAGAGGATTATCAAGATGGCTTTTTTTTTGGGGGGGCGGTGCACAATAAGCAAAATAAGAACCACACCCCACTCATGGATGTATGAGATCCTAAAGATGGTGCAGATCAGCAGGGCAAGGCAGGAAGGCAATAGTGCATAATTGCTCCTTCTTTTCCATTCTTTTTTCTAGGTGATAAAGTACCTGTGTGGTAGTGGGGGTTGTGGGAGAGATTAAAATGAAGGGTAGAGGTGCTGGAGACTTAGTAGCTGCTTAGCAAACTTGGAAAGTTAAAGAAGATATATTTTATATTTTTAAATATGGACCTGGGAAGATATTCCTGGAACTCTTCAGAGTATAATGCAAGACTGGCTCCCCTCAGTATTAGTAAATTTAAACCCACTTCTGTTACAATCTAGTTATGTAAATTTTGACAAATCAGGTCCCTTTCAGCCTTAGCGTGTTCAGGCAGCTATCACAAAAATGCCATAGACTGGGTGGCCTATTAAAAACAAACACTTATTTTTCACAGTTCTAGGGGCTGAGAAGTCCAAGATCAAGGGAGATTCAGTGTCTGGTGAGAGCTTATTCCTCATGGATGGCAACTTCCCACTGCATTCTCAACATGGTTGAAGGGGCAAGCAGGCTCCCTCAGGCCTCTTTCACAAGGACAACAATATCACTCAGGAGATCTTTGCCCCGTCCCAGAGGTCCCACCTCTTAATACCACTATCTGAGGGGTTAGGTTTCACTGTAAGAATTTGGGAGGGGGTACAAATATTCAGACCATAGCAACTTCCCGGTAGCATTTTAAGTAAATGAACCAATGAATGTAGACTTGCTAGCGTGTATGAGCGCTTACTCTGTTAAGTACTATGTTAATGTTTTATGTAACAGTCACTTTTTCTCCTTATAATGCTAGCCTTGTAAGGCAAGCATTATTAATCTCATTTCACGGAGGAGTAAAGAGAAAGTAAAACAGTCTTAAGAATGTTGTTCAAGGTTTCACAGATAGTAAACAGAATTCAAGCTGGAATTCGAAGCCATGGGAGTATATGCAGAAACCCTGCTCCTTCCACCCCAGTGAAAACATTAGCTGAGGAAGCAGAGAATTCAGACTATTTTCATCTCTGGACAGAATTCTATGAATTCCATCTACCCATTATTCTTTATATCTCCTACTTGGATCTTAATCTCCACTCTGGCAATTCCCCATAAGCTAAAATAATAAATGTGTCCTTAATCATTTATTTCCAATTCCTTAATATTTCTATAATGATTTTTTATGTGCCAGTCTTCACCATTCTGGTATCTGCACTCCCAGTTTATAAAACCATCATAAACACTAGGCAATTCTGCTCTTTTTCAGGCAAAAAGTTAAAAAAAAAAAGAGCATTTTTATAGTTTGTGCCACATCTATAGTAGCTGGGACTACATCAAACAAAGAATTCCTGGCCAGGCACAGTGGCTCACACTTGTAATCCCTGGCCATACATGGTGGCTCACGGCTTTGGGAGGCTGAGGTGGGTGGATCACTTGAGGTCAGGAGTTTGAGACCAGCCTGACCAACATGATGAAACCCCCTCTCTACTAAAAATACAAAAAATTAGTTGGGTGTAGTGGCAGGCGCCTGTAATCCCAGCTACTTGGGAGGCTGAGGCAGAAGAATTGCTTGAACTCGGGAGGTGGAGGTTAGAGTGAGCTGAGATCATGCCACTGCACTCTAGCCTGGGCAATAATAACGAAACTCTGTCTCAAAAAAAAAAAAAAAAAAATTCCTGTTAGTGTGGGTGCCCATTTTAGAAATTCTCATGTTCTCGCAGTGGTTGACTTTACTAAGGAATTCTTATAATAATTAAGACACGGTTTTTCTATTCTACATGTTGTTATTTATTTTGCAAAAGGAATCAAAAGACTGGTATTTGGCTATGAAGCTAGTATGGAAGTTTTGAACTTGTGAACTGATACTGCTCACCCTGGTGGATATGTTCTCTGTCCTCTCCGTCCAGTCTTCAGCTTCTTATTTTTCGTAAATCCTGATGTGTTAGACAAGATGGGGCATACGTGAAATAATTTAGCTGTTACTGCATATGGAAATATATTCATGAGTGATTTAGGAAATTAGATAGTTGAGCAGCGTGTGTTTTGTTCCTAAATTCTGGGCTGTTTTCCCATGGAGATTGTGTCACATTGTCCATTCTGCACTCGCCTGGCAGCTGCAATTGAGCACAAGCCCTCACTGGGGTATTGGATAGTGAATAGATATACTGCAATATCTTAAGATCCCATAATTGTCCCAAGCAAGCACTGAGTCAAGATATTTTTATGCGTCCGCTGCCTATGTGTCTTCCCCTACTGGAAGTGAGAGCAGCACTTTTGTCCAACCAGGCCATGTATTTTTTTTCTATCTGAATAATATTATTTCTTCAGCACTTTACACACTTCGGGCATTTAATGTTGACGATGTTTGCTTAGCAAGTTAAACTGGCAGACTGACTTGTTAGCATCATCAAATTGTACCTAGGCATCTGGATGCCCAAGATACATGCAGGGTCAGACAGAAAATGAGCTAAATAGCTTTTTCAGCTAAGATTTTGTTATCTAAAGCAGCTCTTATGTGAGTCAAATATAGAGCAAAAATATTTGAGAGACCTTCCTGAGAAGAGAAAGCCATGTGGATAAAGGAAAGGAAAGGTGGCCGGGAGCGATGGCTCATGCCTGTAATCCCAGCACTTTGGGAGACCGAGGCGAGTGGATCATGACGTCAGGAGTTCAAGACCAACCTGGCCAACATGGTGAAACCCCGTCTCTACTAAAAATACAAAAAAAAAAAATTAACCTGGCATAGTGGTGGGCACCTGTAGTCCCAGCTACCAGGGAGGCTGAGGCAGAGAATTGCTTGAACCCAGGAGGTGGAGGTTTCAGTAAGCCGAGATCATGCCACTGCTCTCCAGCCTGGGTGACACAGTGAGACTCTGTCTCAAAAAAAAAAAAAAAAAAAAAAAAAAGAAAGGTGGGCATGCTGGCCATTTTAAAGGGTTTGCTCGATGAATGCTAGAATATTGGGGATACAGAACTGGTTATGGCATCATCAAATAATTTTACTTCAAGTTCAGGTGACGGTGGCTTCTTATATTGAGCTTAATGGGTTCCACACATGCAAAATTAACTCAAGTTGGTTTAATTTGAAATGAAAATTTTATTCTGAGGGCATGGGGATTTTTCTGTGAACCCGAGTGCAGGATCATAACCATTGTACACAGGCCTCTGGAAGGTACTAGAACTAGGGACTGGAAAATTGTACAGACTCTCCACCCTTCGTCTCTGTATTGCTGCGTTATTGTCTTCTTATGCTGCAAACTGGCTTCTCCTGCATGAGCTTATCTGATTATGTCCAGAGTTTTCTGACCTCACAATTTCCAAGCACACATGTTACGGTTCCAGCTACCAGAAGACAGTTAATCTTAATTACTCTCTTTTTTTTCATAGTCCCATATTTTTGGAAAAAATATTATGATCGACCTAGCTTGGGTCATGGGCTCATTCTTGTTCCAATTAAAATTTTGCATTATGGAAGCCAAGTGGTCTCGCTCATGAAACTGGCATTGCAATGAATTTATATTAATTGTCTCCCCAACACATTCAACATATTTTCTACCACTTTGGAGATACACAAGAAGTGCTTGTAAAGTGAAAAGGTATAGAGACTCAATAAAGTCAAGTCCCAGTTGTGGAATGTCTGACTCCTTTCCTACTTCAACCAATTGAGCCTCTTCTTTCGGCGTCTCTTTATTACAATGATCATTTATCATAATTGTGAGATTGCGAATTGTCACTAATCATCTCAAGGAGAGGTACAAAATTCCCCTGGAATGAATTTTAATTGAAATTTAATTTTTATCAAATCACATAAAAAACACTGGGGTATAAGAAGAAGGGGGTGAACACAGAAAGAGAGGTCATGAAATTTTACCTTGATTAAGAGTTGGAAATTTATTCATCTATTTTTGAAGTATCTTCTTACTGGAGATAAAATTTAACTTTCCAAAATTTGGCTAATAAGGAAGCTGTACATAGAGTGCTTTTTAAATTCTTAAAATCTGAGTTCTGTTTTAAATGGTAGGAAATTAATATGCTGCTTAAAAAAATAGGAGAACACATGGAAGGAAAACACAAGGAGATAACATGTATCGGTGAAATCTGGATTTAAAGCCTGATATTTTGATCCAAATCTAGGCTCTGCTACTTTTATGTAATCTTGTTTTTAATGCTTTTATGTAATCTTAAGAAAAGTTTCTTTATTTGATTCCTTATCTGTAAAATGGGGATAGGTATATCTAAATAAAATGGTTGCTGTGCCGTTTAAAGAGATAGCAAATATCAAGTACCTCGTGTGTTGCAGCAATTGCAACATTTCATTCATTTGAATAAAAGGTTTCAGACACCCAGGTAAATAAATGGATGATAATACAGATAAAAGTCACGCCGGTTCATGAAATGTGAATGTGCCATGCTAGATGAATCACTTTTCATAAGTAGAGACAGTGCAACCCACCTGCAATATCTTCAGTTGTGGTGTGTGGGACACATGTCGTTCTATGTGTTCATCCCTCAGTATGTTTTGAGTTGTTGCCTCTGCTTGGTGTCATTGGTCAGTCCACCCACTAAATCAGCCTGTTACTTTAAAAAATCCTACTGTTTCCATAAAGTGTTCTAAAGTTGTATTTGAGTCACCATAGAGAATGGCATGTTATCGTGCTGGTGAACCTAGGAAGGCATTTAATAGAATCTGACTGACATTTGATTCTGGTCTGTGCCCTTCTTTTGTTTGCACTTCCATTTGTTCTTTGGGTCCTTAGTCATTCTTCCCAGCAATCCTGACCACTTAGGGTTTCTAGCAATCTCTTTTGAGAACCAATATTAATTCATCAAGCATGCCTTTCTTTTCCATTTCCAGGGTTTAAAGAGTGTATATCTTTTGAAAGCAGGGTTTTGATGACTTCTTTGAGCCTTTATTCTTTGCCCCACAAGAGTGGCCCCTTATTTTTATAATCAAAGGTAATGAAGAAGCCAGATTCACTTTCCAGGCAGTGGTACTACAACACAAACATTTCATAGCATGAGGGATGTTAATAATTGCTTTGGGAGGGAATATTCCCCTCTCAAAAATCAGACACTATCTCTATATTCCAGGCAGTTCATCACAACTGTCTCCCGCAGAACCTTTTATCTGCATGTATGGAAGAGTTTACACTGTTGTAACATTTGATACTATGTTGGGCAACAGAGGGTAGTAGGCAAATGTGAGAGACTTTCATTTCCTTGAACCTCTGAGTGATTACAGCATTATGTTTCTGGTGAATGGCAGTGCTAATGGCCGTAAAAATATAATGGTATACCTTAAGGGATCCTTAGGAAATGCAGGGATGCAAGTACATAATTTTGAGATTGATGTTATTGAGTTATTTTTAAATTTGCACAAAATTTTTTATGGGGCTGTACATTTTTTAATCTTTTCTTTCATATTACCTATTGATTTACAACTAAGCTGCAATAGTAAGGACAGGCAACAAAGAGTCTTTTTAAATACAGGTTTGTATAAATGAACTCTTCAGCTATCACTCAAATTCTTACTCCTTACTTCTTGACAAACACCTTTTTCAGCCAGTGTGGGTATGAGCTTCTTTCTCTGCATGTGTATTCTTCTGGAACTTAAAACTTGAACTATCAACATTTTTGGCCATTTGATAAATGAAATATCTTTATTATCTTAAGTGCAAAATAAGATATAGAGGCATAGAGATGGAAAAGTGGTATAAGAAAATAATTTGATGTAATTGTGGCTGCTTCTAATATTCACTGACAAACCTCAATGCCAGAAATAATGGACAAAATAATAATTAGCAGCAGCAGTCAGGCAATAACTAAACACGTATTATACAGAAAGGTCAGATTTCAAACTATTGTCACAAGAGCAGTTAAATCCAAATGCATCTTCTCAAGAGATGCACAGCCTTGGCTCCTAGCCTAAGAAAATGTATCAATTTCAAATCAGTAACCTCCTAAATACAAGCAATTTATTTTGTTACATTGTACTAGTTACTGTCCCCACTATGAATGCCTTGTTTGTGTTAATTCAACATGTTGCAAGATTTCTGGCAAAAGAAGTCCTCATCTGCTGTAAGATTCTTGGTGAGGCATGTTTGATGTGAAGCTATTTGACCAGAATTCCAAATGTCTTGCTTTTGTTATGTACATAATAGCAGAGGTTAGCATACTGTGGCCTGGGGGTCAAATGGAACTTGCTGGCTGTTTTTGTAAATAAAGTTTTATTGAAACACAGGCATGCCCATTCATTTCTGTATTATCTATTACTGCTTTTGGGTTACAATGGTGGAGTTCAGTAGTAGTAACATACCTTATGATGTGCAAAAAGTTTTACTGTCTGGATCTTTACAGAAGATGTTTGTTGATCCCTGACATATAGCATTGCTAGGCCTCAGCACATCCTTTCCAAAAGATACATAGATAGATAGATAGATAGATAGATAGATAGATAGATAGATAGATAGATAGATAGACAGACATTTTTTTTTTCAGTAGGGCATTGATTTTGATTTCACATTGTTTCAGGAGCCAACTCCTACACTCTGAGTATTATTTTAAATCTTTCAAAGAAGTTAACAATATTTATACTTTGTTTCCTAATTAAGGAAGCAGAGCTACCTTGAAAGAGAACATTTATGTTGTATTTTTTTGACAAAGCAGGAAGAAAATACGTCACAAAATTTGTATGAAAATTCTTATGTAAATGCTGCAAATTAACAACAGACCTGAAAGATATATTCAGGGCAGTTAACAGCTAAGAAAGACAACAATGGCTCTAAGGCCTTTTAAACATTTTTCCCATCATTTTTTTGAGATGTCTTGTAAACACACATCTATTTTTAACAAAGCTTTATTGGGCGCTCTTTAATGCTGGGTTCTGTGCCAGCTACTGGAGATTTACTGGCAAGAGGCACGGTCCCTGCCCTCACAGAAAATCTCATACACAGAGCAAAATGATCTTGTTATCATCCGTTTCTGGATTTTGCACCTTAGTTCTTGTCTCATGTCATCATTGAAGCAAGACTTTAATGAATATTATATGCTTACTCATAATAGTAAAATAGTAGAAAATAGTGACTACACACACACACACACACAATCAGATTCATAACAAAAATGATGAAAGTGCATTGTACTGTCAGTCCTCCCTCCCCTACCTTTTTGGCTGGGGGATGGAGTAAAAAAGGATTTATATCACCCAGTACATTGCATTCCACTCTGAAAGTCTCCAGGGAATATCTTCCTTCTCCACTCATTCACTCTCTTCTTCTCTGGATATGCCTCTTTTACATTCTTCCCCACAAGATCTGTAAATCCTTCTGGTTTCATTCTCTGTACTTACCTACTCTCTTAAGACCCTTCTCTCTTTATTATGCAAAGAAATTTAGAACCATCCCAGTTCTTCAACTTCTGTATCTCCACATCCATTGTTTAGGTATAAGAAACAACAGAATTCCCAGTTACTAGGATCAGGTAGTGAGATACCTGAACAAGTAGTCAGATAGTTATAAACAACTCATCTTTTTCATGTCATTTCTCCTTATCATATATGTTATCATTTCTGTGATGAACCCAATATGGTCTATTTACAATACAGGCCAAGTGCATCTAATTTAAGAATGAGTGATGTAGTTAGAACACCTCAGTTTCAGATTTTCAGTGTTAAATGGAACTGTTTCATGCAGCAAAAGTAGAATATCAAATGGGTTATTAATATTTGTGTTTCTATGCTAAGAAAGTGCCACGCTGCTAACTCTTTAGAGCTCAGAAATACAGCAACCTAACATGTCATTTAGAATACTGGTACTTAACTTGCACTTTAAGGATCACGAAGTAACCACTACTGTTATTGTTCATGGCCAGATGGTAGTAGTAATAATTGACATTAGTGGTGGGAGTGGTGGTGGTGATGGTAAAGTCCGTCACTAATTGAGCATCTATTATTAGGAGATTCACACATACCTGTTTGGCATCCTCATAATGCCTTCAAGGTAGGTATATTATCCCCACTTTCCAGAAGTGGAAACTGAGGCCTATTTCCCTCAATTCTTCTTTGTCTCTTCATCATGATCTCTCTCTCCTGTATCCAGTGTTCATGCTATCTTAGAGGCACTCGAATATACTGGTTCCTTGATTGGATGGTGCCCTTACCCTTGATGTAGATGGTCCCACATCAGGATTGTGATGTGGCTAGTAACTTCCTGAGGCAACTGCATTGGATTGAAGGAACTAGGTTCTTGGACAATTACAAATCCAATGGCCAAAGGGCAGGGGAGAATGCTCTAAGACTGCCGTTTTCTCTGTCGTTTCTCTTTGTAATGAAGGCAGGCCTTGGAGTTAGGCAGCTATCAGTCCCAATCTTGATGTGAGCACTTTTTAGGCATCTGGAATTAACAACTCACTTAACCTCTCAGAATTTACATTTTCCCATCTCTAAAACACAGCTAAGAACATCTGTGTTGCAGGATGGTTCAATTAGTGATAACTTACTTTAGGAGCCTAACTCAAGGCCTGGTGACTGGCAGGCATTCATGAAATTGGGAGCTTGACTTGACGATGATTTTGACTTTGATGGTGCATCCTCTGCACACTGTGATTGTCTAGTGTGGCTTTCAATCTCATTTACAGAGAGGGGCACATTCAATGGAATGGGAAGAGGGTGTTCAATCTTTTTCTTCATTAGGTTTTGAGGCTGCAGGCTCATGGGCTTTCTCTGCTGCCTCTCCGAAAGCTCTGCATGGTGAGGAGGAGTGGGGAGGGACTGTTTTTCCGGTTATGGTAACTTAGCCAGTGCCTAAGGTACAGCCATCTGTTCAGCTTCTGATCTCAGGAGGCACATAGGAAAATGGGAGGAGAGCTGATGGGTCTGCATGTGGGGAAGGTGGAGCTGAAGAGGAACAGGCTTCAGTAAACCTCCACATTTCGTATTGAAATTTTTGCAGGAGGTGTAACCATGCTGTCTTTCTTGAATGTTAAGCAGTTTGGACTGGAGAGGGGGAAAAAAGGCATGGAATTAGATGAACTACCAATCTGATATAGATATTTGTCTTTTCATTGCTATTCAAGTAAGAATACACACAAACACATAAGCTTGCACTATCATGGCAAATATCTAGATTTATAAGGTACGTGTTATCCCTTTGTGGCTTTTGTTGATTTGGACTGCTAGTACGTAAAAAATGTTTTTCATTTCACAATTCATAAAATTCATAGACAGCGGATCCTGGCTCTGCTCTCACCATTTCCTGTGCAAATGGCTCCAGGGACCTTAACAGATTCTAAAAGGCAGGAACATGTAGCTCTGAAGCTAGGGAGCAAAACACAATTGTGAATTTGCTTATTCTTTCTTGCTCTGGACATTAACCAGAGTTGGCTTTTTATCCCCAGACATGTCAGTATAATGGCACAAGGGAACAGGAAGCGAATTTCCTTTGACCTCTTATTTACTATTGCATTAAATTACTAGGCCACTATCTCCCACTTTTGTAGATTTTAAACCAGATTTTCCTTGGTCTACCCAGCGGTCACAGGAATATTCTCTCTGTAAATATTTTGGAGTGTATCTATGCTTAGAATTACCCTTAAGTGTGTCTAAGAGGAGACTGGAAATCTTAGAGTACCAGTTTTCACACTGTGTCCATCAGGCCCTTCTTGGGGATGGAAGGAGGCAGACAGACTCCAGCTTCATCCCCTATCTCAGCTTCTCTCTCTTTCTTTTGTGTAAGGCTCTGCATGACATTCCAATTGGTACTTTAAATATTTTTAAATGAACCACTTTTATGCAAAAGTTCTAACACACAAGAATGGGATGCACTGTTTTCGGGTTGACTTAGTAGTTCTGCTTTTGGGAAACAGGCAAAACAGAGGAATAAAGGATAAAGGCACCGTGCATTATCCATTACATTTTCTTAAACAGAAAAGCATGTCACCTGCAATATTTAAGAAACAGGTTGGCAATTCAATTAACGTGTTATCAGAAGGAAGACAGGTTTTGTACAACAGTTTTCTGATTGAGCTTTTAAAATATGTATTTTTGACTATAAACATGCTCATCCAATAAAACTTTTTATTAGAATTATAGAATACCTTTAACATTAGCTCAAATTAAGAAATAAGAAAGTTTGATTCACGTGTACTAACCCTTTCCCCTACTCCCTTCTAGACTATCTTCTTCAATTACTTGTCGTAATTTTTAAGTGGGGAAGAAAGGTGGTCACATCCATCCCCACTTAGATTTAACAGATTGCCTCTCAATTCACACGGGCATTTGGAAATAGCTGGCTTTCTTGATACCATACATCCTAAAGGTGCACAGTCATTTTAGAAGACACAAATATTTAAGCACAATGAAACAATGCCTGGGGTGTGATCAAAGACCAATGATGCGAGAGATACACATTTAAACAACTCTCTGTAGTATTTGTTCTGACAGGGAAAACATGGATTTCCATTGGATGCACCTAAAATTCACCTGTGCATCCTTATTGCATCCATTTACACACACATACACAAACACAAACAGGTACACAGGTACACTCATATATACAATAGCACACACACACACACTTTCACACACATATCTCAAATGGGCTGTCAGTGATTAACAAGTCAACCCCCTTAAGTAGTAGGATATTCTGAGAAGTTAATCGTGAACAGTGTTACAGCTCATAGGATTAGTTAATTAGACAAAGGCTTGCAGGCAAGATCGCTGTAGTCTGTTTTGCTAAAGTGATGGACCCCACTTAGGCAACTGATGAAGAAAGCAGTGTGAACGCTCTTCAAGGGCGGAAATGTGGAATGTAACAGAATAAAGCCCCAGCATAGCAGTAACGAGCTGGCAGAGGTATTGCCATCCGGTGATGGCCATTTGTCAGTGGCAGAAAAGGTGGAGGCTTGGGGAAAAGATTTATAATTTTGGTTACCATCCTTCCTACTGCTTCAAGGCAATTTTAATTACTTTTTAAAAACAGTCTCTAAACTTGCATTTCCCCACATGAATTGTTGACCTTAACTTTCAAGGACAACTATGCTGACAGTGCTTACTCATCATAAGCAATAAATACATTTATTAAAAGATGGCTATTCAACTGTATTAGGATTAAGAGTAGTATCTTATTACTTTAGAATTGTCTTAAAAAATATGTTGGCAAATGTGGTTGCTTATATTGTAACTAGCTTTTTGTGATCCTTTCTAGGAGCCACCAAAGTGTTTCTTTTTCCTTTATACCAAAACTCACAAATATAAAGACTATGTTGTCCAAGCAGAGGGTTCAAATAAATAAAGAAGCCTCGCTATACAATTGAAAGGGGTGGTAAAATAATGACAGTAATAATTTTTAAAAAGGGGTGTTTGTGTACCTAGTTTAAAATTGTAAATGACCTTCCAAATAGGTATTTATTTTCATGATGGAATTTGAGGCCAGGTATGTGGCATTGTGGGATTTTTTTAAAGTAGGCTTTGTACTTTGCTACAACTGTCAAATCGTATGCAGCCAGAAGGAAGTAATACAGAGATATCCAATGGGCAATGACTAAAGATGCATCCCTTTAGTCAATTTCCACCAATAGCAACATCTTGCACACTGTAGTACAATGTCACAATGAAGAGACTGACACTGATACAGCCAAGATCCAAAACATTTCCATCACAAAGTTGATTCCACATGTTGCCCATTTATAGCTATACTGACTTCTTACACACCATCATACCCTTCTTAACCCTGACAGCCACTAACCTGTCCTCTAGTTCTATAATTTTGTGATTTCCAGAATGTTATGTAAGTGGAGCCATGCCATCAAAATGTAATCTTTAGGATTGCTTTTTTCACTCAGGATTATTCTCTGATGATTCATACTGATTGTTCTGTGTATCTCTAGTGCATTCCTTTTCACTGCTAAGCAGTATTTCATGGCATGGGTATACCATAGTTTGTTTAACTAGTCACCCATTGAAGAACACTTGGGTTGTTTCCAGTTTGGGGCTAATGAGTGAATGTTTTGCTATAAATATTGGGTACAGGTTTTTGCATGAACATAAGTTTTCATTTCTCTGTGATCAACGCCCAGTAGTACAGTTACTAGGTTGTATGGCAGTTACACATTTAATTTTTCTTTTCTTTCTTTCTTTCTTTTTTTTTTTAAGAAACTAGCCAACTGCCTTCCAGAGTCACTGCATGAGTGATCCAGTTTTTTCTCATCCTTTCTGGCAATTAGTTTTGTCATTTAAAAAAAAAGTAGCTATTATAATAGGTTTGTAGTAATGTGTCATTGTGGAATTATCTATATTTTTCATGGCTAATGATGAACATGTTTTCATATGTTTATCTGCCATTTATATATCCTATTCAGTGAAATATGACTCCATGTCTTTTGCCAATATTCTAATTGTATTGTTTAGAATTGTTTTACTGTTGAGTTTTGAGAAATATTTATATATTATCAGTATTTATCCTTTCTCAGATATATGGTTTGTACATACATTCCTGTCTGTAGATTGTCCTTTAATCCTTTTAACAGGGTCATTTACCCTGTCAGAAGAATATATATACATATAAATATATATACACACATATATTTATTTAAACTAAATTAAGGAGTTTTTTGTTGTTTGTTTCTTTTTCCCTGTGGGTGTTCAATTGCTCCAATACCCTTTGTTGAAAATGCTGTCTTACCTCCATTGAATTGCTTTTGCACCTTTCTTAAAAATCAGTTGGACATAGCTGTGTGGGTATGTACCTGGGTTCTCTATTGTATCCATTAATATGTGTGTCTGTTTCTCCACCAACACCACACAGTATTGATTCCTGTGGCTCTATAAGTCTTAAGATTGGATAGATTCATTCCTCCCACTTTCTTCTTTTTTAAATAATTGTTTTAGCTATTCCAGTTCTTGTGCCTTTCTATATATACTGTTAAACAAACTTATCTATATCTACAAAAAATTTTGCTAAGATTTCATAGGAATTTCATTCAATCTGTATAACAATTTGGGGAGAATTGATATTTTAACTCTGTTGAGTCCTTCAATCCATGACACAATATGTCTCTCCATTTATTTAGATCTTCTATAATTTCTTTCATCAGTGTTGGGTAGTTTGCACCACATAATTTCTATACATGTTTTGATAGCTTTGTATCTAAGTACTTCATTTTGTTAGTGATTCTAAATGCTTTGTGTTTTGATTTCCAGTGCCCATGTGTTCATTGCTAGTGTATTGAAATGCAATTGATTTTTACATTTTTATCTTATATCCTATGACTTCGAGGAACTTGCTTATATTAGTTTCTAGGAGTTTTCTTGTAGATTCCTTGAGATTTTTCTGCAGATGCAATCATGTCATCTGTAAACAGGGAAAGTTTTATGTATTTCTTTCTGATCTATATGCTTCTTACTTTCCTTTCTTGTGTTGTTGCACCATCTAGAAGTTCCAGCACCATGTTGAACAAGACTGGTGAGAGCAGACATCATTATCTCTTTGAATTCTCAGGGGAGATACTGTGACTAGAATTTTTTTAGCCTTTTAATACAATGAATTACATTCATTGCCTTTAAAATATTGAATTCTGAGTCTTGCATCCTCAGAATAAATCTCTTTTGTTCATGGTGTGTAATTGTGTTTATATATTACTGATTTTTTATTTGCTATCGTAAGGATTTTTTGCATCTATATACCAAGGGAATATTGGTCTTTAGCTTTCTTTTCTTTCTTTCTTTTGCTCTTTCTTTTTGTACTATCTTTGTCTTGTTTAGTCATGAGGGTAATAAGTAGCTTCATAAAATAATTGGAAAATGATCCCCTTCCAATTTCCTGGAAGAGATGTTGTAGAACTGGTGTCAATTCCTTTTTAAACATTTGGTAGAATTCACCAGTGAAACCAGCTGAGCCTGTTCATTTTGTGTGTGTGTGTGTGTGTGTGTGTGTGTGTGTGTGTGTGTGTGTATCTGAGAGAGTTGTGACATTATAAATTCAATTTCATCAATAACTATAAAGTCATTCAAATGATCTATTTAATATTTC